>NC_000012.12:104429824-104732855 GCF_000001405.40 Homo sapiens
CCAACCTCAGGCTTTCCACCCGCCTCGGCCTCCCAAACTCCTGGGATTACAGGTGTGAGCCATGGCACTCGGACTTCTTGTGCTTTTTATTTTGTATTTTATTAACATTTGTGTTTACAATTTCTTTTGAGGGTCAAGTGGTGAGTTGTGAAGATGATGTATGATGTGATGGAGGAAAGTTCCAGGTCTAGACCTACAGACAGTCCTGGTAAAATCAGTGATGGAAAATCACACATAGGACCTGAAACTGAAGTCATCAATGAGGAATTACAGTTTCTATGGACTGAATGCCTGTATCTCTGGCCAAAATTCACATATGAAGCCCTACCTAACCCCAGTGTAATAGTATCTGGAGGTGGGGGCTTTGGGAGGTGATTAGGTCATGAGGGTGGACCCCTCATGAACGGGATTCGTGTCCTTATAAAAATGGACACTGAGAGAGATAATCTCTCTCCCTCTGTTACAAGCGAATACAGCAAGAAGGCAGCCATTTGCAAACTCGGAAAAGAGTTCTTACCATCTATGCTGGCATCCTGATCTCAGACTTCCAGCCTCAAGAACTCTGAGGAATAAATGCTGTTTAAGCCACCCAATCTATGGTATTTTTGTTATAGCAGCCAGAAGTGACTAAGGCGACAGTCTTCAGGACACAGAGAAGCTGCTCCTTGTGATGAAAGCCACTCTTCAATGAGCTTTGTGCAGGCTGGTGATCCACGTGGTCCTACCCCCCCTCCACCTGCCCCACCGTGTGTCTCTGTGGCAAACAACTCACAAGTGCAACAGTGGCCTGGCAGACTGAAAACACACTGACCTACAGGCCACTGCTATTGGTAAGGTAAGAGGCTATTTTAAATGGCAATTGGAATCTCAAAGAGTGGAAAGCTTTTGTTAAAAATCCACCCTCAGGCACAGGAAGCAAGATCTAGTAGCAGAACTTATTGGCCAGAAAAGGGAAGGCCACACAGGTAGTGAGAACCTAATAATGCCTGTAAAATTTCAGTGAGTAAATTGCCAGGACAAGATGCAGTATGAGGGATTGGAAAGGTTTCACTCTCAGGGAATACAATATCAATCAATGTATTGATGGGATGTCGCATGATGCTGAAGAGGTTCATGCAATAAACTGAAAAGCAGTATCTTCTCTGTCTAGGTTGATGTGTCAACAGATTTTGCCAATACACGTCTTAGTATTTGTAAGGCTTATAAATGATGAAACTCAAGAATACATTTTCTGCTGCAAAGAGCTGCCCAAAACAAATATATATACTTGTTTTGGGCAGCTCTTTGCAGTAGAAAACATATTTTCAATATATATTTTCTATGTTTTGCATATTATTATTTTTCTATTAAAGCTTTATTGAGGTATAACTGATATACAATAAACTGCATAATTTGATGAGTTTTGATATAATCGTACATCTGCAAAACCATCACCACAGTCAAGATAATGAACATACTTATCACCTCCAAAAGCTTCCTCATGCCCTTGTATATATAATCCATTTCTCTCTACACCCCACCCTTGTTCCCAGTCATTGATCTGCTTTCTGCTACTATAGATTAGTTTGCATTTTCTAGAATTTAATATAATGCAATCATATGTACAGTCATGCATCACATAATGACATTTCAATCAATGATGGACTGCATATATATGACAGTGGTTCCATAAGATTTTAATACTGTATTTTTCCTGTGCCTTTTCTATGTTTAGATATGTTTAGATACACAAATACTTACCATTGTGTTAAAATTGCCTACTGTATTCAGTAGTCACGTGCTGTACAGTTTTGTAGTCTGGGAGCAGTAGACTGTCTCAGATAGCCTAGGTGTAGTAGGCTGTATCACGTAGCCTAGGTCTACACCTAGGTCTACACCTAGGCTGCGTGATACAGCCTATTGCTCCCAGGCTAGACCATCTTGGTTTGTGTAAGTACACTCTATGATGTTCATACAATAATGAAATTGCCTAACTATACACTTCTTAGAATGTATCCCTGTCATTGAGTGACCCATGACTGTATCCTTTTGTATCTGGGGTGAGGAAGTAGGACTTCTTGTGGAATGCTCACTCTTGAGACCCAGCTGCCATGCAAAGCCCAAGTTAGCTGTGTGGAGCGGTCACGTGGAGAGAGCCAAGCCCAGGTTAGCTGTGTGGAGAAGGCACGTGGAGAGAGCCTTCCAACCATCCCCACCATGGTGCCAGACATATGAGCAAAGCCATGCTGAATGTTCCAGCCCTGGCTGCCACCTCACTGAAGCCATACAAAACACTTTGGGTAAGAGCAGCAGAAATGAGCCAGCTGGTCAACCCACAGAATTGTGAGATGTAATACAATGGTTGTCATTTTAGCCATTACATTTTGGAATGGTTGGTTATCCAGCGACAGATAACTGAGCAATCTAATATTCAACCCCTGTCGGAAGTTCCCAGGATAATGAAAGTAACCTTATTGTAGAGCTACATCTGCCCTTTTCTGGTCTTTGGGCACTTTGTTCCCACGACTGAAGAGGAAAAAGTGAGCCTCTGCCTCGCTCTCTAGTCCTGCAGCCAATAGCCAGACTCTTCTGAGCCCAGCCAGACCCATCTCCGTTATGCCTAGAGCAGAGTTGGGGGCTTCTGTGGCTCAGGGGTGTGGACTCACATTCGCCTCTGCACCCCTACCTCAGAAGCATTTGGTGCCTGCACCCTGTCACCCCCTCCTGCCTTTTCTCCTGCTCTCAGGTTCATTGTAAAAACCACCCGTGACTTGTTAAGCTACAGATTCCTGGGCTATGCTGCCACAGATGCTGTTTCAGTCAGTCTAGGGCTTGGCTGAGGAGGATATGAAGTTTTCCACTGCAGATGACTGTGACATAGGACAATGATGGGATGATGTTCAGACCGTGTTTTCAGAAACTCTGCCCCGGATTCACAAGGCTTTTCTGGTGTTCAAGGGACATTTCTTTGTTGTGAGTTGTTCTTGATAAGTGAGAGTGAGCATGCATGAGAATGTGTGTGAGCACGTGTATGTGTAAGCATGGGGTGGAAGTGAATATGAGTGTGACTGAGCATGTGTGTGCATGTATGAACATATGACTATAGTGTATGAGGAGGAGGTGGGACAGGGCAGCAGTCCTGGGGTAGGACACAGGGTTGGGTGTCATTGGCAGGAAGACACAAGCCCAGGATGGGGTGTAGGTGCCTGGCGAGGACGAGAAGGGCTGGGGGGATTGCACCAAATGACAAGGGAACTGAGAAGGGAGTCGGTGAGCTATAGGACAATGTGTTCCCCACAACTGTGGCCAGCAGCTCCAAGCAGCTGCTCCGCCTTCCTTCCCTAAAAACACAAGCGCCTGTGGTCAGTCTGAGTCCAGGAGCCTCATGTTATGAAAAGGTATCCTGTGCAGGGTAATGGAAAAAAAGGGCAAAGAAAGACAGATGGACCTGGGAAAGGATCTGGGCCGCGCTGGAGCTTGGCAGGCAGCTTGGCCCTCCCATGGCATATGGCCATGCGGGCAAACTGCATTAGCTTTGGTGCTGGATGGGCCCAGCGGTGGGGGATTTTGCCCTTATTTTTCTACTGCCCCTGTTTAAGGTGGACTCCTGGTGCTTGAGGTGCACCTGTGTTGCGGCGTGCTTTAAAAAATTATCCGCTCCCGTTTGGAAAGTGAAAGACATAATAATAGTAATAATAACAACTGTTAGTGTTTATGGAGGAGAGTCCACCATTCCAGACATCATGCTAAGTGCTTTTGGGGCATTCGCTCATTTAAATTTCAACCTGGGTGATCACAGACATCTTCTGGAATACTGATCCTGAAACCAATTTTAAAGCAAAGTATAGACATCCCCACTTAAAATATAAAACTTTTAAACAGAAATATAACATAGAGAAAAATGCACGAACCGTAAGTGTGCCCCTCAATGAGTTATCACAGGGGAGCACACCTGTGTGACCAGGTGAGCCTGCTCAGCTCCCTGGAAGCCACCCTGGGATCCTGCACAACCTCTAACCCCCTCCTCCTTCCCAAAGGTAATTGCTGACTTGGTACATCATGGGTTAGATTTGCCTGTTTATGGCCGGGCACAGTGGCTCAGGCCTGTAATCCCAGCACTTTGGGAGGCTGAGACAAGTAGATCACTTGAGGTCAGGAGTTCGAGACCAGCCTGGCCAACATGGTGAAATCCCATCTCTACTAAAAATACAAAAATTAACCAGGCATGGTGGCGCATGCCTGTAATCCCAGCTACTTGGGAGGTTGGGCAGGAGAATTGCTTGAACCTGGGAGGGAGAGGTTGCAGTGAGCCAAGATCAGGTCACTGCACTCCAGCCTGGGCAACAGAGCAAGACTCTATCTAAAAAAAAAAAAAAAAAAAGATTTGCCTGCTTATAAACTTCACATGCTTGAACCATAGCCTGTGTAATTTTTTGTGGCTGCTTCTTTCCTCCACATGGTGCTTGTGAGATTCATTCTTGTGGTTGCCTGTGACAGTTTTTCCTTCATTTTCTTTCCTGTATAGTATTCCATTGTGTGACTATACCACCCTTTTTTTTTTTTTGGAGACAGGGTCTCACTGTGTTGCCCAGGGTCACTGCAGCCTTCGCCTCCCAGGTTCTATCAATCCTCCCACATCAGCCTCCTGAGTGGCTGGGACTACAGGCATGCACCACCACACCTGGCTAATTTTTTTTTTCTTTCTTTCTTTCTTTTTTTTTTTTTTTTAGAGATGTGATTTCTCCATGTAACCCAGGCTGGTCTCAAACTCCTGTGCTCAAGTAATCTACCTGCCTCGGCCTCACAAAGTGCTGGGATTACAGGCTTGAGCCACTGTGCCTGGACTGCACCACATTTTATTTATCCATTCTGGAGTTGACAGAGGATTTTTTTTTTTCCTCCTGGTTTGGGTAGCTCCACTTTTTACCATTTTACTATTATTTTATGTCTGTGTGCAGCTCACAGTCAAAAGTGCTGGATTCATGTCCTGGATACTCTACTTACCAGCTCTGTGAACCTTGGGAAAACTAGCCTTTCTGAGTCTCATTTGTCTCTGCAAACAATAATGCCTAATTTCCCTTGGTTTCCTATTCAATCAGCAAGCGTTTATTGGTCACCTGCTATGTGCCATCATTCTAGGAGATTTAGCAGTGACCGACACAAAGATCCCTGCTCCACACGTTTGTACCTTTGTCCCTTCAGTTCCCTTTCTTTGGGAAGCTCTTTCTTCCCAGATCCATCCTTCTTCTTCCTTACTCCCACCCACATTTTTGCTTCTTTATTTTCTGCTCATCCTTCTAGACTGAAGTCTGACATCCTTTCCTTTCCTCTAGGAAGCCTTACATGGCCCCTGGCAGAGCACTGGCCACTGTTTACTGAAATGTTGGGGGCTTGGTCTGCACACCTGTCTCCCCCGTGATCTGTGAGCTTCCTCAGGGCAAGGGCTGATTTCCTGCACCTTTGGCATCTGCAGTGCCTATCCCAGGGTTAAGCTCAGGGTAAAGTCTTAGTACAAGTTAAGAACTTTTGTTTTAGCCAAATAAGCCAGTGTGATGGCCACTCAGGTCATACCTGCTGAGTTAGCACATCAAGACGGTAGTCCTGCCCCTGAAACCAGAACTTATTCCAGGTGGTTTTCAGGGGGTTCAGCCACATTACGGGGGTGATTAGGTATAAGGAGCCCTGGAGTTCTTCGGGCCAAAAAACTTGCTCTCTCCAAGCCTCTATTTTGTCAGTTAAATGGCTACCTTTTCAAGGTTATCTGGGAGACTTAGAGAAAGTATACTCGAAGTGCCTGGCGTCTAAGAATAACGATTTCATTGACTGAAAGCTTATTATATATTCAGCTTAAAAGGCACTTTACATATTTTAACTAATTTAATCAACACAACAGCCTGTGATGAAGGAGCTGTCACTATTTGTGTCAACTTACAAATGTGGAAACTGAGGCACTGAGTGTTTAAGGGACTTGCCTAATGCTACACTGACACAGCCAGTAAGTGGTAGAACTAGGAAGGAGACTGGTCTTGACTGCTACAGCCCACCTTGCCCAGGAGCTGCAGCCGCCACCCAGAGACCCAGCTCAGAAACTTCCAGACAGCATGGTAGCACAAAAGGCTGCAAAAACCTTCCTGATCTTTCTCTTCCCCTTTCCTTTAGGGCCAGTTCAGGCAGTGAAGTCGGAGCTTCCTTTGAAGTCTTCTCCCTCCTCTCCTGATGAGGCCTCAGGGAAAATGAGTCCTTTCCTTATCTCAGCAGCAAAGAAATTGTCCAAAGACAGCAGTAGCATCTCCGTGGGAAGCTCAGGAATACTAATGATAAAACAAATTGATAAATTCAATTTCAAATGTGTTGATGAGAAAAACTAATTGATAAGCTCATTCATTTATTTAACAAGTATTTATGGAGTACCAACTCTATGCCAGTGTGGAGAATTAACTCTAAACAAAACAGCTGAGGTCCCTGGCCTGATGAAGCTTATGTTCTTGAGTTGGGATGTTACCAGAGGCGAATCTGTAGGGGTCTGCAGCAACCTCAGTTCTTGCCTCTTTAGAAGAAAGAATTTGACCAAGGGGCAGACAGTAAAAGGAGAGACTGAGGCAAGTTTTAGAGCAGGAGTGAAAGTTTATTGAAAAGCTTTGCTGGCCGGGCGCGGTTGCTCACACCTGCAATCCCAGCACTTTGGAAGGCTGAGGCAGGCGGATCACCTGAGGTCAGGAGTTCAAGACCAGCCTGGCCAAAATGGTGAAACCCTGTCTCTACCAAAAATACAAAAATTAGCTGGGCGTGGTGGCATGCACCTGTAATCCCAGCCACTTGGGAGGCTGAGAGGCAGGAGAATCGCTTGAACCCGGGAGGCAGAGGTTGCAGTGAGCCGAGATCATGCCCGTGCACTCCAGCCTGGGCGACAGAGTGAGACTCTGTCTCAAAAAAAAAAAAAAAAAAAAAAAAAAAAAAAAAAAAAAAAAGCTTCACTGCAGAAACAAAAGGAAGGAAAGTATACTTGGAAGAGGATTAAGTGGGTGACTTAAAAGACAAGTTTGACCTTTCGACTTGGGGTTTTATATGTGGGCATGCTTCTGGGGTCTTACGTCTCTTCTTTCCTGATTCTCCCCTTGGGATGGGCTGTCCTGTCCGCATGAGCAGTGGCTGCCAGTGCTTGGGAGTGGAGCATGCGCAGTGTGTTTACTGGAGTTGTACCCATGCTCACTCGAGACGTTCTTCCCTTACCAGCCCAATGTCCCTTAGGAGGTCATATTCCAGTTAAACTCCACCACTTTACCTCTTAGGGCACATGTGTGAGCCCACTCACCCAACTGCTAAGATCTTACCAGGAAGCTACTGATCACCAGTTTCAGGTTTTTCCCTTTGATAGGACGACTGCGTTTCCCTGGCACTGGCTGGACCAATTATTATTTTAGAGAGACAGTTAAGAACCACCTGACCATCACCTGATGGTCCCCTGACATTCCTGGTGGTGGGTGGGGGGCCTTTCCTGCCCTGTTCATGTCTGACTAGCTACCTACTGTAACAGTATAAATATCTTTTTGACACTTTCATTTACAGGAAAGAAAATGCAAGAATGCTTGGAAAAAAAAAGACCCAAATACCAAAATTTGGACAAACTAAACAAGTAAAAGAAGAAGTGGCAGAAAGAAAACTTAGACTTCTTGAAATAATTAATGAAAGGATGTTTTGAAATAGCAAGTTTGTCCAGTATAGGTATAATGAAATTTGATTTACCAAAATTCCATTTTTTTCCAAGAATTTGTGGTATAACATGAAGCTTACCTTTCACAGCCAAGGCAAGGTCATCCCCCCCTTGGAGGACATGGTGCTGCTGATGACTCTTGAGACATCTCAACCTACAGTGGCTTCAAAACTTATGCCTTCAGCTCTGCCTCCTCCCCACTCCCAAGCTTCAAACTCAAATATTCAGCTGCCTGCCTGTCTATAGATCCTCTTGGATGTATAATAGCATCTCAGCTCCAGCATAACCAAAAGATAACTCTTGATTTTCACCCAAATCTTGTTTTTGGTTTTTTTCCCCTTAGTCTTTACCACTTCCTTAAATGGCAACACCTATTCAATTGCTCAAGCCAAAAACTTAGGTGGCACCCATATTCTTTATTGTGGCTATCAATAGCAAAGGCAGCTATTGTTTAATTGAGGGTAACAGAGACCCAAAATAACTGTGACTTAAAAAAATAGAAATCTACTTTGCTTATTTCTTCCTCTGGTAGAGAGGGAGGTAGGTAGTCCAGACTTCCTAGTGTATCTAAACTCCATGAACTCCTCGGGGATGCAGGCACCTTTCAGGTCATTGTTCCACCATCCCTGGATGTGATCTACCTCTTCATGACACAATACGACAGCAAAAGCACCAGTCATTGCATCATGGGTCCAAGTGGCAGGACCCCTGTAGGAAGGAGGCATGGAAAAGAAGGGGCAGAGAGCATATACTAGCTATCTTTTAAGCAAGGTAATTTTGCTAAGACTTCACTGGCAGAACTTAGTCACATGACTACATCACCTAACTATAAGAGAGGCTGGGAGATGTAGTTTTTATTGTAGGAAGTCATGTGCTTAGCTAAAACTTGGAAGTTTTATTGCTATGAAAGAATAGACCAGATATTGGGGTTAGTAGGAATGGCCAAAAGTTCCTGCCGTATCTGGGTTGTAAACTCTAGGCTACTGGGCCCCTGCCTGCTATTTGACCCCACCTCCTCGACCATGTTCAACACAATGTAGCCATTCTGGCCTCTTCTAATGTCCTTTGAATACACCAGGCTTATCCCTGCCTTAGAGCCTTTGTGCTGCCACTCTCTGCCCCTGAGATGCACCCTCCAGATTTGCACATGGCTGACTTCTCATTATTCCAGTTTTGGCCCAAATGTCAGATCCTTACTGGGCCTTCCCTTGACCACCCTTTCTAAGGCAGTGTTTCTGCACCAGCCAGCTTCGATCACATAACCCCATTTCATTTTCCTCAAAGTACTCCAGAGTAACTCTCTGAAAACATCTTCCACTTTGTGTGTGTGTATGTGTCTCCCTGTTCCAGTGAGTAGCTAGTCAGACATGAGCAGGGCAGGAGAGGCCCCGCTCCAACCCAAGCAGGAATGTCAGGTGGCCATCAGGTGATGGTCAGGTGGTTAACTGTCTCTCTAAAATAATAATTGGTTGCAGCCAGCCCCAGAAAAAGGCAGTCTCCCTATAGAAAAGAAAAACCTGAAACTGATTATCAGTAGCTACCCGATAAGATCTCAGGAGTTGGGAGACTGGGCTCACACATGAGCACTAAGGGGGAAAATGGCGGAGTTTAACTGGCACATGACCTCCTAGGGACATTGGACTGGTAAAGGAGTAACACTGTAAGTGAGCATGGGTACAACTCTAGTAAACACACTGCGCACGCTCCCCTCTCAAGCGCCAGCAGCCCACCCCGAGGGAAGAATCGGGAGAAGGAACGCAAGACCCTGGAAGTATGCCAACATATAAAACCCCAAGTCAAAGGTCAAACCGTGCACTTGCCTTTCACGTTGCCCGCTTGGCCCTCTTCCAAATGTATTTTCCTGCCTTTTGTTTCTGCGGTAAAGCTTTTTAATCAACTTTCATTCCTGCTCTACAGCTTGCCCCAGTCTCTCCTTCTGCCTTCTGCCCCTTAGTCGAATTCTTTCTTCTGAGGAGGCAAAAATTGAGGTTGCTGCAGACCCCTACAAATTTGCTGCCGATAACATATTTTGGTACCATGTGAGTTGGATAATTTTCACCACTAACAATACGATCTAAGAAACATGAAACTGCAGCATCAAAAAAGAGCTTTCTGATCCTGACACCTGCCTGGAGTGAACTCCATCTGAAAAATCCTGGTCTATTAGCCCTGGCAGGTGCTTCTCAGATCTACTAGGCCAGTGTTTCACAGGCATCAATTTATGGAATGGCCCCTGGATTTCAGGGAATATTTTCTCACTGGTTAAACTTTTAGTGCTGAAGTTATTTACATTTGACCCACCTAGACACAAATGGACAAACACCTTATTCTCCATGGTCAAGCCAAAACTGGGAATTTTTTTTACGGATCTATATATAAATATAATTTCTTTATGAGGATTTGTGGATTGTATTAAGGATAATGAATAAAAAAGAAAGCTTAATAAAAAGTTCCTAAGTCTACTGAGGAATGTAATGTGTGCTTAGGATGTTATTTGTCTGTGCTGAGACATACACTCACACATAACTATGCAATTTTCATGTGCAATGGTCAACAATTTAGGTATTTTATAATTCCCACTCTCATCTGACAGATAAGAAAACAGGCCACCAAACGTGTGTGTGTGTGTGTATGAGATGTGTATATATGAGATGTATATATATGAGATTATATATATGAGACGTATATATGTATATATAAGATGCATGTGTATACATATATGTTAAATGTATATGTTAAAATATCTAAAAAACACACACTGGCCCTATCTCTTCCATATATATGCAGTCATCCACACCAACCCTAGGCTGTGAGGCTTCTCTCTCCAGAGAGAGAAAGGCTCCATCTAGAGCAAAAAGGTCATTCATCAGATTTGGGTATTGAAGTAGCATGAAAAGCCAGAATTTACCAAGAGAGAAAAGGATTTCTCTATTTCATATATATATATATATATATATATATATATATATATATATATATATATATGTATATATAAATGGAAGAGATAGGGTCAGTGTTCAGAGGAGATGGATCTGAGCATGGACTTGGTGCTGGAGAGTCCCAGGAACTGGCCTGATGAGGGGGAGACCAATTCTTTCGTGAACAGATTGCCCTGGACTTGGTGCTGGAGAGTCCCAGGAACTGGCCTGATGAGGGGGAGACCAATTCTTTCGTGAACAGATTGCCCTGTCACCTGCTGAGTGGGGAGGGTAGAGGTGGACACATGGGAATAGTGAGAAAGTGACATTTTACAATAACAATGACACAGGGCTTGAGTGTTTGTTCACATTACACCTAGAAGTATCCAAAAATGTAGTGAATGGTAAGAAGGAGAGAAATCAACATTTAGTCCAATAAGTAATATACACAACCTCTGGAAGGGACGTGCCTGTCAGCTGCACACTCAGTGGTTCAGATTCCATGCCACTCCTGCTTCTCTGCAAGAGTCAGCTGGGTGTATAGAAGAGAACTCAAGGGACATCTTGGAGGCAGGGGAAGAAAGGCCTGAGTCGGGGATCCCCACAACCACCCTCAGCTCCAAAGACTTGCTAGGAGGACTCATGGGACTCAGCATATAGTCACAGTCATGGCTATGATTTATTATAGTGAACAGGTGCAAAATAAAATGAGTGAAAGAAGGAGACACATGGGGCAAAGCTGGAGGAGACAAGATGCAAAATTCCAAGAAGTCACACAGGGTATACTTAGTTTATTTAGAAAGAATTGTGACAACCTATGTGGAATGCTGTCTACCAGGGAAGTGCCACTAAGCCTAGGAGTCAGTCCAAGGATTTTACTGAGGGTCAGTCACATAAGCATCTGTGGCCTAGGATGTACCAAAAGTCCGGGCTTCCAGAAGGAAGGCAGGTGTTCAGCATAAACCACATTTTTGTACAAAGAGTTCAGGCGCAGCGAACTGCTCCTGTCCTTTCTGGGAGTGCTGGGAACCCACCCCAAATCCAATGTAGATGCCAGCCAAGGGCCAACCTTGCAAGCAGTCTCAAACTGACTATGTTAACTCTTTTCTGCCAGAGGCCTCAGAGCCACATGTATCTCCCTCATCCCTGGACTGGAGGCCATTGAGTCACAGTAGGTTCTAGGTCCTGCTGGAGACCATTTGCTCTCTGAAGCCCTGTACATCCTGGGCAGGCCATGGAAAGCCAGGAGGGTTGTGGCAGGCCATCTAGCCAGACAGGCACTTCCCTCCACCAATGCTGCCACCCTGGGCTGGATGTGACCACATGGGGACTTCTTTGCCATGCTCTCCCCTCCACTGGTACACATGGGGAAGTCTAGCATGACCTCCTCACTGTCTAGTAACCTAAGTGCCCCTTGGGTCCTATTATCCATCTGTGTTTGTCCCAAAGTGGCGGATGGGAAGAGGGAACAAGAACGCTGGCATTTGAACTGCTCACTCTGCCTCTTTGTCTTTTCTCCTGCCCATAGAACACTGAGGTGGGAATACATGGCTTCCCATGTCTCTAAAACCACATCATATCTGCAGTAAAACTGGCACCTGGGCAGCCAGTTTTAGCTGTTGTTAATGTGTTAACACATTATATGACCTAATGGCCACATAACAGGACCTTGGAGAGTATAGAAAATCCTTTTATCTCTTGGCAAATTCTGGCTTTTTATGCTACTTTTTTTTTTTTTTTTGGAGACAGAGTCTTGCTCTGTCACCCACGTTGGAGTGCAGTGGCATGATCTGAGCTCACCACAACCTCTGCCTCCAGGGTTCAGGCGATTCTCCTGCCTCAGCCTCCCGAGTAGCTGGGATCATAGGCGTGCACCACCACGCCCAGCTAAATTTTTTTTATTTTTTTTGTATTTTTAGTAGACACAGGGTTTCACTATGTTGGCCAAGCTGGGCTCAAACTCCTGACCTCAGTTGATCCACCTGCCTCGGCCTCCCAAAGTGCTGGGATTACAGGTATGAGCCACTGTGCACAGCCTCATGCTACTTTAATATCCAAATCTGATGAATGACCTTTTTGCTCTAGATGGAGCCTTCCTTACTCTGGAGAAAGAAGCCTCATAGATTAGGGTTGGTGTGAATGACTGCAAAGGTGAGTGAAATTTCATATCCCCCAGTTTCATTCCATGATTTTCATTCTAGAAATGATAGTTTGCATTTGTAAACGTGTTTTCATGACCTTTTGGTCATGATAACTCAGAGATTGAGGTAGACATGTCCATTATACAGACAAAACTACTGAGTCAAAGAGGGCTAGTTAATGGTGGAGTTTAGACTTGAATTTATATCTTCACACTTGACTCTACTAAACTTCTTGCTACATATTATTTGTTGCTAGCATTAGATCTTTATTGTCTCTTATAATCTATGGGCAGGTGCAGATTCTGTAAGGAATATCTGTTCTTTCCCATCCACAAAAATGGCCTCCCAAATATATTCCTGTCCTAATCCATGGAACCTGTGATTATGTTACCTTGAATGGCAGAAGAGACTTTGCAGATGTGACCCAATTAAGGATTTTGAAATGGAAAGATTATCCTGGATTATCTGGGTAGACCTGATGTAATTACAAGCATTCTTGTAAGAGGGAAGCAGGAGGTGGGGTGGAGGGGAGAGAGAGAGAGAGAGAGAGAGAGAGAGGAAGAGAGGAAGAGAGGAAGTGAGGAGGAGAGGAGGAGAAGAGAAGAGGACAAGAGAAGAAGAGAAGAGAGGAAGAGAGAGAGGGGAAGAGAGAGGGGAAGAGAGAGGGGAAGAGAGAGAGGAAGAGAGAGGCTATACAGTGGCTTTGAAGATGGAGGATGGGGCCATGAGGCAAGCGATGCAAGTGACAGACCTCCAGAAGCTATAAAAAGACTAGGAAACAGACCTTTTCCCCACAGCCTCTGGAGGAGAGGCAGCCTTGCTGACACCTTGATTTTGGCCCACTGAGACTGGTTTTGTACTTTGGAACTCCAGAACTGTAAAATGACACATTTGTGTTGTTTGAAGTCACTAAGTTTGTGGTAATTTGTTACAGCAGCAATAGCAAACTAACACATGCAGTGTCCTCTCTTATTAACTACAATAGAATTCATCTCGGCCTCTCCAGGTAGTTGCCTCTTGGAGAAACTACCTGGCCCCATTCTTGGTCTGGTGATGTGAGTGGGGCTGACCCCACTACTGGCTCCAGGGCAGAACATAGCCTCCAGGCCTGGGCAACAAGCATGCTACATTCTCTGGTCACGGTGGCTGGTCAGGGTCGTGAGCAAGACCCTTCAGAAGGCAGCTCTAGACTCTTGCTGGAGCTGTTAGGAAGGGGGTATGTCCTTTCTACAGTGGATACTGAGCTGGAGAGAAGTCTGGAACAGGCGGGCAGCCACTTGAGAATGAAGACAACACAAAAGAAAGCTGAGCCAAGGACTGGAAAGAGAGGCATTCTCCTTAAGACACAGCTAGAAACCTGAATCAGGTCATGTCTAAAGACAGCTTAAAGATCCCAATGACAGGAGCCAACCAAGTCTCTTTTTGTTTAAGCTAGTTGGAGTTGAAGTTCTGAACCCAGATGTTTCTGACTAATAGTGTTATGTGGTTAGGAGTCACCTAAATTGGATTATCTGATTATTGATTTTGTGGAAGTTCAACACTATGGAGCACCATCCAGTACCACCCAAGAGAAGGCATGTTAGTACCCAAATGCCATTGATCTTACAATTAAAACCGGGGAGAAAATTTGAGTCCCTTTCCCCCAGAGGATGTTCCTGCTGAGAGTTACTACTTCAGTTCTTTTCACTTAACAAATCCTAACCCTTGTACATCAGTATACTGCTTCCTCACGCTTCATCTCATGCAGCTATGGAGACCCAGGGAAAGGGAGTGACTGGCTGCAGGACACATGTCGGCTGGTGGCCAGGCTGGGATAAGAACTCTGACCCTAAGCGCTGTGTGCTCTCTGAAGCATGCTGCTTCGAGCTTTCTTGGGAGCGTAGTCACTCCTGTTTCTATGGCTCTGAAAATTCACACCCTGCTGTGTGCAATTAGTTCTTGTTGCTCTCCCCTTGCTGATCAGCATTCTCAATTTCATTTTCAGAGCCTAGCTTTATCATTATCATGAAGAGATTATCTAACATATTGAATATTAAAAATCTGACACCACAGAGTAAGATTTGCATTCCAAGGTTATTGCTATTTACCAGAACTCATCACTTGACCTGCTGTTTTTTGAGAAACATCACTCCGAAGGGCAAGAGACAGCTCCCCAGAGCCTCCTTATGGAGATCACATTTTAAAGACTCTTCATTTGAGTTCCTAATATTGATGGCATTGATCTGTCACTTCTCCATGAACCAAGCTCAACTGACAATTCTAGAATCAACCAGAATAGGAAGGGATGTTAAAAGTTACTTGGTTCGATCCTTGCATTTTCCAGGTGGAAAAGTGAGACTTGGAAAGTCAAGTATGTATCAGTCAGAGTTCTTGCTTAGAGGCAAGTACTCTGCTAACTTAAGAACATGAATGTTTTAAAGGTAGCTTACAGAAATTCCAGGAGGGTCAGAGAAGCAGGTATGTGCCTATGCAACTGGAAACAAGAACTGCAGGGGCTGCCCCAGTAAATATATCACTATCACTGTCTACAGTCAGTTGAATGGTGGCCACCAAAAAGATATGTCTACATCCTGACCTGTACATGTGACCTTACTTGGGAAAAGCATCTTTGCAGATGTAATTAATGTAAAGAGATGGTTCTGGATTATCTTAGTGGGCCCTAAATCAAATAACAAATAATAAGCCTTTATAAGATACAGAAAAGGAGACAGCACAGACACATAGAAGGCCATGTGAAGACCGAGGCAGAGACTGGAGTGATATGGGGACAAGCCAGGGAACACTGGTTGCCGCCAGAAGCTGGAAGAGGCAAAGAAAGACTCTCCCCTAGAAAGTTCAGAGGGAGTACACAGCCCTGCCAACATCTCAATTTCAGACTTCTGGCCACCAGAGCCATGAGAGATTACATTTCGATTGTTGGCGTTTTATAGCAGCAGCCTGAACAGATTGATTCAGTGACTTTGGGTAAATCACTTTGTCCAGGCTTGCCAACATGGTGAAACCCGGTCTCTACAAAAGATACAAAAATTAGCCAGGTGGGGTGGCACACACCTGTAATCCCAGCTACTCAGCCGGCTGAGGCAGGAGAATCACTTAAACCCTGGAGGCAGAGGTTGCAGTGAGCCGAGATCGGGCCATTGCACTCCAGCCTCGGCGACAGATCAAATGCCATAGACTGGGTGGCTCCAACAACAGACATTTATTCTCATCATGCTCTGGAAACTAGAAGTCCAAGGTCAAGGTGCCAGCAGGGTTGGTTTCTGGTGAGGTCTGTAGACGGCTGCCTTCTTACTGTATCCTCGCATGGCCGTTCCTCTGGGCAGGCACAAAGAGTGAGCTATCTAGTGTCCCTTTCTCTTCTTGCAAGGATGCCAATCCAATTGGATTAGGGCCCCAGCCTCATGACCTCACCTAACCTCAATTACCTCCTTAAAGGCCTTCTCTCCAAATACAGACACATTGCAGGTTAGGGCTTCAGCATATGATTTTCAGTCCGTAACACTCCCACAGCTAGTTAGAGGCACGTTGAGATTTGAGCCTAGGCCTCCTGACTGCGAACCCACCTCTGAGTTCAACCCCCATAAGATTTGGGCAGGCTGGGTCACAAATGCATTTAGAAAAACAAAGGTATTTAGAAAATAGAATGACACTTACGATGACTGGTCTTTGGGATCCATTTTAGCTTACTGCCTAGTAGCAAGGGGCCACAAAAGGGAAAATATCAATCTCCTTAGACATTGGTGGCCCAGCTATAGGTTCTGCCTCTCTGCCCATACCTTGTGATCTGTATCTTCAGGGCTCTTAGCTGCAAGCAACGGAGAGCATGATTTAGGCAAAAAAGGAATTTATTGAAAGTGTTGTGGGTAACACAGAGAAACGCTAAAAAGGCTGGGAAATGGCTTGAAAATCAGCAGGAAGGAAGGGAGGTCAGCAATAGCCAAGATCACAGCACACGGTTGGTCCACTGAGGCCACCACGGCCACAGCCATTGGATTTGCTGTGGCCATCCCAAAAGTGGGTTCTCTACCAGCTCTGCTTCTTTGCACCACCAGCTCCTGTCCCAGCCCATGCTGTAGGTGCCTCTGAGTGCTCTGACTTAGGTTTGTGTAGTCTTCACAACATCCTGAAAATATGTATCATGATTCCCATTTTACAGATGAGGAACCTGAGGCTTAAATATGCCAGGTGACTGGCCACAGGCAAATTCAGGCCTGTCTGACTCCAAAGCCCACTCTCCCCGTAATCACAGTGTGGTAACTCCATCCCATGGCTGGGATAAAAGAATTCCAAAGTATACTTCAAAGAGGTTGTTCCAGTTGCTTCTACCAGCAACACCTGGGTGGCTCCTTTGCATTCCACCCTTTCCAGCCTCAAGGGAATTGTATTGTCTAACACACATCTTTGCTAATTTGATAAACTAAAATGGTGTCTTATTGTTTTGGTTTGCCTCTTTTTAATTATTGAGGTTGGATGCTGTATTAGTCTGTTTTCATACTGCTGATAAAGACATACCCAAGACTGGGAAGAAAAAGAGGCTTTATTGGACTTACAATTGCACATGGCTGGGGAGGCCTCAGAATCATGACAGGAGGTGCAAGGCACTCCTTACATGGCAGCAGCAAGAGAAAAATGAGGAAGAAGCAAAAGCGGAAACCCCTGATGAGATGTCATCAGATCTCGTGGGACTTATTCACTACCGCAAAAATAATATGGGGGAAACCGCCTCCATGATTCAAATTATCTCCCACAACATGTGGGAATTATGGGAGTACAATTCAGGATGAGATTTGGGTGGGGACACAGAACCAAGCCAGATTAGATGCTTCCTTATATTTTACTATCTGGTATATTTCGTGTGTGTGTGTGTGTGTGTGTGTGTGTGTGTGTGTGTGTGAAAAATCTTGTCAATTGTTTTTGTTCATGTGTCTATTGGGATCTTTGTGGGGTTAACTAGTTGTCTGTATGAGATCTTTATATATCACAAAGAAGTTTTTCTTCCTTTTATTTTAGATTCATGGAGTACCTGTGCAGGTTTGTTACATGAGTATATTACGTGATGCTGAGGTTTGGGCCTCTAATGATCCTGTCGCCCAAGTAGTGAATATAGTAGCCAATAGGTAGTTTTTCGACCCTTCTGTCCCCCATCCCCTTCCCCACCTTGTGGAACCCCCAGTGTCTACTGTTCCCATCTTTGTGTCCTTGTGTACCCAATGTTTAGCTCCCACTTCTAATGGGAGATGTGTGAGCATATCACAAAGACGTTTAACCTTTTATCTTTCATTTTTCTTTTTCTTTTTCTTTTTTTTTTTTGAGATGGAGTCTCACTTCGTTGTCCAGCCTGGAGTGCAGCGGTGCGATCTCGGCTCACCGCAACCTCCGCCTCCCAGGTTCAAGCGATTCTCCTGCCTCAGCCTCCCAAGTAGCTGGAATTACAGGTGCCCACCACCATGCCCAGCTAATTTTGTAGTTTTCACCATGTTGGTCATGCTGGTCTCGAATTCTTGACCTCAGGTGATCCACCCGCCTTGGCCTCCTGAAGTGCTGGGATTGCAGGCGTGAGCCACAGTGCCTGGCCTATCTTTCATTTTTCAATGAATATTTTCACCACATTTTTTATGTGCTGTTTAACTTTGCTCCTTTTCCTTTGACATACGAAAGTTTTACATTTATGAACAAATATTTAACAAATATTTCTCAGGCTGCCCGCATAATGCAAGGGATTGTTTTAGGCCAAAAACTCTCTGAATACTTAGATAATTCCTGTTCTTGGATTCCCTGCTACCTCCCAGTCCTTTGGGTGAGCAGGTTTATAGAGAGCCCTTTCATCTTTAGAGAGAGGTCCAGAAACAACTCTGAGAGACATGCTTTTTCACTGCACTTTAGGGCAAAAAAAAAAAAAAAAAAAGACAAAGGTGAGAATTGTTTGCACCAATTATTTACAGAGACTCATTTTATCCTTATTTCTAAACAACTATTTTTAGGGAAAGAGAAGGGGAGGACAGGGGGCTTTAAAAGTCATGAGATTTGCCCTGCGGAAAGTCCCTGGAAGTGAGCAAGTCTGTGAGTGAGAAGGGAGGACCTATCTGCCTGGGGGAAAAGCTCTCCTTTAATTGCCTGTTTCCTATCCTGCAGCCCCAGGCTTCTCCCAAGCTCCTTTAAAGGTTGATCTTGACAAGAAGCCTGGAGATGGTGCTTGCTAGACATGGGTAGAACATACAAATATGAGGCCAAGTGCTGTGGTGGTTCACACCTATAATACAAGCACTTTGGGAGGCCAAGGCAGGAGGATCGTTTGAGCCCAGGAGTTCCAGACCAGCCTGGGCAACATAGTGAGACCCCCATCTGTACAAAAAATAATAAAAAAATTAGCCGTGTGTAGTGGCGTGTACCTGTAGTCTCGGCTCCTCACGAGGGTGAGGCAGGAGGAGCTTGAGACTTGGAGTTTGAGGCTACAGTGAGCCGTGTTTGCATCACTGCATTCAGCGTGGGAAACAGAGTGAGACCCTGTATAAAAAAAAAAAAAAAAGAACGTATGCTGGATACTCTCAGACTCTCAGAAGCATGGGCCTTGCTGCCTTATAAGCTTGGTTCAAATCCCACCCCACCTCTGCCAATTAACAGATGTGTAAGTAAGAGTGAGTCCCTTAAGCTTTGTGAGGCTCAGTTTTGCCATCTGTGTGAGGGGATACTCATGCTGCCCTTGTGTGATGGATGAGGATCAGTGGTCGTGTATGTAAAGTGCATAGCAGAGTCTGCCCACAGTGGGTATGCAATCAGAGGCCATTCTAACATACCAGGAAATTAATCGGCAAGTTCGTGTGGGTCATCAGTGTGTGGTCAGCATTGCACCAAGTTCTGTGACAGCAGGTTCTAACAGTCAACCTGCGTGAGCTTGTATGGTGTGGCCAAGGAGATAGGGCACAGCTCACAAAATGACTCTGCAACTGTATATGAAGTGCCAAATTATAGAGGAGTGGTTTAATTCTTATAAGCATAAAGATAACTCTATGGTTTGAAATAATTAGAGAAAGCGTCACGGAAGAAGTAGGAGCTTAAGTTGGGTGTTGATGATTTAAGAAACATATTCTTTGATTAGACAGAATTTTTTCCATCTGAAAATGAAAATAGCTACATATTTTTCCTTTTAAACAATAATATGTACTCTTTTAAAAATACTTAGATAATACAGTAAATCAATTAAAAAGTCTCACTGCCCAAGAATACCTACTATCAATACTTTGTTGTATGGAGAACATATATATTTGTATATGAATACAATTATGTTTGCTTATTTATGCAAAAAACAGGAGAATATGTAAATATAGTATTGTAGAATATTCCATTATACAGAGGCTTTCTAATTTGTTTAAATCCTTATTACTAAAAATTTAGGTTATTTTAGCACGGCTAAGTACATGAATGCCTCAGTTTCATCAATCAATAACTTAGTGATTTTGGTCTTGGATCACTTTCCAGAAATGTCATAAAAGTTGTATCAATTTATACCACCTTCCACCATCAGTTTATAAGAGTTCCCTTTTTCCTACACCCTTCCCAGTACTGACAATTGTCAGTGTTTTACAGTCATTGCCAAGCTGCCAGGTAAAAATTATATTACTCATTTAATATGTATTTTTAGACAACTCTGTGTTAATCAGTGGTGATAAAGACATGGTCCTAGCCATCCCCTCTGAAAGCTCAGAGACCAGCAGGAAAAAGAGACATTAAACCAGTAATTACTGTAAACTGTGATGAGGGGTGTTGTAATTTGCATTTCTTGGATTATCCAGTCAGATCCTTAATGAATAAAGTAAAACGGGCCCACTGAGGTTTTACAGTGATGTGGCCTCTTGTTTCTTGGTGGACAGATGTTCTTTTTTGCCCGTTGTTAACTCATGGAATACAACAGCTAGTAGGTGAACAACACAGAACATCCTGAAGGATTTTCTAGGGGAACAACATGAACTAGATTATGCTTTTCTGGCCTCATTTCTACAACATCCTCAGAATCTTAGGTCTATTATCGATGCCTTGAGGACTATACCTTGCCTGTGAGGATTATGTCCCGATGTAGCATACTCTAATTGCACAACACGGGATAAAATAATAATACAATAAAATGGTGCTAGAACAACTGGATACCAGTATGAATTTAAAAATGGGCAAATGATTTGAACAGCCATTTTATAAAGAAATTCATGAATGATTAACAAACATGCAAAGATACTCAACACCACTAGTCATTAAGGAAATGTAATTCAAACCATAATGAGATACCATGTCACACTCAGTAGAATGGCAAAAATTAAAAAGATTGACAACACTCAGTGTTGGTGAGGATGTGAGACTTTCCTACCTTGCTGGTGGAAATGCAAAGGGATATAGCCACTTTGGAGAAGAGTTTGGCAGTGTTTTATAAAGTTTCCTAAGTATTTTCCCAAGATAAAATATTTGTCCATACAAAACCTTGTATGCAATTGTTCATAGCAACATTTTTTGGTAACAGCTAACAACTGGAAACAGTGTAAATGTCCATCAATCAAAACTAAATTATGGTAAATCCATGCTCAACAATAAAAAGGATTAAATATTAATACATGCAACAAGATGAATGAATTTCAAAATAACTTTGCTAAGTCAAAGAAGCCAGACATGATGGGCTGTGTCCAGTATGGTTCCTTTTATAAGAAATTCTAGAAAAGGCAAAACTATAATGAAAGCAAGATGATCAGTGGTTGCCTGGGTCCAGGGTCTGGGCTGGGGATCAACAGCAAAGGGGTAAGAGGGAGCTTTCTGAATGATGGAAATGCTCTGTGTCTTGGTTATGGTGATGAGGGTTTGTATACACCTATAGACAATTGCCAAAACTCAGCAGGCTGTATACTTAGAATGAATATATTTTATTTATGTAAATTATATTTAAATAAAGCTGAGAGAAAAAACATTAACAAATCTGAACTTTGCTCTTTTAAAAGGTATTTCCTTCTTGATTTATTATTGTTTTTTTGAGACAGAGTCTCACTCTGTCACCCAGGCTGGAGTGCAGTGGCACGATCTTGGCTCACTGCAACCTCTGCCTCCAGTGTTCAAGCGATTCTCCTGCCTCAGCCTCCCAAGTAGCTGGGATTACAGGTGCCTGCCACCATGCCCAGCTAATTTTTGTATTTTTAGTAGAGATGGGGGTTTCATCATGTTGGCCAGGCGGGTCTCGAACTCCTGACCTCAGATGATCCTCCCAAAGTGCAGGGATTACAGGCGTGAGCCAATGTGCCCAGCTTCCTTCTTTAGTATTATTTCTATTCTGAATTACATATGGGAGTGGTACACCATAAGCTCCCAGCACTCAGAGGTTCTCAGCATCTTAATCTGGCCCTGGCACCGAGCATGACAGGCCCTCTTGGCCACACGAATCACCTCCAAGGCATCTGCCTGGCTCTGTCCTTGAAGCTCCCTCAGGTCAGCAGTTCTGTGACTTTTGTGCCATGCTTAGGGCACTGGAATCCCTGGTGGCACTGGGATCACTGTGCCAGGTTTTAGCCATCCCAGGTACTAGTACCTATGGAGCATCCACCTCCCAGGCAAAAGGGGGCAGGGCACTCACTTATTCCTTCACAAATCCACCCCCAACACCCCCTTCTCTCCCTGCCATTATCTCTTCCACAGTTTTAAATTTTTCTCCCAGGAAGCCTTCATCAAATCCCTCAGGCAAGGTGGCACAAAGCCTGCCTGAAATGGAGGGGGCGTGGAGAAGTGGAAGTAGGAGGATAACACACACAAATGAATATTTCAATAAATTATCATGCCATGAATGTCAAAGTGTGCTCAAGAAATGCTAATGTCCTTACTGAGGAGCAGCAAGAGGCAGGCAGGGGGCCTGGAAAGACTCCATAGAAAGACCTGGATGATCTGGTGGATGGGGCCAGCAGAGGCGCTGGCAGGGGCAAAGTGAAAAAAACACAGTGAAGGCACCTGGTGGGGTGAGGAGGGGTACTGGGGTGGGTGGAGGGCCAGGAGCTGAAGGTTTCCTAGTTATGCAGATAGAGTTTAGGAGTTGATCAGGGGCCACCAGTTGAGAAATATTTGAGAGGGATGAGTGGCTCACGGAACTGATTTCTGGGCTGTGCCTGGAGACGGGGAGGTGGCCAGGGCTATCCAGAGGGCAGCTGGAGTCGGCTTAGGGTAGGGCCCAAGGGTCCCACAGACCTGGTCCTCAGTAAGGGAGGGAGAGGAGTCTTTCGGGCCTAAACTAGGTGGAGGAGCAAAGGCGGCATCAGAAAGTCAGACAAGGCCTGGCGCGGTGGCTCACGCCTGTAATCCCAGCACTCTGGGAGGCTGAGGCAGGCGGATCACTTGAGGCCAGGAATTGGAGACCAGCCTGGCCAACATGGTGACACCAATCTCTACTAAAAATACAAAAATTAGCTGGGCATGGGGGTGCATGCCTGTACTGAAGCTACTCAGAAGACTGAGGCAGGAGAATTGCTTGAACCCAGAAGGCGGAGGTTACAGTGAGCTAAGATCACGCCACTGCACTCCAGCCTGAGTGATAGATTCTACCTCAAAAAAAAAAAAAAAGAAGAAGAAAGTGAGACAGAATAATGAGGGATAGTCCTTTCCTCCTTCCTCTCCTCTCTCCTTTATTTTCTTCTCTTCCTTCTTCCCTCTCTCCTTCCTCCCTCTTCATCTTGTCTTCCCTTCCTTCCTCCCTCTCTCCTTTCCTTCGTCCTTTCTTCTTTTCTCTCCCTTTCCCTCTCCCATCCTTCCTCCTTCTCTTTCCCAGGCAATTCTTTTCTTTTCTTCCCCAACCCTTTCTCCTCTCCTTCCCTCCCCCTTCGTCTCTTCCCTTCCCCTCTTTTTCTCCCTTTCTCTTTCCCTTCTTCAATCCCTTTCTCTCTTGCTGTCTTTTTCTCCACCTTGTTCAGAAAAGCCTGCAAAGCAGAGCCTGCTCTCAGAGTCATGTCACGAGTAACCCATTTGTGTTACTTGCGGTTTACCTACCTGTAGAAAATTTGTACCCTAAGATCTCCACATACTGCGGGCAAATGGTTTATAATTCAACTTCACAAATATTTACTGTGCTCTGGTTAACTGAGTATCCTTTGTGCTAGAGGTGCCAGAGAGATGCAAATGGCAGCGCCAGTCCTTGGAGGAGCCAGTCTGGGGCCCCTGGCTGATGTTGGCAGAAGACACATCCCTCTCTCCCTTCAAGGATGCTGAAGAGCTCTCTGTCTACTAGTACCCTGGGCCCACTTTTCTCTCCAACAAGGTGCAGAAAAGGGCATCGTTGCCAGGTTTGCAAGATCGTAACAAGACAGTGCATTGTAGGTATAATCTGCCGGAATGAGGAGGCGCTCAGCCTGCGCGGATTGGAAGGGCCACATAAACATCTGTCAGTCCATTGACAACAGCACCCAGAAGCCCGAATTGTGACTTCACACCGATTTCTTCCCCTGCTATAAATTCTACAAGATCGTCAACATAAATAAGACTTTCTCCTCAACCAGTTTTTCAGGGCCATGCCAGGCTTTAAAATGGGCAGGCCCCTGGCCGGGCGCGGTGGCTCACGCCTGTAATCCCAGCACTTTGGGAGGCCGAGGTGGGCGGATCACGAGGTCAGGAGATCGAGACCATCCTGGCTAACATGGTGAAACCCCGTCTCTACTAAAAAATACAAAAAATTAGCCGGGCGTGGTGGCACGTGCCTGTAGTCCCAGCTAGTCGGGAGGCTGAGGCAGGAGAATGGTGTGAACCCGGGAGACGGAGCTTGCAGTGAGCCAAGATCGCGCCACTGCACTCCAGCCTGGGCGACAGAGTGAGACTCCGTCTCAAAAACAAAACAAAACAAAACAAAACAAAAATGCAGGCCCCAGTTTCACTTGCATGTTGTTGAATTTGGAGAGTCAATCAATCAAGCCAGGTCCCACAATGAGCACAATGCCAATCTGCAGAATCTTTCAGGGCAAAAGGGAATTTAGAAAGATGAGGGAGAAAGGATCTGAAGACTGATCCGTTCCTCTTTCAATGTTCAAAGTATAAAATTTTTCTCCTCAGTTTTATCAGTTAATACTGTCCTTTACTTGGCTAATATTTATTATATAGCATAAGATGTAACAAAATTTTCTTAGGCTAGGAATGGAAAGAAAGCAATGATTCTAACTGTAGTTGGGCAGTTTAGAGTGTGATGAAGGAGAAAACAGAATTTTTTCATCACCCCTCAATGTGCATAGAACAACAGAATCACAGACCATTACCACTGACCTTTGTCATAGATTTTAGAGGTGATCTAATCTAACTTCCTAGTCCAAGTAGGCATTACCTCTCTGCCTCTGACTTATTTGTACCTACTATGTACCAGTCATTGTGCTGGGCATTAGAAAGAGACAGAGATGAAGACAACTTGGATCTCCAGGAAGGAGTTCAGCCTAGTGGGTACAGTGGCCCAAAAGAGGTTTGGACCTAGTGCTCACAGCGCAGAGGAGGAAAGTTGCAATTTCAGGTGAGAAAACAGCAAAGACTTCTTGGGAGAGGTGGTAGCTTATGTGTCACAGCCTTAATCCTCACTGTGTTTGGGCAGGTTCCTGATTGTGGGAATGCAAGAATGGATGTTGGGCATGATTCACCATCCTCCCCCACCATGTGGGCCAACTCCATGATCTCTGTGACTCACAGGGAATTGGACTTCTGATCTCTTCCTTGACCCTGTGACTTCCCAAACTGCCTTGTGCATGTCCAGGCTTTGGGGCAGGTAACTGAAGTCTTTGGCCTATGAGGTGAGAGGTCACTTGGGTGACCTGGGAGTAAATCCCTTCCCCTCCCTGGCTCTGTAAAGCCAAGTGTTAAATGAGAGACTTATATTCCAGGCAAAGGCTTTGTGCAAATGCCCATCTAAGCCATGCCCTCTGCAAGGAATCCCCTTTCTTAGTGATGATGGTGGGGAGGTGGGGAGGGTGCAGTGCAACTCCCATTCCTGATCTCCTATCACCAGAGCAGAAGAATCACTGGAGAACGACTCTGTCTGAAGCTTGTTCAGCCTGGCTTCCTTGAGCAAGCAACTTATTCACAGGTAAGTCCAAATTAATACAGCGCACACCGGCTACATAAATATTGTGCTTTGATTGTCTTCTGTAATCAAAGGCAAGGCTGCTGAGTTTGTTACTTTCCCCACCATGCAACTGCTGGAGGAGAACTCTGGGGGAAGGGAACTGAGGTTGCCCAGGTGGTTTTTGTTGCATGTGTCTAACTGCAAGTTGTGTCTCTGTCTATCGAGGGGAGGATAAGGCCCATTACATTCAGATTCAATAAGAATTTATCAAATGCCTATTTTGTGAGAGGCATTGAAAGACACAGTATCTTATTTCATTTTTAATTGAATTAGTAATGACTTGATAAGGCACAAAGGTTAGTCTAACTAACATTTTTTTTTTCCCTGACATACGAGTGATCCCTACACTATTGGCTGTGTCCACTTTATTGATTGTGAAACAGCCTAAATGCATGGAATTGGAAACTGGAAGTCATTCTACACAATACAAGAAAGCAGCACCATCTTTCCATGTACCTGCCAGTGCTATGGCTGGCTTGGCTTTTCCAGCAGTTTTCTGGACTTGGTTGAGGTGGCTTCCTAGGGGCATTTTCTCACCCCCTCCCAGCTAAGACTGCTGTTAATTTTGAATAATTTGGAGGATGCTCTACCCTTTGGGGTAGCAGAGTTTTGCAACCCACAGATCCCTTTTGCCTTGAGGAATGGTGGTGATGGTGGGTGTCAGAGATTCTGTCTGTATAAGTCCCCGGGAAAGCTCAGCTGTCGCCTGACCCGAGGGTCGTGCAGTTTCCTTAACCCTGACTTTAAGTCAGCCCTCTTTAACCCCGACTCCCAAGCTGGGCTGTCCTTTGAAAGAAAAACGAAACCGCCCAGTTCTGAGCGTCGGAAAATGGGCACTCGCTCCCTGGGGGTTTGGGGCAACTTCCCCGCTACGTCGCCCAGGGATTTTAAATAATTGCCAGCCACCAGAAACCCCCTAACCCTTAATTCTTCCCTCCGAGACCCAGCCCGCTGCTTGCCACTTCCCTCTCCAAACGCTGGCGGGGGTGGGTGGCAGCACCGAGGCGATTTTCTTCGTCTTTTTTTCCTCCGGGTTTTGTCATGGAAACGCTGACACAACCTCCAGACGGCGGCCGAGCCCGGCCGGGGACTGAGGGCTTTTGGGACCCTGCGGGAGCGCGGCGCGCACACCGCACTCCCCGGGCAACAGCTGGACGCGACCATATCCCGGGTAGGGGCGGGGGGAGCGCGACGCTCCGCCCCGGCGCTAGGGTCCCTCCCTCCTCCCGGCTCTCCGCAGGCGCCCTCCCCTCGCCGGGGGCCGCGAGTTGCATTTGGTAAAACCCAGCCCCGGAATATATAGATCGTTGGAGCGCAATGAAGTAGCCTTTGGAGAGAAGGGAGAGGGCCCGTCGGACAGCCACAGCGGCCAGCGCAGCGGCAGCGGCGGCGGCACCACCATCACCGCTCGCACCCCAGCCGCCCGGCCCGCGACCAGGCAGCGGCGGCCGCCGGCGGGATCGGAGGAGGCGGCGGAGCGGCGAGGAGGAGGAGCAGGAGCGCGCAGCCAGCGGGTCCACGCATCTCAGCACTTCCAGACCAACTCCGGCACCTTCCACACCCCTGCCCGGGCTGGGGGCTCCGAGAGCGGCCGCGAAGCGACTCCGATCCTCCCTCTGAGCCTTGCTCAGCTCTGCCCCGCGCCTCCCGGGCTCCGGTCCGCGCGGCGGGGTCCCTGCTCCTGCGCCCCGGGCGCGCTTCCCGGACACCCCGGTCCCCGCAGCCAGGACAAAGCCATGAAGCCAGCGCTGCTGGAAGTGATGAGGATGAACAGAATCTGCCGGATGGTGCTGGCCACTTGCTTGGGATCCTTTATCCTGGTCATCTTCTATTTCCAAAGTATGTTGCACCCAGGTAGGGGGCGCGTTAGCGTGGTTTTGTTGGATATTTTCTTCTCTCTCGCGCTCTAGCTCGCTCCGCCTGATTTCTGCCTCTTCCAACCCTACCTCTCCGCCTTCGGCCTCTTCGGGGCTCCTGGCTGCCCAGAGCTCCTGGCTGCCCAGATCTACCCGGGTCACCGCGTCGGGATGGGGAGGAGAAGGGAAGGTGTGCTTCGCCCTCTTCTTCCTACCGGCTCCGGGCTGGAGGATGGGACCAGGAGGGGCGGTAGTTTTTTTTTTTTTTTTTTTCTTCTTCTTTTTTTCTTTGTGTCCCTTGTCTGTCTGTCTGCGAGGTAGCAGGGAAACGGAGAGGTGTGGGAAGCAACCGGGGGTGAGGGGCTGGTTTGAGGAGAACGAAACTCCCTCCCTGCTGCTGCCGAGGTCGGAGGATGAAAGAGTTACCCGGAGCCGGCTGCTCTGCGCCCGGGCGAGCCGCCTCTTCCTGGTTGCCGGGCCGGGGGCGAAGGGTGTACGCCCCGGCGAGGTTGCGAGTCCCTGCAGCAGGCTGGGAGCCCGGGACTGGGCTCCCACGTGTCCCGGGCTCCGCGCAGAGCTGAGCAGGTGTGGAGAGTGGTCGGGTGCCCAGCGTTGCCCCTCCACCACGCGCCGGCCGTTTGCCCCCGGGGTCCGGCTCCGCAGTGACCTTGCGGCTGGTGCCCCGGGGCCTGCTCCAGCCCCCAGCCCTGAGCTGGAAACTCCGAGCTCCTGGGTCACGCCTTGACCACTGCAGTTTTGGAGGAAACTTTGGCCAGGTCCTGGGCTGACCGTCCGTTTGCATCCCCCACTTCTGGGATCCGAGCAACGGGAATCCCCCGGGCGGCGTGGGAATGAACCCCATTCCTCCGGTCCCTTGTGGCTCAGGCAAAGTTCCACGTCCGAAATCTGGACTGGGGGAGGGACGAGGCTCGTCGCTTCCTAGGGGTGCGAGGGAAAGTTTGGGTTCTGGAGAGGGAGGGGCGCCCTCGAGCGCGGCGGCCGGGGGTGAGCAGCTCGGCTGCGAAGCCCAACAGGTAGAACGTTCCGAGAAGCCTTCCGGGTAACGCGGGTCTCCCCGCCAAGCCGTGGCTCCCCTGCTCCCTTTTACCCTCCCTTAGCAGCCCCCTGCCGGGCCACGTTGGCTCAGAAATCCATTTTCTACGCCTCCGAGTTGCCTTTCTCAGCGTAGTCACAGCAATAATTTGCTTTTCTAATTGCAAGGAGGAGGGAGGTGGAAACGCATTTCCTTCCAGGGAAGTGGGGTTGGTGTTTTTCATTTTTGCCTCCCGCCTTCTCCTTTCACTGTGTATCTAACACTTTAAACAGACGCAGTCCCGAATTCATCAAGCCTGCGTTTGGGTCGATGGCAGAGGAATAAAGCTGTTCTTTCCATCAAACAGGCAGGGCTGCAGGCTGCAGATTCCTTGACAGCGCAGGGACAGACGGCCCCTTTGCCCCACTCGGTCTGGAGCAGTTGTTAAGGCAGCCACACTGCCAAGGATATGGTCCGACTCTACCACATGTAACCTCAGGACGTCCGAGCCAGCCCTGTTAAAGATGGCTTTTGTTTGCAGCTGGGTATTTTTAGTTTAATGTCAGCAAACTACAGCGGTGTTTGTCTCCTCACCCAAACCTGCGGTTGTGAAACTTATAAAGGAATTTAAAAATGGACCTGGCTTGCATTCCGGCAGGCAGGCCTTGGTTGCAGTGGGCAGGGCCAGACAGCCAGGGGTATCTCAGAGTGCCAAGCTCCAGGGCCCACCGGAGACCGGGCCAGACTCACCCCAGAGCGCCAGGGGACTGGTGGTGTACAGATACACTCGGGTTCAAACAGTTTAAACAAGGGGCCGGTGATTTGGTCTAGACTCTAGAGCTGTGTTCAGGTTTCGCTGGGACCGTGAATGCCAGTAATGCTCTGTACGAATGCCCAGAACACGGATGAGTGTCAGCCTTCAGCAGGAATGCGCTTGAGCTTCTGTGTACCTGTTAATTGCCCAGGGAAATACAATTGTCATGGAATTCTTTGTGAGAATTGGGAAATAACTTTCTAGCCAAAGATACTAGAAAGAAACTTCCAACTTGTAATTGTCACTTTGTGAAAATTTCCAGCCCTTGTTAGTCTTAAGTTGACTTGAAAGTGACATCATATCTTTTCAGCCTAGCCTTTTGGAAGAGGCAGAGAACCTTTTCTAAGCTTGTGCTGAAAAAGATCCTCTGTCGATGATCCTGCCCCATCCTTTATGTCCCCCTCTAGTCCTATTTTCTCCCATTGTTTATTATTTAGATCTCTATAAATATACTTTTCTGATATTTCCCTCCAGTCCATAGCAAATACTACTTTCAAAACATTGTGTTGAATGTAGAATTACAGATAGTTCAGTTGAAAGGCCTTCCTTATTTCAGATTACTTACAGTCCACAAAAGCTCTGTGTCAACAGTTTATCATTACACGGGGCATAAAAATATACTTTCAAATCTACATTAAACATTTTCTTTTTGAGGGGTTCATTTTATTAAGCTACACTGTTAATGACCACTGATGTGGAATCTCTTTCACTGGTTTGAATTTCTTTAAAAGTTAAAGATCCTTGCTTCTCTGAAGTATCTTGGGGGTAAGGAGAGCTGATCCTTCAGCCTGGCTCTGCAGTTTCTGTCTCTCCAGATCACCCTGGGAGAGGCAGAAGGGACCACAGCATGGCACGGATTGTGTAGCTAAAAATTTGGAGGCCTCTGGCAGGGGTTCCAGATACCTACATGTGAAATAGAAAAATAGTATTGCAAAAGCAATGGGTTCCAGGCTTCGTTGGTGGCTGGAGGGTATGAGAGGAGGGAGAGAAAGAAAAAAAGGAAGGCAGGGCGCGGTGGCTCATACCTGGAATCCCAGCACCTTGGGAGGCTGAGGCGGGTGCATCACTTGAGCTCAGGAGTTCGAGACCAGCCTGGCCAACATGGCGAAACCACATCTCTACTAAAAATACAAAAATTAGCTGGGTGTGGTGGCACACGCCTGTAATCCCAGGAACTCCGGAGGCTGAGGCATGAGAATAGCATGAACCCAGGAGGCAGAGGTTGCTGTGAGCTAAGATGGCACCACTGCACTCCAGCCTGGGCGACAGAGTGAAACTGTGTCTCAAAAAAAAAAAAAAAAAAGAGACAAAAAGGAGACAGCTGGCAAGGCTGGCTGTCCCTCTCTCTGATTCTAATCTGGGGCCCATTATCTTTTCTAATTCATAGAATTGATTAATTTGCAAATTTGAGTAATTGGTCATCAGTTGCACAAGGGTTTAGCAGAAGTGGGCCTTGTCAGTAGGATAGTTACATTTAGAAGTTTTTGATACTCTGAGTTAATAGTCTTCCTTAAGAATATTTTATAGGGCAAGGACCAGGTTTTAGACTCCATTTTAATCCCGATGTTTTTTGCACGGTGTCTGACAACAGTGGGTTCTCAATAGAATGTTTGCTGGATGAATGCATGAAGTGGTTAAACTCCAGAAGTAGACCCACTTCTCTGGTTTTCAGGAAGGTCACTTCTAGCCTTGCCAAGAATGCCTGGTCAATAACTCTGGCTCTGTCTGGTGGGGAAACTTCCTGCCTTCCTGAACTGTGACACGGACCCAGTTTAAACTAATCAGGCGCCAGACAGGAGCTTTCACCGTGACCTAAATTTGCAGCCCGTGAGGTGTAGGCAGCTGAGGCACTGCTCTGTGTCCTGGATTCTGGAGAAGGTTGGTCTTGTTTAGCCACTTAGATGGATTCTAAGGAAATCCATCCATAGAACAGACACCTTCTATGGCCGTGAACTATTCCTAAAGCTAGGGAGAATGGAACCATATACCTGTGATTTCTACACAGGTTTGAGTTCACCAATGAATGCTTCCTATGCAAGTTCATCAGCTTGCATTAAAATGTCTTGCATACCTGCCCCAGATGGCTGGGTTTTGATGGAGCTGTGTCATGCAGTGCAAAGCTGAGAGGCCCCCCAGGCTGCATTGGCACAGAGTGTGTAAAGGCAGCTCTTCAGAACCTTCCTTTTGTGTTACTCCATAGGATTGTGGTTTTTGTTTGAAATCTACTGTTCATAGAAAGAAGCCTTCAGAGGAGAAAGCCTTTTCTCTCCTGTCTGCTTCCTCTCTATTATTTTTATTTTTGCAAAATGTTTATTTTCACTGTCACCTGGGATTTCTTTGCCTCGGTTGAATGTATTGAAAGATTATATCCTTTATTTAAAGATGTCTCATTTTACCCCCTTGCACTTTCACTTGATCAGGTTGAACCTAAAATGCATTTTGTATTATAATTTTAAACGAATTGTAAACATAACATGTGCTCATTTTAGAAAATTTAGGAGGTGGCCAGGTGCGATGGCTCACACCTGTAATCCCAGCACTTTGGGAGTCCAAGGCAGGTGGATCACCTGAGGTTGGGAGTTTGAGACCAACCTGACCAACATGGTGAATCCCCGTCTCTACTAAAAATACAAAAAAAATTAGCCGGGCGTGGTGGTGCACGCCTGTAATCCCAGCTACTTGGGAGGCTGAGGCAGCAGAATCACTTGAACCAGGGAGGCGGAGGTTGCAGTGAGCTGAGATTGTGCCATTGCATTCCATCCTGGGCAACAAGAGTTAAACACCATCTCAAAAAAAAAAAAAAAAAAGAAAAAGAAAAGAAAAAAAGAAAATTTAGGAGGTATAGAAGAAAAACAATCATTATTCCACCACCAAGAGGCAACTGGTACTTTAAAAATATATTATAGAATATATTTATATATATTTATATATTCTGTATTTTTCTCAACTATGCAAAATGCATATACATAGTTGAGATAACATCATGCATTTTGTATCCTGTTTGATAATAAGTATTTTAGACAAATACATCATTGTCACAACTAGTTATTAAAGTTAAAGACAAAGTTTAACCATAACTGTTTAAATGTATAGACTTGCATGTGTCTCCACCTCCCACCCTACCCCTTTGCAGGATGTCAGTCTGGTATTATTTTTTTTGCTGTGGTTGCACAAATTTAATGTTACGTTACAGAATCTTTTTGCTTATACATGGAATAGTTTGGAGTCTTACCAATTTGTAGGGGCTGTTCTTATGTTATACACCTGAAACTTCCATTGAAAAGGTGTCAAGAGGGTCTCAAATATGAGACTGTTATGAATTCTGAAAACAGCATTGAATCACTGAAGGATCTCATGTACCCCATAAATATATACAACTACTATGTACCTATAAAAATTAACAAGTAAAAAAATAACTGAAGGAGAAGACATTTTTAGCATGGGGTCTCTCCTTGATCATTTAAATGTTTGCACCTCGATGGAGCATTTTCATTGCTGTGCTCAGATGAGACAGATGTAGGTGATCTCCTTTGATTGTTACAGTCCTCATTTTCATTGCCTTCCAAAATAAAAAGGGGTGATCAGGCACCACAGAAAGGGTGGTTTGGGGGTTTCCGTGGGGTGAGGGGTGAGGGAATCCATCCTTCAGCAGAGGTATCTGCTGTCAGTATTTGTCTGGTTGAAAGATCATTTTGTTCATAGCTTTATCAGCACAGTCATTTCAAAACAGGAAGTCAAAGGCTCATAAGCAAAGGCACCACCCTTTCCCTTCTTAAACCCACCAAAAGGACCTCTCTTTAGTCTGGAGGTCAAGTGAAAAAGGCTCTCATGAAAGTCATTGCCAGCAGGCCTCTTCTAAGTTCAGACTCTGAGGAAAACCAGAAGTCATTCTGCTGATTCATTTTTTTTTCTTTTTAGTTTTTCTTTTGAATTTTTGGGACACCACCTTTATAACAAATAAAAGGGGAGGCAGTTCTTCCTATGAACAATCTGATCTGTCAGTTAAAATTTCCTAGAACTTGTAATTTGATGCATCTTAGATCCAATGTGAGTGATTGAAACTTACAAGCAGACTTGTTCTCCTCCTCCCCAGCCCCCTGTCTGTCTGTCTCTCTCTCTTTTCCTTTCTTCTACTCTGTGCCAGATACTGTTCTTGGCACTGGAGATGTAACACATACATACATCTCTGCCTTCATGGAACTTAGATTCTAGTGGGGCGGACAGACTTTAAGCAAATGCAGAAGTGACATATATGGTATATCAGATGGTGTTAAGAGAAAAACAAAACAGAGAAGATGGTTGAGGGGTGTGAGAGGCAGGGGTTGCAATATAATATAGAGGTAATTAGGGAATGTCATTGATAAGATGACACTGAGAGCAGACACCTGCAGGAAATGAAGGAGCCGGCCATGTTCCAGGCAGAGAGCAACACAAGTCAAATCTGGTCCCTGAGGCAAGAACACGCATGGCAAGGTGGTCAGAGTGCCCAGAGCAGAGGGACGGAGGCAGCCAACAACCACAGTGGGGAGAGACAAGTCGGAGAGAGACAATTGTTTTGAGCCTTGGGTTTAACTGTAGATGGGAGGGAAGCGCTGCAGAAGCTTGAGCAGAGGTCTCTTGGGGCAGGGAGGCAAGGAATAAGGGTGGAAGCAATGTAGCAAGATTGAAAATGAAGTCTCCTACTTGCACTTTTTTTTTTTTTTTTTTGAGGTGGAGTCTTGCTCTGTCACCTAGGCTGGAGTGCAGTGGTGCAATCTGGGCTCACTGCAACCTCTGCCTCCTGGGCCCAAGCAATTCTCCTGCCTCAGCCTCCTGAGTAGCTGGGATTACAGGCATGCACCACCACACCTGGCTAATTTTTGCATTTTTAATAGATACTGGGTTTTGCCATGTTGGCCAAGCTGGTCTTGAACTCCTGACCTTAAGTGATCCACCCTCCTCGGCCTCCCAAAGTGCTGGTAGAGGTGTGAGTCACTGTGCCCAGCTCTACTTGCACATTTGTGCTCATCTTTGGGCAGCCGGTAGTGTACTTTGGTTAAGTGGTCACCATATAAGTCCCATCTCCCCTCTACCACCTGCTCCCCCTTGACCCCCAACTAGACCATCTCCTTTTTCAATTTTTTAAAATTTATCTTTATTTTTAAAAACAGGGCCTTGCTCTATTGCCCAGGTTGGAGTGTAGTGGTGAGATCACGGCTCACTGCATCCTCGAACTCCTGGGCTCAAGGGATCCTCCTACATCATCAGCCTCCCAAGCAGCTGGGACTTACAGGTGTGCCACACACCCAGTCCCATTTCCAATTTTTAAAGCAGTAATGAAGAGATCTGAAAAAGAGATTTGAGAAAAATTTTGACTGAGCTTGTAGTGGGAAATTCGTAATATCTTCAGGGTGCAATCGGTGGCATTTGTTAATAAAAATATCCAGAAAAAGTGCCAGACTTAAATCAGCACTCAATAAAAATAAAACGATGAAATGGATCAGCGCTCTGGGAGTGGAAGACCCGAGTCCTAGTCTGGGGTCTCCCATGTCCTATCCCCATAAATTATTGTGTATTATTGATTCCAGAACATATTTTTTTCACATTTTAGTGATTATGCAATTTGTGTTGTGATTGATGGCATCTCAGCACCGTGCTGCCCTTTAACGAGCAACTGTTTCGTTTCTTAGTGTTCCATCAAATAGCAGTGTGCCTTCACCATGGATGCCTTCTGAGGCCACCTCTGTAAATTGTGAAAGTACTTTATGTAAACTGTGGCACACTTCATAACCTCAGTAAGTGATGAAAAATGGCATTCCTCCAAGATGCAGAGTCTGAGGGCTCAAAAGTACCTGGTTAGTCTTGAGTACTTGCTTCTCAATGGCCAGACTGGCATGCAGTCTGTCCAAGTCTTTTTAACTTTGCCTGGCACTTATTTTCAGAGCCCAGGGCTTGTAGTTAGTATTTGTCTGATTAACGATGAGGTTGGTTAAGAGTTAGAATGGGGAGGGTGGGAAGTAAGTGATTTAACTTGAGGCTTGAACCTGGAAGTTCATCTAGAAATAGACATAAACATTGCCCAGGGAAAGTATCACCAATGTGGATTTTTGTTTCTTTCAAGGCTACTGAGCTGTCATGACTTTGTCATTTCTCTTTTCTGGCCCTTTTAGAAATGTACTGTGGTTGTTTGTTTTTTTGTACATCTTCCTCTTTTGACATAGCAAGGCATGGATTCTGTCAGGTTCATCTTTATAGCCTCTGACCCTGGCCCAGAGGTGCCTAGGAAACATTTAAAGAGTAAATAATTGATTCTCAAAGATAAGCCTTTCCACCTCGGTCACCACCCAATCCATGTGCGCAGAACTCAGAAGGAGGAGCCAGGTTGGATTGTCATGTACAAACAGCATCTGCTGTGGTCTAGTCCCTTTGTCTCCCAAATCTCTTTGCTTCTGTTCTGCTGTGTTTCAGGGCAGGAAATAGAAATCAGTCTAGATATTTTATTTTTTAATTTAATTTAATTTTTTTTTTTGAGACAGAGTCTCACTCTGTCGCCCAGGCTGGAATGTAGTGGCACCGTCTGGCTCCTCTGCCTCCTGGGTTCAAGCGATTCTCCTGCCTCAGCCTTCTAAGTAGCTGGGATTACAGGTGCCCGCCATCACGCCCAGCCAATTTTTGTATTTTTAGTAGAGACAGGGTTTCACCATGTTGGCCAGGCTGGTCTCGAACTCCTGACCTCAGGTGATCTGCCCGCCACGGCCTCCCAAAATGCTAGGATTACAGGCATAAGCCACCGTGTCCAGCACCAGTCTAGGTATTTTAAGCAGAAAGATATTTACTAGAGGGAATTTTGTGCTTATAGAGGCATAAGGGGGCTGGAGGAATGGGGCTCCAGGAATGTCTCCCAGCTAATGGTAGTAGTTTATATAATAATTAATAAACAAACGTATGTTGGCATGGCTGTTCAAAAAAAACAAAAAACAAAAAACAAAACTGACTCACTAGGGGTGCTACACCCTCTGATACTGTGTCTGGAACTATTGAGTTCAAGAACAAATTGATGGCAAAGCCGGAGAGTGGACCCTATAATGCTGTTGCAAAAAACCCTCGTGACCCCATCTCCATGCTTGCCAGCGGCCAAACAGCCCCAAAGGCAAGAAGATGGCCTCTCTGCCCCACATCTGCTTTCTAAATCTCAAGTGAGTGCTTCTATTTGGGAGAGCCAAATTCACATCTAGAACCTTAGCTTCAAAGAAGCCTGGGAAATACAGCTTTTCAATTACCAGCCTCTGCAGGCTAGAAAGCTTTCTAGAAGGAGGGTAGAATGAACGATGAGCAAATAATCACAATACTCACCACACCCTATTGGTAAAACATATTTGAGCAGCCATCCCTCAATATATTTTGTTTATAAATAATTTCTGCATATTACTACCATTATCTACATATCTAGGATAGGATCCTTTCTGACTAGTGACTGCAAACCCCTATGTCGTTATCTGTTGGATAATTCCGTTGGCTGACTCTTTATCAATTCTGATTCTTTCATCCTTTTGACCTTGTAATGTTGTCCACAAAGATACAATGGAGAGCTAGTACTCAAGAGGGAGGAATGCCATTTTCTTGTGTGCCTGGATTGTGACAATTATCTTCAAGTTGTGGTTTCTTGGCTGGGATCTCTTTAGGCCTCAGTTCTATTTTGTGAGGAATAGGATAGTTAAAAGTAGATAATATAATCTGTAAATTTACTTATGATTCAGTTGTAAATGGTTATTCATTGAAATATGCTGAGAATGGTGGAATTATTGAGGTGGTCACTCCAGTTCATTTTGTGGTTGAGGATACCTGCCTGAGTTTCATAACTGACATGTAATTTGATATGACAGGTTAGATGGAGTTGTTTGTGGCCATTTGTATTCTTGATATAGTTAAAATTTTTTTAGGTTAACTGAAAATGGAAGGTCTGGTGTCTAGATGAACAAAAAATGGGAAGTCTGATGTTTCCTTCCCGGACCCCTTTTGTGGCACAGTGTCCACTAGGATTTTGGAACTCCAGGACTAGACCTGCCTTGAATGTCATTGGTTATTGTCAAACCTGCCATTGTCAACTCTGGGTAAAAGTACAGTGTTAACCTGGTGCCAGTTCTAGCGGTGGTGGAGGCTTAGTTTGGCTTTAGATAAGCTGTATGGGGAGGGCTGATATTTCCAGCATCACCAGGACTTGGGTTCTGTCTCATGTAGATATGGATAGAGACAAAGAAACCTGGTAATGGAAGTGTTTCAGTCCTTATCATTCTCTGGCTTGAATCGTTATCTTAAATGCCTTGGGAGAAGAAACTCACAAAGGCAACTCAAGTGAAAGAAGCTGGTGGCTGGGTTTCTGTTAGAAACTGTTAACTTCGAAGAATCTCAGAAGAGGGAAACCACAGAGGCCCCTCTAAGGTAGTGTTGTAACAGGACACTTAACATTTCTTAACGGTTGTCATATTTTACCTTTAATATCATTGCATAAGGTCACTCATTATAGTGAAAAGAGCACAGAATTTGGAGTCTGGACACCAGCTTTTAGGATTTGGCTGTTCCCTATATCCATTTGACATCATTCAAGATATTTTTGTTAAATGCTTACTAAGAGTTAAGCTCTGTTCTAGGTGTAGAATCAAACAGGTGAAAATCCATGTCCTCATGGAACATACATCATAGTGGGGGAGACACAATAACAAATGGATATTAAATTATAGAGTATGTTGGAAGGTGACAAATGCTACGGGAGGCGGGGAAGCAAGGAAGGGGGATGTGAAGTGGCAGTGGTGGGGGGATTGAAATTTTAAATAGGATTGTCAGGGAAGTTCTCTCTGCAAAGGTCGCTTTAAAGATTGAAGGAGATGAGGGTAGATGGGAGATGAACCAATGAAATAGTAAAGATATTTATTGGATATTATTTACCGAAGGCCAACTTGGGTCAGGCATTGAATATAGATTACTCCCCCATGGGACTCGTATAATGTATACGCTATAATTACCACCATTTTACAAGGGGGGAAACTGAAGCATAGAGCATTATCACTTGTCTAAGGTCCCCAGGAGAGGAATGGATGGAATAAAAACCAAACCCGGCTGTATGACTTCATATCCGCTGCTCTGAACATCTGGGAGGGCTCTCATTTGGGCATTACTCTTCCCATCCACCCTAAAGATTGGCGAGAATGATTGCAGTTTAGTGATAGACATTCTGCGAAGGGTGGGACCTTTCTGCCCATCAAAGAATCATTCTGCCCAAATGCCACCAATGCCCCTCCTTGAGAAACAGCTCAAAACTCTATGTGTAAACAGCATCTGGCGTAGTACTTGGCTGCATCCCATGACTTGGGCAAGTGCCTGGCAAGTGTAGGGGCTTAATAATTGATTGAATGAGTGACTGAGTGAAAGTCGCAGACAAGAGATTTGGTCCCCTCATTTGCCAAGTGAAGGTAGTAATGTTACCTCTTTTATGGGTGGCGGTGGTAAAGATTAAATGAGAAGTTAGATGTGAAAATGCATTGGGAATGGATGTAAACCTATGTAACAAAACTGCATGTCCTGCACATGTATCCTGGAACTTAAAATTAAATAAAATTAAATTTTAAGAAAAGAAAAAATGAATGTAAAAGCAGTATAAACATGTTGTTGTTATGATAAATTACCTGTGTGGTTCCTCGTTCAAGGATGTGAATCTCCATGTCAACAAGATGCTGTTCTATTTAATTCTGTTTGAAACCTGAGCAAGTTTTTATCCTTTTAACATGTGCGTCCTACACTGTAAGATTTACTGAAAGGATCTGACTTCTATAAGTGTGAGGCTCCTGTGAATATCTTCTCTCTGTATGTGCTCACCCTCTGTCTGCCGTACTAACAGGCATACCCGCTGCCAAGGCCAAAACTGTGTAGCAATTTGCAAAGCAGAGTTTATATTTGGTCAGAAATCAGCCTTGTGTTTTTTTGCTGAATGCAGTGACCGCAGCATTTCCTCCCAATTATGCACTTAATTACTCCTCAGGTTCCCATTAGCTTTAACTAGTGACACTTGGGAAATAACAGGCACTGGTCAATGCCATTTCTGAAGCTGAACTCCGAGGAGGATGAAAAGCAGTCATTTCAGAAAAATAACAGTGGTAGCATGGCAGCCTGTATGTGAGCAGTTGTTGGGTGGGTTAGCATGGCTCATTGCACAGGACAGCATCAATTGGCCCTATGTCTCCACATTGGGCTTGTTCTGTGCTGAGGAGGACTTTAAGGGCTCTTCCTGTATAGGGGTCAGTCCTTCCCACTGCTTAACTGCAGGTGTCATGGAGCTTGCTCTGTGGCTGGCATTTGTAGCTGGGGCACAGACCCATTTCCTCCCTTCTTCACCAGACCAGGTGCTGAAATTTAGTTCAAAGACTCCATAACCCTGATCTGGGCTAGGCCCGGCATTCTTCAACCTGAGGCCAGGCTCACATTTGAAATAGTCCCTGTTAGGCTGCAGAGTTATCATAGAGGAAGGGGAGCATATTTGTCAGGGCTCACATTTCTTTACAAGTTGAAAAAGTTTCTATCTTTTTAAGCACCCAGACCTCTTTCCATTCCACCTAATCATTGATTTAGACTATTTGTTTGCAACTGGTTTGGGACCTCCTTCTTCCCCCATAGGGGACAGGTGGCAATGTCTGGAGACATTTTGGGTTGTCATTAACTGGGGAAGGTGTGCTACTGGCATTTAGTGAGTGGAGGCCAGGGATGCTGTTAAACATCCTACAATGGATAGGATAGACTTCCCCACAACAAAGAATAGGCCAGCTCAAAATATCAATAGTCGGGAAACCCTGTATTAGTCTGTTCTTATGCTGCTGTGAAGAAATACCTCAGACTGGGTAATTTATAAAGGAAAGAGGTTTAATTGACTCACAGTTCTGCATGGCTGGGGAGGCCTCAGGAAACTTAAAATCATGGCAGAAGGCACCTCTTCACAGGGCAGCAGGAGAGAGAATGTGTGCAAGCAGGGGAAATACCAGACACTGATAAAGCCATCAGATCTCATGAGACTCACTCACTATCATGAGAACAGCATGGGGGAAACCACCCCCATGATCCAACTAACTCCACTTGGTCCTGCCCTTGACACATGGGGATTATTGCAATTCAAGGTGAGATTTGGATGGGGACACAGTCAAACCATATCAAACCCTTATTTGATTCAACATTTTTCTGATGCTTTATGAAAAAAACCAGTAACAACAATGACCACTTACCAAATACTTGCTCTGTATCAAACAGTATGTCAGCTGCTGTATTTGGATTATCCATCCTATTTAATCCCCACCACAACCTTGTGAGATGCACATTTACCAATCCCATTATACAGGTGAGGAAACTGAGGCTTAGAGAGGTGAAGGAGCCTGCCTAATCGGAAAGCTGGAACAGGATCCTGGCTCAGGTCTAACTGACAGCAAACACTGTACTCTTCACCTCACTAGTATGCCCATCTCCATGTTCTTGGTTTCAGATAATTAGGTCAAGAAGTAATTATTTCATAAAGGCCTTAAGCTCAGCTGTAAACTCTGTAAGTGGGACATTCAATGATAGCCCCTTCTCTTCTTACCCTACACGCTATCCCTGGTGAGCTCATCCTCTCTTGGGGCCTGGGGTATCATCTGTGTTTAGATGACGCTCATGTCTTTCTTCAACTTGGATGTGACCTTGGGTCGAAGTCTAGTTCATGTATTACCTCTTGTGTTACCATCCATCCCCTCTTGGTCAGAATGAGGGGATAGATGTCCTTCCTGTCATCCCTGTGGTACTTTGTGTGTGTACATCTCTAATATTACTCATTCTGATACATTGACTCCTTCAGGGAAGGGGCCATGTCTTGTTTAGCACAATATCCCAACATCTCCAATAGAGCCTGGTACATAATGGTCACTCAGTAACTATTTGCTAAAAGAAGGAATACACTGATGGTAATTGGTCACTAAGAAGAAAATCCCCCTTTTTGGGATAGCGGGTATGGAATTTTCAATGCTGATTTGATTTTCATTTTGATTCTATGGTGAGCTGTCACTTAAGAGAGCCAAGAACAACCCCTTTTATACCATGGCTAAATGTGAACAGCCAAAAAGTGAACAACTGTCAAAGTTGTAGGAATTGCATCACTGTAACCACAAAGGTAATTAAATGTGTCCCAGAAAGGGATCTGCTAATTTGGTTTGCAACGGGAGGGTCTGAGACAAGACTTCTGTAGAGCAACACTGTCCAGTGGAAATACACTGCTGCTGCACACAGAACTAAATCTTCCGGTAGCCATTTTTACATTGAAAAAAGTGAAAAGAAACAGGTGAGATTAATACCTGAAATATTGCAACAGGTACTCAATATTAAAACTCACTGCAATATTTTACATATTTTTGGTACTAAGTCTCCAGAAATCCAATGTGTATTTTTACAGGACATCTAAATTCAGGCTAGCTGCATTTCAAATGCTTACTAGCCATACGTGACTAGGGCTACTGTAATGTATAGTGTAGCTCTAAAGTGTTAGAGAACCTTTTCTACATTGAACTAGGGCTTTTTTTGGTCTCCCCTCACCCTAATTTAAAAAAAAAATTTATGGTGACAGAATCTTGCTCTGTCACCCAGGCTGGAATGCAGTGGCATGATCATAGTTCACTGCAACTTTGACCTCCTGGGCTCAAGGAATTCTCCTCAGCCTCCCAAGTAGCTGGGACTACAGGTGTGCACCATCACACTTAGCTAATTTTTGATTTTTTTTTTCTTTTTTTTTTTTTTGTAGAGACAGGGTCTAGTTATGTTGCCCAGGCTGGTCTCAAATGCCTGGGCTCAAGGGATCTTGCCTCAGCCTCCTGAAGTACTGGGAGTACAGGCGTGAGCCATTGCGCCCGCCCCTTCCATTTTCTTAAGGGGATGTTGTCTTTCCTGGGTTTTAGCTATACCCTTTGGGAATAATATTGATTATCTTAAGGCTCAACATGTTAAATACAAGATATTGGCTGCAAAGTTTTATACACACACACACACACACACACCCCTCTAAAGTCATTTCAGGCCTCTAAGGTATCTTCAGAGTCTTCTAGTTAATCAGTCGCTATCTGAAGCTTGATTGTGCTATTGAGATCTTGACACAGTCTGCCATGTAGCAAGAGCAACTGTTACTAGCTCCATTCTACAGATGAGGCAATGGAGACTCAGAAGGATTTAGGGAATTGCTTAAATTTTGTTTCAAATGGTTCTAATACCAACGTTTAGCTGCAAAGTCTGGCCCAAGGAACATTCATTCTATTAGGGTGGATGTAAACACACATACTTCACTGTCTTATGGGGCCAGATGCGATTGCTGTTACAAAGAGAGACAAACTGTGAAGGAAAGGGAGAGGAGGGTGATTGATTTTGGTGGTGGTGGTGATGGTGGTGGTTGTGGTGGTGGTGGTGGAAGGAAACCTTCCAGGGAAAGTTGAGGTTGGCACCGGGCTCTGAAGGATGAGTAGAAATTTGCTGGCGGAATCTGGGAAGGGAGAGGAAAGACATTCCAGGTGAGGACGCCTGCCAGAGCAGGGAGTGGGGCAGTGAGGAGAGTGATGTCTGGGAATACGGGAGCCCAGGGGTGGAGAGGTGAACCTGGATGGCTCTGAATGCTCTAAAGTTTGAGTTTTATTCTTGGTACCAGGGAGCCACAGAAGGTTTAGTGTCTCCTGTTTTTCAGATGATGAAATTTAAGCTGAATTTAAACTCTCTTGTTTCATTAGAAAGGCAGTAGTTTCAAACTCACTTTCTCAAAATGAACTCGGGGCCATTTGGAAATCGTTTCTATTATCATCATTTAATGGGAGGTAAGATTATTCATGAACGACTAAAGTGCAAAGTAAGAAAGAGCTTAAAGGCACTCTGTAGTGGGATTTGAAACTCCTCTGTTTTGCATTGCTCGGGCCAAAATTATAGGCCATGGAGGTTAAATTTCAGTCTCTCAGTTGCTAATGGTGCCCTAGCTTCACCCTCAGAGGGCTCTGGAAGCAGTGGCAGGAGAAAGGGAAAGTGTGTAAATAGTCGCAGGGAAGAGAGTTTCTTGCTTCAGTGGGAGCTCATGGGTGTATCCGGGTCAGGCTGCAGCTGTTGGGCTGCCCTAGAGATGAGCAGTGAAGGATGGAGAACAAAGTCTGCTGCTTCCTCCTGGAAGCGAGACCCAAGTTCACTGTGTGTGGGGTCTGAGTGCATTGTACCCCTGAAAGATGCCGCCCTGTGTCCTCTTTAAATCAAAAGACTGCCTCTTTTTTTAGGCTCCCCTTCCTGGGCTGTGGGAGAGGGCATGGGGCTATTGTAGAGCTCATACACAATGTAAAAAGGCATCTCTCTGTGGCTTTCACAGTCACTTCTGGGGGCCATTGTGCTTGGTACAAAGCTGAGGGCTGCCTGTATTTTCTCTGCTAGACTGTAGCACTTGACGCCTGTCGATGAATAATTGAGAGCTGGTTTTCTCATAGGGGCATCTCACCACCTTTGATCCCCTTTATTTTCCGTTAAAACATCACCATCATCACCACCACCACCACCACCACCACCGCGACCACTACAACCACGACAGGGAGAACTCTTCCAAAGGCTTAATTGAAAAAGAAACTAATATAATGTAATCACAGATATGCAGCGTGTTTTAAAGGGGGCATGTGGACAGGCAAGCTAAAAGGGTTTCTGGATTTACACTTGCAAACTTATAAAGATTTAGGGATTAGAGATTGGAAGGTCTAATTGAGGTAGTACTTATTATTGGAAGCCTATGCAAAGGTATTGGAATGGGGATTATTTTGCAATTGGAAGAATTAGTGAAATCCTTTAAGAGCGAAGGTTTCATTATATATAGGGTTTTCTGTATAATTTTGCTATTCAAAAATGGAAGTGCAGGTTTGAGATCAGAAACTGAACAGGCAATCTTTTAGTTAATTGTAATAAAACAGCTTTCTTTGGGAGAGTGTGAGCCATCATCCGAACGACAATTATGTGCTTAAAAATATTAACTCGGAATAGTGGCCTTGCTCACTTTAGGATAATCCATTGCATTCAGGAGGGGAGCAGCTCAGGGCTCTTTCTTGGGACTCTGCAGAGAATTCTTTCAAGGCTTATGCTGACTTTGTTTCCTGTGCCTGTAAAAGCAAAATGAGATTTTTAAAAATAAATCCAGGGCTGATAGTAAGTGCCTTCCTGCAAATGAGATTTGAGGGATGTGCAGGATGTTGTCATTGGAAAGTCACAGCAACATTCCTTTTTTATTTTCATGGGAAATAAACAAGGAATGGATTAGGAACACAGAGGTCATTGCTGAGTGTTCGATCTGTTATAAAACTCCAACAAAGTAGAAAGGGCATTGGGTGGGCATTGGGTGGGGCATCAGGGATCTTGGGTTCTTGTCCCAGTTCTTCTGCCCCCTTTGGGGACCCCACATGTGTTACTAACAATGTAGATGTTGGCAGTTTTCAAACTACTCCTCTAAGCCGAAGCATGGGGGAAGGTCCTTGGACGGCGGTAGGGGGTCCCAGTAAACCCCACCCCCATCAGAGTGGCTCCTTGCTTATCTGTTTCATATTTTTGGGTTCTGAGTAAAATTTTGTTAGAATTAAGTATTTCAGGGCTAAAACCAACAATTTTGCAGTTGACTACTTAGACTATTTAGACTATTTCTAAGGTCTCTTCCCAACTCAGATCTGATGCTATTAGCAGTTCTCAAAATCAATACACATTTACATGAGGGTTAAATCATAATTAAAATGAATAATTACTGTTCATGCAGTATGAACTGTCTGACATCTCTCCACCCCTCCATCCAGCACTCAAACATTTATTGACCAAATATTTATCTGAGCAAAGAGACAAATCTAAATAAGACTTAGTTCCTGCCTACAAATAACTTGCAATTTAGCAAGTGGTGACAGACCCATAATTGTTAGCTGTAATGCTTTATAATAATGGCTGTGGGTGGCTAGGAAAAAAAAAAGAGTAATTAGTTTAGGGGAGGTCAGGGAACTTGACAGAGGAAGGAACATTTGAGCTGGGCTCTGGTCATTTGTTCAGTTATTTAACAAGCATTTGTTGAATGGCTACTGTTTGTGCCAGGACTGTTCCTGTGCTAGGGAAACAGCAGGGGACAAAACAGACAATGATCCCTATCTTAATAGAGCTCACGTTCTTGGCATAAAATTTATCAAGGGGCAAGGTTGGTGGCCCCACTGGCTCCTTCACCATCATCTCCCTCCCCTGCCCTATGATGCCTCAGAGTAAAGCAGCATTATATATATATATATATATATATATATATATATTTCTGATTATGAAATTAATTCAAGTGTATTATAGAGAATTTTGAAAAAAGGAACTTACTTCCAAAAAAAGTTACCCCAATCCCTGCCATATATATGCATATATATATGTATTTATATGTATATATCCATGGAAAAATAGACCAGAAGGTCAAGAGATTTTTCCTGGGTGGCAGGGATTAGGGATGAATTTTTTTGAAAGTAGGTCCCATATATATATATATGACTTTTTTTTAGAAGCGGGTCCCTTATATTATATATATTTACAAAGATATATTTTAAAAAGTTATCCCTCATATATTATTATAAATGTATACATTTATAAATAAATATATTATAATATATACATATATGTAATACTTGTAATATATAATTACATATATGTAGTTATATATGTATAAATTATAATTATATATAAATATAAATAATAATATATAATATAATATATTATATATTATAATAAATATATAAATAAATAGAATTATAATTATAAAAATTATAATAAACACATGCAAAAACAATATTACATATATGTTATATGTAATAGCATATGTTACACATATATGTAATATATGTAATATGTACACATGTAGTATATACACATATGTGAATAATATATACATATGTTATACACACATATAATATATACACATATATGTAAGATATGTAATATATGTGTGTATATATATTTACAAAGATGAAATCGTCAGGCTTACAGTGTATTTTGCTTTTTCCATGTAGCACCGAATCATGGGCATTTTCTCATGTCATTCAGTTTTCTCTGACAACACTGTAATATTCCATCAGATGGATGTATTTTCATTTTGCCATTCTCCTTTGTTGAATATTTTTGAGAAAGATTTTCCCTTTTAAAAAAATGCCGTTTTTTTTGTAAACTAAACTTTTGTCTGAGTTTCTTAATGTCCCTTTCAGATAAAATTTCAGAGGGGCAATTCAGAGGTTATAAACCTTTGAAGGCTCTTGATAAGTGTAACCAAATTATTTTCTAGAAGATTGTATCTATTGATGCTCCAACCAGCAGTGTGTGAATATGTCCATCTTACTATATCCCAGCTCCTTTGATTAAGCTGTCATCCAGATTCCTGATGGAGCCTTCCTCTATCTCAACATTCATGCTTGCATTGAGTTTTTGGTCCATACTAGATTATAGGCTTCTGGAGGCCACAAACTGTGTCCCCAGTCCCTGGCGTATGACAGACTTGTAATAAAATAAATGTTTGTTGCATACATGCTTGCATGTCTGAATGAATGAGCCAAGGAAGGTAAGGAGAGGTTTCACTTGATCTGGGAAGAGAACAGAACTTTCTTCAGATGTCACAAAGTATCTTATTAATGGGCTTCCAGGGATAGGGGGATTCATGAATGGACAAGTAGCTTGCTGTAAAGCCACCTCCATACCCTCAGTGCCTGTCCAAGAGTCCTATAATAGATCATCCTTAGGATTCAAATTCAATGAAAAGATACATTTTCACTGCTACTCACTAGGTACCCATTACAGGTGTTAAATCATTTAGTCTTCTCCACAGCCTGGCGAGGAGAACTGGCCTCATCCTCATTTTTAGGTGGGACTCAGAGAAGTTTTGTAATTAACTTAAAGTAACCCAGCTAGTAGTTGGTGGAGCTCGGATGCCCTGGCTCATCTGACTCAAAGTGCTCTAATAAGAACTTCTCTCTGCAAAGCGTGGGCTGGCATCTGCGAGAAAAATTTCTTTTTGTGATTTAGGAGGAAAAACATATGGAGAAACCCTATTGTCTGAATGCTGCGTCTCTCCCTAATTCATGTGTTGAAACCTAATCCCCAATATGAGGCTCTTAGAAGGTGGTGGTCTTTGGGACGTGATTAGGTCATGAGGGAGCCCTCATGAATGGGATTAGTGCCCTTATAAAAGAGACCCCAGAGAGACCCTCACCTCTTGTGCCATGGGAGGACACAGTGAGAACCAGGAAGTGGGACCTTTCCAGACACCAAATCTGCCAGTGCCTCGATCTTGGACTTTCCAGCCTCCAGAACTGTTTGAGCAATAAATTTCTGTAGTTTACAAGCCACCTAGTGCAGGATATTTTGATATAGCAGTCCAAATGGACTAAGACAAGGAACGATCCTTGAGCTGAAAGGAAAATGAACAATTGCTCTGCAGTTGGAAAGACACAATGATAGCTCTAGGAGGCATTGTGCACTCAATTGTCCTCAACTGATTGGAGAAAGGAATTCAGTTATGAGGAAGTTCATTTAGTGAGAAGGTCTAAGAGCTCTTCACATGTCTCCTATGACTCTAAGAAGGGTGATGGCTGGCAGCACCCTGAGAATGAAGCCTCTCCAGGGAGCTGTGTGTTGATGGGGCTCTCAAGTTTGGGAAGCAACCCCCCTAACAGGAAGTGGGGGTGGGAGACAGGGAGAGAAAAACCAAAGCAAACCCATAACTCAAACTGTATCTTTCTTCTTGCAAAAGTGAAAGACATTGCTGATCGTTACACACACACACACAAACACACACGGCAGATGGAGCTTCCTGTGTAGTATTTCTGTTACTTATATCTCCAGAAGGAAGGCCTGGGTATATTTTAATTTTATTATTTTCTTTTCTTAAACATTAAAAAAATGATTTCCACTAGCCCATACCAGAGACCCCAAAATACACTGTAAGTAAAAATGTGATGTTTGCCACGTGAATGCAGTGCCAGCACCTCTCTTCCACCAGGTCCACGTCCCTAAGCCTTTTTATATCTGAATTCTGGAGTCTCCACTGACCCCTTCCCCATAGTCTCTTTTATGTACACCCTGACTTCCCAGCAGCAGAGTGCCGAGATGGAAGCGGATGAGGGGAAGTGAGAATAAGTCTAAAATAGCTGTCTATTAGGTTTCCTGTTAAGTAGGATGTGGTCAGTTAGCTTCGGTTATCTGTAAGTCTAGTTCAGGCTGTTCCTGTTAACAGCTGAGTATTCACGGGGCCCCAGAGCATGGAGGTGCTTGCCTGGGAAGGAAAGCAATTATCAGAAATGTTGGGGCCCAGTCACTACCTTGAGGAAAACCGGTGGGATTTAGCCTTTTGGGAAATAAAGGTGGTGTTCCCTGTGGCCATCAGCAGCAGTGGCAGGCAATTTCAAGAGCTTCAGGAGGTGACTGGAACCATCTAGTCTCTGGTCATTTGGGGGATGAGATGACATGGTTTGGTTCTTAACACATAGTGGGAGAGGCAGTGAACTGGTGCCTTCATTCTAGGGGGTTATTGAAAAGGAGGTTTTTAAAACTGGAAATGACAACATGGAAGGAGCCTTTAAACAGTGCATGTCCAAGGCATGTCCAAGGAAAAGCCGTTTTCAAAAGAGTCACCTGTCTTTACTTGGCATTTCCAAACTTGCCTCAGATATCTTTCTGAGGGACTCTTAACGTATTGGTAGAAATTGGATGCAACTCCTTCCTTTCCCAACCCAACTCAAATTGGTTTAAGCAAAAAAAAAGGGCCCCCCCTTTTTTTTGGCTCAGGGAACTGAGCCAAACTCAGTGTGGCAGAGACCAAGCACCCTAGCATGTGATTGTTCATGCTGTGTCTGTCTCCTCATGGTGGCAAGATGGCTGCCTGCGGTTCCAGCCTCCATCCTAGCCTTTCAGCAGTCCCAGTAGAAAGAGAGAGTACTTCTTTTTTCCAGCAGTTTCCACAAAAGTTCTGGAATGTAAAGTTCTTAAGGGCAGGGATTTTTATATTTTGTTTACTGTCATCCCCAGCTCCTAGAACGGTGCCTGTCCTACAGCAAGTGTTCAGTAAAAATCTGTTGAGTGAGCAAATCTCATTGGTGTGGCCGGGATCACATGCCCAGTTTGAGAGTAAGGTTGGGAGTGAGAGAAAGAAAACTGGAGATGCTCTTATCCAAGACAGGCATCAGATCTTGTTTTTCTGATGAATAACAACCAAGAGAGGCAAGAGGTAAAAAATATATAATTAGATTTTAAAAAGTCTTGCACTCTTAGGTAGTAGGTAGTATGCTAGGAAGTTTTTTGCCACTAGGAAAACCTATTTGGACTGAAAATGGCCGCATGAACTTTTGATTCTGTTTACCTCCTGTTGCTAGAAGACAAATGTGTTCCTATGGCTTGAAGAAGCCACAGGACATATTTTTCTCATGTATGCATGCCACTTGTTGAAGATGGCTCACCACCATGTCTGCCTTCCTGCCAGTGGGAAGAGGGAGAGAGGTCCAGCGGAGGGCATTCCCCTTGGATCCATCACTTTTGCTTAAATCTCACTTAGCTCCAGCCATTTATGTCTGTGGGGGAGGCTGGGAAAGGTAGTCTTCATTCCGTGTGGTCATGTGCTAAACTTGTGTTTTCTTTATTCTAAAGGAAGACAGAGAATGGATATTGGGGGTCAACCAGGAGTTCTGCTGCAAAAGGTTCTATACTTTAGTTGGTCAGTGCTCTGAGCCCCTGTTGAATTCAGGCCTATCTTTCATAAACATCTGCTTAGTCAGTGCACTGAGTTGATAGTGTCCCCGCCCCCCCCTCCAAATTCATGTTCTTCCTGGAACCTCAGAATGTGACTTGACTTGGAAATAGGGGCATTGCAAATATAGTTAGTTAAGATGAAGTCAACCAGGTGCAGTGGCTCCCACCTGTAATCCCAGCACTTTGGGAGGCTGAGGTGGGTGGATCACGAGGTCAGGAGTTTGAGACCAGCCTGGCCAAGATGGTGAAACCCCGTCTCTACTAAAAAATACAAAAAATTAGCTGGGCATGGTGGCGGGTGCCTGTAATCCCAGCTACTCAGGAGGCTGAGGCAGGAGAATTGCTTAAACCTGGGAGGCGGAGGTTGCAGTGAGCTGAGATCGTGCCACTGCACCCCAGCCTGGGCTACAGAGCAAGATTCCATCTCAAAAAAAAAAAAAAAAAAAAGATGAAGTCATATTAGAGGACAGTGTGCCCTTAATCCAATATGACTAGCGTCCTTATTATAAGAGGAGAAGAGACACAGAAACACACATAAGACCGTGTGATAATGGAGGCAGAGACTGGATTGATGCTGCCATGAGCCAAGGAATGCCAGGAGCCACCAGAAGCTGGAAGAAACAAGAAAGGATCCTTCTCTAGAGGCCTCAGAGAGGGCATGGATGGGCCTGCCAACATCTTGATTTTGGACTTGTGGTCTCCAGAACCATGAAGGAATACATTTCTATTGTATTAAGCCACCAAGTTTGTGGCACTTTGTTATAGCAGTCCTGGGAAAATACTGCAGTCTGAAGGAACACATTTCTTGCCTTGACCCAGTAGGGATTCTTTCCAGTTGGAGTCAGGGGATGTGGCTTCTTAGCTTCACCCCTGTGCCGGGATGTGACTCAGCAGAGGTCACTTAACCTCTCTGTGCCGTACTTTCCAGCTATGAAATGGGAAGAGAGCTGCCTTTCTGCTCTGCTGTAACACTGCAAAGGTACAGCCTTTCATGACTTCTCATTGCACCCAGAAGAGAAACCCAAATCCTTAGCCTGACTTCAAGGTCCCGCCTCACTGAGGCCTGCCTGGTCCCACTTCCTTGTTCCCCTGCCCAGCTGGACTTGCGCCACTCTGCCTTCTTTCAGTGCCTTATGAGCACCACACTCTTGCCACGTCACGAATTTTGCACTTGCCGTTCCCTGTGCTTGGCGTGCTTTTCCTTCAGGTCCCGTTTAATGTTGCTTCCTCGTATTGGCCTTCCCAGTTGGGTGCGCTGGAATAAGTTATCACTTAAAAAAAGTAATCTACTGTCATACTTTACAATTTTTAGAATTTGGCCCAGCTTTTTAAGCCACTGAAAGAAATGGTTTCAAAAACCAAACCTGGGTGCAGTCACCTGAGCCCACTGTTCCAGCTGGTGGCTTCCTTCTGTAGGGAGCGGTCATGGATTCTCTCACGCGTCGATGGGGGGCAACGATATCAGATATGGCAAAGATTGGCTAAGAAAGGGAAGGCATTTTTGGAGAGGGCTTTGGGGTTTCTGATACCTAAATGTCTCATCCAAGTGAACAGAGTATTTACTCGTCTATGACTTGAAAAAAGAATATCTTTTTGATGTTATTGTAAATAGGACTGTTTCCTTCCTTCTTTCCTTCCTTCCTTCCTTCCTTCCTCTCTCCCTCCCTCCGTCCCTCTTTTCCTTCCTTTCTCTTGCATTTTTTTTTTTTGGAGTTTTGTTCTTGTTGCCCAGGCTGGAGTGCAATGGTATGATCTTGGCTCACTGCAGCCTCCACCTCCCATGTTCAAGCAATTCTCCTGCCTCAGCCTCCCGAGTAGCTGGGATTACAGGAACCCGCCACAATGCCTGGCTAATTTTATTGTATATATATATATTTTTTAGTAGAGACAGGGTTTCACCATGTTGGCCAGGCTGGTTTCAAACTCCTGACCTCAAGCGATCCACCCACCTCAGCCTCCCCAGGATTGTTTTCTTGATTTTATTTTTGGATAGATTGTTGCTGATATAAAGAATGTATGGCTCTTTTTTTTTTTCCTATTCCTCACTACCTTCTGCCTTCCTTTCGCCTTCCCCCATCCCTTCTCTTTGCTGAAGACGGTGTGTCATCTGGGGTAACCCTGGGTATTTACGAGCCAGTGGAGGCTGCTCTGCCACCTGGGGCTGCTGGGCCCCAGAGCCACATCAAACAGGGAGCCCCCCCCCGCAAAAATGAAAGGAGGCCATGTCAAATGGGCAGCTGGTGTTTACTTCTTTTAAGTTTAGGCACATCCTTTACATCCACATGGCTTTATTTTTTAGGCAAGTGGGCTCACCACTTTCCTAGACCATGTGGCCACTGCCTCCCTTCCCTTTCCCCACCCTCAGTGTCATTTTGGCTTTTCCCACAGAGGAAAGGCTCACAGAACTCCAACGTGGTTCTGCTTGCTTAGATCGATGAGACAAGATTTTGGTCCTTTGAGCAAGGTAGGAGTTGTTGTAATAAGAGCTGACAATTATGGAGGACCTAGTGTGTGCCCGGAGCTTCACACACATTGCCTCAAATTCTCACAACGGCCTCATAAGGTACATGTTACCTGGACAAAGACAGCAGCTCAGAGAACTCATTCCACTTACCCAAGGTTGCAGATTTCAACTCGGTCCCAACTCACTCCAGAGTCTGTGCATCCCCCCACTTAAGACTTTAATGTCTTAAAAATGTCCCCACTTCTTCTGTCTTTTAGTGGCTTCACGTCTGAAGTCTCTGCTTACTTTTTGGAACAGATGGTGGTTCTCATAGACTTGGCCCGGAGTCAGCATGGGAGAAAGTCATCCTGTCTGAAACAGTGCTGATTCGGGTCACCACAGATTCAAGGTTTCTAACCTTGGCTCTACTTAAGAACAACTTGGACATCCTTTCATGTAGTTCATTGATACCCACATGCCTCCTGGTGCAATATCTCCAAAACTGGACTCCTGCATCTTCACATGCTCACCCTTCACACCCCATCCATTCTCCACACCCTTCACATCCCAGTTCCTGAAGGCAGGTCCCTTGGTTACAGTCTCTCCCCATGCATTTGGTTGTTTTTTGTTGAGATGGAGTCTTGCTCTGTCGCCCAGACTGGAGTGCAGTGACGTGATCTCAGCTCACTGCAACCTCTGCTTCCTGGGTTCAAGAGATTCTTCTGCCTCAGCCTCTCGAGTAGCTGGGATTACAGGTGCCAGCCACCATGCCCGGCTAATTTTTGTATTTTTAGTAGAGACAGGATTTTGCCATGTTGGCCAAGCTGGTCTTGAACTCCTGACCTCAGGTGATCGGCCTGCCTCGGCCTCTCAAAGTGCTGGGATTACAGGCGTGAGCCACCGTGCCCGGCCTCCCCATGCACTTTGACTTTTTTTCATTGCACTCCATTTGTCCATGCAGCAATCCCTCAGGATGTGATTCATTCAGCCTGCCAATTTTGGATAATAAGAGAAGAGAGTTCAGATACAAACTCCCCAATGTTACCTGCATCTCTTTGGTTCCTGCTTTTGGAGAGTAAGGGGTACCTGAGTTTGTTTTATGTCTCTTCTTCAGTATTCTGCTCCACAAGCTCCACGTGTACTTATTCCTCAGTACGCCCCCTTAGTGAGTTTGTTTATTGGGTGAGTGAAAGGAACAGATGAGTAGATGAATGACCCAGGTGAGGCCTGGGGTCGGGGAGGACTGTGGCTCTTCTTACCTGCTGTTGAAGCTGGCCTGGTGGAGGAGGCTGGAGGCAAAGGTGGGGACGTAGTCTCTGTAGCTTCTGCAAGTAGAGGGTCTGCTGCTGGGGTCAGGGAGGATCTGAACCTGGGCCTGCTTGACTCTACAGTCTGTTTGTTTCTACTACTGTCTGCGAAGGTCTGCTGTTTCTACTGCTACATAGTCACCTGCATCTAGGTCTTCTTTTTGCCATTGTTGGGAATTGGCATAAGATGGAATGAGATTAGATGGCATCATGGTCAGAGTGACCCATTTCCTAATGGTTCCTCTCCTGGTTAGTGGCTGGAGTGGGCAACAGAGACAAGTCATCTTTCAGTGGGTCATTGCCAAGGAGGGAAAGACTGGGCTTGGAGAGCTGTGTGCTGGTTCCTGGGAACAGGCATCCTTGGCTTGAGATCACAAATGGGACAGCCCCATCATGACGATTCACGATCACATTAACATACTCAGTGCTCTGGGAAGTCCTGCCATTAAGAACCCCAGTTAACCCAGAATTTCTTAAACTTACACAACCACAGAATCTTTTTTGGGGACTGGAGAGGTACCACTTCATTTATTCATTAAATAGTTACTGAGCACCTACCCTGTGCAGATGCTATTCACACCTGAGATATGGAGGTGACAAGGCAGACCTGGCAAACTTACAATGTTCTCATCTATAAAATGGGTATACAGGAGTGTCTACCTTGCAGGGTTATGGTGAGGTCTACATTTAATGAACTAATGCAGGGTAAGTGTTTGGCACAGCCCAGGGACATTGTAAGTGGTCAGTGATACATATGTATGATTGTTATCACCCTAGTGGAGGATCAGATATTAAACAATTAAACAGGTACCTATTTAGTAACAATGGCGTTAAGTTATACAAAAGAGAAGGACAGGGTGTCAAGAGAGCACATAGCAAGGAAACCTAATGAATGTTGGCAGGTGGGATGGCGGTAGTGGTCACAGAAGGCTCTCTCCTGAGCAAGCCATGCTGAAGCTAAGACATGAAGGATGTGGGGATTGTTGGAAAAGAGTGGGAAGGGAGTGAGGCCTCCTTGCCTTGGGAATCATGGCCCGAATGTCAGGGGCTTACACACACGGGTGCCGTCTGGGGAGTTAAATTCTCTGGACTGTCTATTTCAGAATTAGGGAGGTAGGGGCAGGCTCTAGTAGGCTGTGGGGTCCAGAAATGAATGTCTTTAAAACTTACCCCAGAAATTTGGAGCACCCTTGGGAATATTTTTTGGAATTGCTGCTCCAGGACAGCGGGCCTCAGAGGTTCATGTGCTTAGAAATCACCTGAGTCTCACTCAAAATGCAGCCGTGGGGCCTGGGAATCTATTTAACAGACACATCCTGAGGCGATTCTGCTGCAGGAGGTTCCCCGACCTTGCTTTGAGAAACACATCTCTGGAAGATTGACTCTTATAAAAAATCGGGAACACGAAGGCACGACAGCAAATGATTCCAGCAGAGAATATACAGGGGCACCTCTAGAGACTTTGTATTTGATCTTAGAAAGTACACAGTGGGCAAGAAGAGTGGTATGCAACCCCATGTCAGGAGGGCCACAGCTGCAGGGAGCGGGGCTCGGAGGAGCTGCAGATCCTAAGAAGGATCCACGACCTTTGGGAACCTCGCTGTTTCTGGCCTTCTGCTCACCGCAGAGGGTGAACTGGCCATCTGACACCCAGCTCCAACTTCAGGGTTGTTCAATGTCTGTGTGCAGTTGTGACAATGGCAGAAACAATCGGTTTAGACTTTCTCTGCAGAAGGTAGACTGACTCGGGCACTTCTCTATGTTCCCTGACATTGCCAGTCTTAGGAATTGGTCGTGGGGAGCCTTGAATTCAAGCCCAAAGCAACTTTAACATTCATAACCACAACGCATCTGTAATCAGCGGGACTTATCATGAGTTCTTGAGCTGCAAATGGAAACGGTGGAAACTGAACAGACCTCCTACCACAGACTTCCTGCTGATCCACCTGCCTCCTCCCTTCAGGGCCCCTTGGGTTGTAATCACTGATGCACCATTGTTAGGCGGCAGGGTGATTTAAGGTGAATTGGGCCTTTGCACGGCCTGCTTGGTTAAAAGCTGGAGCATAAGTCATCGCACCATTCTGTGTGCGTGTGTGTGTGGGCATGTGTGTGCATGTGTGCACGTGTGTGCCTGTGTGTGCCTGTGTGTGTGTGCCCATCTTCGTCTTCCTTCCCCTCCCAGCCTTCCCTGCCTGGGCTTTGGGGCTCCCTGTGCTGTGAATTTCACTTTGCTGGGTTACTTCCAGTGCATGCTGCTAGTCATTCTTGCTTGACCTTTAAATTTTTCTCTTTAGGGAAAATATGATCATTAGTCTGTGTTCTCCAGCAGATGTATACCAGTCACGGGCAGTCTTCCTGCTTCACTTCACATCCATGGGGAAAAAGTGTTTTAAAGTCAGTGTGATTTTTTTTTTTTTTTAATGACACAGAAATGAATATTAGACTAGAGGGCCGCTCTGTCGAATGGCTGTTTGGACAGGAATCGGGGAATGCAGCGGGGTGCTCCCAGCTTTCACAAATGATGACTTCAGCTGTTTGGGGGTCTGACTTCTTGCCTGTTGGTGACACAGTGTGGCTGGACTGTGGGGTTCACCAGCCAGAACTTAATCCTGGGCTTCACAGCCCATGCATGCATGAGAGAGTTTGACAGATGTGGGCTGCATTTTCTGGTACGTCTGGATGGTGAGATTGTCTAGAAGGGTGTGTTTCTGGAACTTTCCAGTCAGGCTTCACCATGGTGAGTATTTAATGACCACACACGAAAGCCTCATTGCCAGGGCCGCTCCCTGGCACAAACCGAATCATAGAATCATGGAATTTCAGAGCTGGAAAGAGCCCCTGAGCCGACTGAAGGGGAAAAGAACTTCCCTGGGAGTAGGAAGACCCAAATTCGGGGCTCCTGCCCTACTCCCATTGCAGCTGAACATGATTTCTGAAGGAAGAGCATGTTTAAAACGAAGGGGGGCATACTAGCCTTCTACCCTTTGTTACACAAATACATAATAGTCCAATTCAGCAATCCAACAGCGCAAGGCTTTTATAAAGAGGCATGCCCAGATAGAGTTAGGAATATACCAAAGCAAAGCACATTTCTGGTCTGAGATATTTTAAAGTCCTCTCTTGGTTTTCGGTGAATCCTTTGGTCGATACAGTAGACTTTATAAATGAAGAACACAGGCTTGCCAGATTATAGTTTCTGTCTGCCTAAAAATAGCCTTCTTTCCATCCCATGACTGTCAAGAATTCTTGCTTGTAATAACCCCGTTATCAACATTACTAGACTCATAATAATGACTGTCTCTTCTTGAGTGCCTGATACATGCTATGCCAGGTGCTTTAGAAACAATATGTTGGTTTTTCTTTTTTTGTTTTGTTTTTCTTGAGACAGGGTCTCACTGTCTTCCAGGCAGGAGTGCAGTGGCATGATCATAGCTCACTGCAGCCTTGACTTCTTGGGCTTAAGCGATCCTCCCACCTCAGCCTCACAACTAGCTGGGACTACAGGCACATGCCACCACACCTGGTTAATTTTTAAACTCTTTGTAGAGACAAGGTCTCAGTATGTTGCCCCGGCTGGTCTTGAATGCCTGAGCTCAAGCGATGCTCCCGCTTCAACCTCCCAAAGTGTTAGTATTACAGGCATGAGCCATTGCTCCTGGCATTGTCTTGTTTAATACAGCTTTAGAGATGTTTTCATTGTCCTTATTTTACTGATGAGGAAGTTGGGCTTGGAGAGGTAAAGATATTTATCTGAGCTCACCAGCTGAACTTAGATTGCTGGCTCCTTTAAGAATCCTGTAAAAATGCATACGAAACAGTATGTACCTATTTTTTTTTTTTTAAACAAAGTGGAGCTTCCTGGGTGAACATAGAGTTGCGTATCATTTAATTATTTGTATTCTCTTGCATGTCTCCTTGCGTGGTTAAAATACTGGTACATTTTTCTTTTTTTTTCTCTATTTTTTTTTCACAAGGAGATACCACTTCGTACATCTATTAGAAGATTTATTTTTATTTTTATTTTTTGAGACAGAGCCTTACTTTGTTTTCCAGGCTGGAGTGCAGTGACACAATCATAGCTCACTGCAGCCTCGAACTCCTGGGCTCAAGCAATCCCCCTGCCTCAGCCTCCCAAGTAGCTGGGACTACTGGTGCGTGCCACCACGCCTGGTTTAAAATCCTGGCAAACTTTTCAAAAACAAACATTATCTGGCAACTAATTTTTTTATATGGATGATTTTTTTTTTCTTTTTAATTAAGCTAGCTTGTTAGGGGCCCAGGGCTTCTGAGAATTGGCTTTGCACATGGGAACCACGTTCAAAGGACGGAGAAAGATGTTGCTGCCCAAGATGGCAGGTGCAGGTGAGGGTGCTGTGGAGGGTGAGGAGGTGCTCCACATGCAAAGCCCCTTGGGGAGCCTGAGAGTAGAGAGGTCTGTGTGTGTGTATGCATGTGTGTGCGTATGTGTATGCGTGTGTATGTGTGTGTATGTGTGCGTGTGTCCAGGTATGTGTATGTGTCTATGTATGTGTATGCATGTATGTATGTGTGTATATGCATGTATGTGTGTATGCATGTGTATGAGTGTGTGTATGTGTGTCCGTGTATATGTGTGTGTATCTCTGTGTGTATATGTGTGTATGTGTGCGTGTATGTGTGTGTATGCGTGTGTATGTGTGTGTATGTATGCGTATGTATGCGTATGTGTGTATGTATGTGTGCATGTATGTGTGTGTGCGTGTGTATGTGTGTGTGTATGTGTGCGTGTATGTGTATGCGTCTGTGTATGCGTATGTGTGTGTATGTGTGTATGTGTGCGTGTATGTGTGTATGTGTACGCGTGTGTGTGTGTGTGTGTGTGTGTGTGTGTGTCTATACACATACCAAGCCTGTTTGGTTGTTCACCGTTGTGTTAGTTTGCTAGGGCTGCTATAACAAAGTACTGCAAACTGGGTGGCTCGCAGTTCTGGAGGCCGGAAGTCCAGGATCAAGATATTGGTAGGTTGGTTCCTCCTGAGGCCTCTCTTCTTGGCTTGATGGCCACCTTCTCACTGTGTCCTCACATCCTCACATGGTCTTTTACCTCTGTGCACCTCCCTGATGTCTCTTTCTGTGTCCTAATTTCTTCTTCTTCCTCTTTTTTTTTTCCTTGAGATGGAGTTTTGCTCTTGTTTTGCCCAGGCTGGAGTGCAATGGCATGATCTTGGCTCACTGCAACCTCCACCTCCCAAGTTCAAGTGATTTTCCGGCCTCAGCCTCCCAAGTAGCTGGGATTACAGGCGTCCGCCACCATTCCCAGCTAATTTTTGTATTTTTAGTAGAGATGGGGTTTCACCATGTTGGCCATGCTGGTCTCGGACTCCTGACCTCAGGTGATCTGCCTGCCTCGGCCTCCCCAAGTGCTGGGATTACAGTTGTGAGCCACTGCGCCTGGCCCTAATTTCTTCTTACAAGGACACCAGTCAGATTGGATTAGGGTCCATCCACTGTTTTGACTTAATTACCTCTTTAAAGGCCCTGTTTCCAAATATAGTAACATTTTAAGGTCCTTGGGGGTAGGAATACCCTATCTTTTATTTATTTATTTATTTATTTTTGAGATGGAGTCTCACTCTGTCGCCAGGCTGGAGTGCAGTGGCACGATCTTGGCTCACTGCAACCTCCCCGTCCTGGGTTCAAGTGATTCTTCTGCCTCAGCCTCCTGAGTAGCTGGGACTACAGGCATGCACCACCACGCCCAGCTAATTTTTGTATTTTTGGTAGAGAGTTGGCCAGGATGGTCTCAATCTCTTGACTTTGTGATCTACCCACCTCGGCCTCCCAAAGTGCTGGGATTATAGGCATGAGCCACTGCGCCCGGCCAGAATACCCTATCCTTAAACATGAATTTAGGGGAGGGGAGGACACAATTCAATCTATAACAACTATCACTGGCTGATTTTGGCAGAGGCCTGTGGCCTCCAGTATTTTGAGGGAGCTGAGGGCCACTGATCTCTCCATATGCTCTCAACATCATGGGACTAGTAGGATGAAAGCAAGCCTCAGACCAGATTCTACCTCAAGCAGGCACACAAACATTCATGCAGCTTCTACTTGGAGCCTGATGAAGTTCAAATTGTTTGTCCTCTGAGGCTCTCTTTGCATGGAAATTTCTCCCATGACAGATGAGAAAGTTCTGGGGCAGCATTCAGCTTTCTAGTTGGATTAGGCAACAGAATCCTTTGAAAATGTCTGTGCACAGACCAGGTGGCTCTCTGGGCCAGTGTACTCTGAAAGATGTGTGTCCTGGCCTAGCTGGTTGAGGAAAAGCAGGGCAAGCCTAGCCAAATCACACATCTTGAACAGCCCTCATTCGTTATACTAACTTTCCCACCCTCTGGTGTGTATAGGAGATAAAGATGGCAGACGTGCTATTAGGCTGCCAATGGGAGTGGGCTCTGATATGGTCTTTCAAATATGAATCACCCCTGGCATGTGTGTTTCCTGTTTAAGGTTCTCAGGTATTACCCAACTGCACCAATATTAAAATGGACACATACCGTGTCATGCAGTTGGTGCCGAAGTGTTTTAAGGGAAGTTGTAGGCAATGTGAGTTTATCAGAAAACTTCACCATATCAGCATTTTGCCCTGAGCTTACACCATTCCCAGATCAAGGTACAAGCACAATGATTTCCTTTCTTGAAAAGTTCAACAAAAGCAAGAGAGAGAGATTGGAGTTGATGCTGCATTTTTATTCTGTGTTAAGTCTTGAACCTGCTGTTGCTGAACATTGGTCAGGGGAATTTGAGAAGTGGAAAGTGGGCTTTTTTCACCCTTTGAAAAGAGAGGATGGATTCTTCACCAGAACTGACATTTAAAAAAAGTCAGCGTGGCACGTTTTAGTATGTGTGGCAGATCTAAAGAGACAATATTTTGATCTCAGGAGTGTTTATTCTTGAACCATTTTCAGAACTCTAAGATTTGAGAAATAATAAAATATTGACCATCCTTCAAAGAGAAAAACACAGGGCGATCTTTGGCATAGCCTGTCATTTTGCTCACATTTCACTTCTCTCTCTCCAACTTCAGAGCCCCTGCTGTGGAACAGGTGCTGTGCTGGGTGGCAGGGGAGGTCTCTGGCTTTTTTTTTTTTGATCTCCGTCTTAACATCTAGCCTACTGGAGGAAGTGTATTTAATCATCCACTTATCTGTTAACAATTATCTCTGAGGGCCCGTCACATTCAGAGAAGATTCTAGGTTCTCTACAAGTATCCTCTCACTGTGTACATACTAAATCAACATCCTGCTGGATTTCCCCCAGACATCTCCCTTCATCACCATTGGAGAGTATCCTCTAATTGCCAGCCCTATTCACCATACTCATCTCATTTGATCTGGAGTTTTCTGAGAGTGACCGGGGGTGGGATGGACAGGATAATTTAGCAAGAGTGTATAAGTAAAATCTATATAATAAAAGTTATCTCCCTGTGCCCCCCATGATCTATTCTTTATGTAGCAGTCTGAATGAGATTTTCAGAAACAAGAACCACTTTACCTTAGTCTCTTCTTCTTCTTCTTCTTCTTTTCTTTTCTTTTTTTTTAGTATTATGGGGATCTGTTTCTGTTGCCCAGGGTGGAGTGCAGTGGTATGATCTTGGCTCACAGCAGCCTTGAACTCCCAGGCTCAAGTGGTCCTCCTGCCTCTGCTTCCCTAGTAGCTAGGACTACAGGTTTGTGCCACCACACCTGGCTAATTGAAAAAAGAAATTTTTTTTCAATAGAGACAGTGTCTTGCTATGTTCCCAGGCTAGTCTCAAACTCCTGGCCTCAAGTGATCCTCCTGTCTCATCCTCCCAAAGTGTTGGAATTACAGGTGTGAGCTACTATACTCGGCCAGTACCCTTCTCAAAACACTTCAGCACTTCCCATTGCACTTGGGTTGAAATTCCCACCACTCACTGGGGCCCACAAGACTCTTCAAGACTGAATCCTTGCTCAACATTGTGACCTGCCCCCTACCACCTGCAGCCTCACTTGCTGTGCTCCAGCCATGTGGATCTTCCTCCTGTCTCTAAAACTGCCTCAGGTCATTTGCACCTGCTGTTCTTCCCAAAGGCTGTGTGATTTCCATCAGTCAGTCTTAGCTCGTATACCTCCTTGGAGACACCTCTTCTGACCAACCAGTCCAAAGAATCTCCTCTTACCATGTCACTCTGTTTTATTTATTTATTTAGAGATGGAGTCTCGCTCTGTCACCCAGGCTGGAGTGCAGTGGCGCGATCTCTGCTCACTGCAAGCTCCACCTCCTGGGTTCATGCCGTTCTCCTGCCTCAGCCTCCTGAGTAACTGGGACTATGGGCACCCACCACTACACCCAGCTAATTTTTTGTATTTTTAGTAGAGATGGGGTTTCACTGTGTTAGCCAGGATGGTCTTGATCTCCTGACCTTGTGATCTGCCTGCCTCCACCTCCCAAAGTGTTTTATTTATTTTAAAGGCATGTATCACTCTCTGAAAATTAGCTTCTTTCTTCTTTTTCCTTGTTATCATCCATTTCCCCGAACCAGAATAGAAGTTCCTGAGGCCAGAACTTCTGTCTCTCTGCCCCTCACTATGTGTCTCTGGCACATACCCCAGTGCCTGCCTGCTCTAAAGTAAAATCTTAGTAAATATTACTGTTGACTAAATAAATGAATAAATCCCTTTTAATGCCCTTTGGAAGTTGCAAGTAAAGAATAGGATCCCTTTTTAAGATTACACTTTTGGCTATTGATCTGTGTGTCTGGAACAAGATACAGTTTGAAGATACTACCATGGGACATGACATCAGTTGAGCTGATTAAGGTTTTAGTAATAAGAATCCAGGATGTGTCCGGGTGCGGTGGCTCACGCCTGTAATCCTAGCATTTTGGGAGACCGAGGCGGGCAGATCACGAGGTCAGCAGTTTGAGACCAGCCTGACCAACATGGTGAAACCCCGTCTCTACTAAAAAATACAAAAATTAGCCGGGTATGGTGGTGTCCACCTGTAATCCTAGCTACTCAGGAGGCTGAGGCAGGAGAATTTCTTGAACCCGGGAGGCGGAGGTTGCAGTGAGCCGAGATCACACCAGTGCACTCCAGCCTGGGCAACAGAGCAAGACCCAGTCTCAGGAAAAAAAAAAAATCCAGGACGTAACTGAGGAAAATGAAGTGGAAATGAAATGCACACTTACCTATAGCTGTGTTTCCTACTGTCAGTGAGGTCAGATGTTTTTGACCAAAAAAAGATCGGAAAGTGAAATAAAACTAATGGAAATGGTGCACGATGGCTCAGTGGTTTGCAAGCAATGCAGATGGCCTCAGCCATTCACATTCAGGCAGGAGCCGCTGATCCTAGTGTTTACCTTGGAGCTGGTATCCAGTAATGTGGCAAGATGTTTATTGCTTTCTCATCAGATGATGGATGTGGAAGAGAATGTTTTTGCCCTGGAACCAGGTAGGCCTTGGGCTACTTAATTTGCTCTTTAATAGACATAGGTGTTCTTGAAGTACACCTGTCATTCCCTTAACAGAGCACCTATGAGGTGCCAGGTGCTGAGGGTTCGTTGGTGAATGAAGTACATTTTGTGGCTTCTAATCCAGTGGCTTTGGACATGTCCTGGTGAGAGGGGTGGAAATAGTGTATGCGAATGTGTGTCAAATGCCTCAGAAGTGGGAAATGGAGGGAGAGTTTGAAGGCCTGAAGGCGTTCCATCAAAGCTTCCTTCCTTGCCGTCTCTACCCTTCCCTCAACTCTGGCTCAGGCAAATGCTCAAAGTGACTCACCCTGGTAGGCACGGAAAGACAAGAGAGACTTGGATGTAGAAAGACACATTTACAGTTTGTGGAGGGCCGTCCCTTCGGACACATTTCATCAGTGGGTGTGATGCTGCCTGTGGTATCACATGTGCAGCAGCAGGGTGTTCGGTTTTGTTTTTTGAGACTGGGTCTTGCTCTGTCACCCAGGCTGAAGTGCAGTGGCACCATCTTGGCTCACTGCAGCCTCCATCTCTTGGGCTCAAGTGATCTTCCCACCCCAGCCTCCCAAGTAGCTGGGACTAAACACACACACCACCATGCCTGGGTAATCTTTTGAGATCTCACTGTATTGTCCAGGCTGGTCTTGAATTTCCGGGCTCAAGCAAGCCTTCTGCCTTGGCCTCCCAAAGTGTTGGGATTATAGTGTGAGCCACCGTGCCTGGCCTAACAAGATGTCTGTATGTGAAGCCACATTCCTGGCCCATCCACAGTCACGAGGACTTGGGACTACAGGCTGGGTGACAAAATTGAGCTGATTTCCCCAAATCTCCAAGGAGATCCCCTCTGAAGAGATGCCGTGCCGATGAGAGACAGAGCCTGCACCACGAAGCAAAGGCAGGAGCTTGTGAGCTTGTGAGCTGACCCCTCTGGCCTTGGCCTCTTAGTGTCTATAGCCCGTCACTGCCTTAAAGCCACCACATCACATGTCACTGTTCTTCAACACTGCTCTTATTTGAATGTCTCAGTGATAACATCTCAGAAATGAAAAACAGGGTCTCCACTTCTGAGGATGTGACAAGTGAGTTGGAGGCAGTTTCCCAGGGGAAGGATTTTTGTCTCAAAGCATTAAAATAGAATCCGTTCTAAGTCAGAATATTCCTTTTAAAGTTAACTTCACAAAACTTCTCTGATCTTGATCCTCTTGCTAGCAGCTGACTGCCGAGGATGGGTTCCAGCGCTTCTCAGAACAATGTCGTAGGCGTATTAGCTCTGTAAGTCACCACGAATTCAGAATAATAACTGTGGGGTGGGGTGCGGGCTCACTGATTGACTCGGAGGCATCTAGAGTTCATTTTGTAAAACACTTAAACAATTCAGGGTGTTTTGTTTTGTGGGTAGATTTTTAAAAATAATTTTAAAAATGTAAAATTGTGGTTAAAAAAGCACAATGTAAACTTTACCATTTTAATCCTTTTTAAGAGTACGGGTCAGCAGTGGTAAGTATATTCATACTGTTGTGCAACAGATCTCCAGAACTTTTTTGTTTTGCGAAACTGACATGCTGTACCCACTAAGCAAACAACAACTCCCCATTTTCTCAGACCCCCTGAGCTTCCAGTAACCACCGTTCTACTTTCTGTTTCTATGAGTTTGATAACTTGAGACACTTCAGATGCGTGGAGTCATACAGTATTTCTGTTTTTGGGACTGGGTTATTTTGCTTAGCTTAATGTCCTCAGAGTTCGTCCATGTTGTAGCATGTGACAGGATTCCTTCCTTTTTAAGGCTGAATAATTCATTGTATGTGTACACCACATTTTGTTTATCTGTTCTTCAGTTGATGGGCATCTGGGTTGTTCCTGTGTCTTGGCTGTTGTGGATACTGCTGCTGTGAACATAGGTGTGTAAATATCTCTCCGGAATCCTGCTTTCAATTCTTTTGAAAGAATTGAAAGAAGTGGGATTGCCAGGTTTTGTGGTAATTCTATTTTAAATTTTTTGAGGGCCCACCACACTCTTTTCCACAGTGGTCGTGCCATTTTATATTCCTACCAACAGTACACAAGGGTTCCAGTTTCCCCACATCCTTGCCAACACTTGTTACTTTCTAATTTTATTTTTTTTTGATAGTCACAGTCCTAGTAGGTGTAAAGGAATATCTTATTATGGTTAAACAGTGTAGTTTTATTATTTATACTTCAGGTAACCAATACATAAATTAGTACTAATAAAAATTGATAACTACTATTTATTGAGTGCTTATTAAGTGTTCTAAGCATCTTGCATGACTTAATTCTCATTACATCTCTGTGAGGAAGAGGTTCCATTTTTACCCATTTTATAGATGAGGAAATTGAGGCTTGGAGAATGTAAGGAACTCATACAAGGTCACACAACGAACTGAAGCCTGTGCCTGGATTTGAACCCAACCGTCTGGCTACTAGGGTGTTCTCTGGCTTTCTTTTCCTAATTGACTATGCTCTTTAAAATTCACATCTTCAGCTGACCCATATCAAGAAAGTTATAGAAGATAATGACATCCTGACTCCTGAATGGAGTTCCTTGAAGTGCCCAGGAATGAAAACTTGGAATAAGGCCCATGCCTCAGTCATCACTGATGCCTCGGATAGCAGACTTAAGCGAGGGCTTTAGAAATAGTGGCCTAGTCTCCTAAGCCCTGGGCTTGTAAAATACTCTGTACTTTTTTGGTTTGAATTCCCTTGTTAAATGAATAATAGAAAATGTGAGGAGAGAGGCACAACATTTTTTTCTTGACACTATTCCACTTTGAGTTTGGTTTCTATTCCAAATCTGTGTGTGTGTGTGGCAGTGGGGAGGAAGGTGTGTTGATGAGTTATTGTTGCATTAGAAGGTTCACTCTTAGAGCCACCAGATTTTCTGGAAAGCCATACATGTGCTATAATGCCTGTCAAATAAAAAATCAATGTGACACAGTTGGTTTAATTTTTGTTAATCTTTATCATATTTAATTTTGTTTTTTGACTAGACCTAATAATGGGCCAGAGGCCTTTAGGCACTGTTGAAGTGACTGCTGGCCACAATTCCCCAAATCAGCTGTAATGTTTGTGTTGGATTATTGTATTAACAAATGCTTCAAATTACATTAGAAAAAAATCCGTTATGTTATTTTAAGTTGGGGGACCAATTCCACACTCACATCTGGTAATCCTATCAGTAAATAATGGCACAGGGCCATTCTAACAGGGCCAATTAAGTCTGCAGGGCCTCTCTTCACTCTTTGATATGTTTTGTGAACATTTTTCTTATTTTGGTGCTATGAAATGAAGTCTCTGTCAAGAGCTCAAGTCATAGACTAATCCTCAAAACTTTTTTTTTTTTTAAACAAGACAAAGAAAATATGAGATGTTGTTTCCTGCAACAAAATCCTAGAGAGTTTGTAGGATGTTTTATGTATGGTGTGTTTTGAGGATCGTGGAACTGAGAAATCCACAAGAATTTGCCATCCAGAAAAACTTTCCACTGGAGGTGGGGAAGAGGGGCCTGCTTGACTCCCTCATGGGCTCAGGCCTACCTCTGCAGTTATGATTGTGGATAATTTAGCCCCTCTTGCAACAGTGTGGTACTTGCTACTCTCACCTCTGACTTGTGGATGAGAATACCTGCCTCCTGGGACCTCTCCTGGATATCAAGCCCCTGGTTTCTGTCATAAGACGTTCACTTAACAGGTGCTATACCTCAAAGGACAGATATTGTCATTTTTGTTTGCTGCAGGCTTAATTTTGTTCCCCTAAAGTTCATATGTTGAAGACCTAACCCCCAGTACCTCAAAATGTCACTACATGTGGATATGGGGTCTTAAGAGAGACAAATAAATGATTATGAGGTCATTAGGATGGGCCCTAATCCAATCTGCCTGGTATTCTTGTAAGAAGAGAAAATTTGGATGCACGGAGGCACCACGGTTGTGCACGCACAGAGGAAAGGCCTCATGGGAGGACACGGCAAGATGGTGGCCGTCTGCAGGCCGAAGAGAAAGGCCCCAGGAGAAACCAACCCTGCTTGACACCTTGATCCTAGACTTCCAGCCTCCAGAACTGTGAGAACGTAAAATTCTGTTGTGAAAGCCACCTACTCTGTGGTATTTTGTTATGGCAGCCCAGGCAAATCAATACATGATTAAACTCCTCTGATGCTTAAGTACCTCACGTATTAAAAAAAAATGTTTACATCCTGTTTTCTCTACACTGTTTCCTTGGTGGTTTCTTCTTAAGTTGTTTTCTGGGGTTTTCCATGAGGAACCAAAGTCTCTTGGTCTCTGCTAACCTTCTTACCGTATGTCCACATCTGTCTTCTTTCTCCCTGCCTTGCTGAGAACCTGGGTCTGTGATAGTGGGTGACATGGACTGGAGAGAGGGGACCGGATGGTAACAGTGTGATCAGCCTGCTGTTTCTTCACAAGCTGATTACATGCAGACAGGTGCATATGGGGCAAGTGCTCAGGGTCCCGCTCCACCCTGCATGTGCTGAGTATCTTCCTGCCCCCTCTTTTTTTTTTTTTTTTTTTTTTTTTGAGACAGAGTCTCACTCTGTTGTCACCCAGGCTGGAGTGCAATGGTGAGATCTTGGCTCACTGCAACCTCCGCCTCCCGGTTCAAGCAATTCTCGTGCCTCAGCCTCCCGAGTAGCTGGAATTGTAGGCATGTACCACCACACTTGGCTAATTTTTTGTATTTTTAGTAGAGATGGGGTTTTGCCGTGTTGGCCAGGCTGGTTTTGAACTCCTGACCTCAAGTGATCCACCCACCTCAGCCTCCCAAAGTGCTGTGAGCTGGGATTGCAGGCATGAGCCACTGCACCAGACCCTGTCCCCTCTCTTGTTCTGTCCTACAGCTCCAGGGCTGTTAGGCTTCACCTGTCATCTTAATAACAGTTGCCATCTCTGTCACTCTTCTCCCTCCTGGGCTGGGGGTGGGGCAAATGTAAGCTTCTCCACTTCCCCAAGCATATGGGTCCATTTTATTTTAAAGGCTTTATTGCCAATCATGACTGGGGAATAGTCAGATAGGATCGGAAGTGACTAGATTTTAGGGGAATTTTAAACTGTCAGTGGGGCTTAACCTCAAACCACTAAAAAGCCAGAAGAACAAAGGGATGTGTACAGGAAGGCTGGGGATGGTGTTAGCGCCTCATGACTGGGATAATCTACTGTGGAGTTCACGGGAGGGCCAGGCCTTCAAAGATGCTTTTATTGAAAACGTCCCTATAGGACCTTTTTCACTGAGAGTTTCACATCTGGGTTATCCAACTTGTTGGGAAAGGGTCTTGGTTATTTGTGCAACTCTTAATGATTTCCGAGAGAGCCTGCTCAAGCGGATGTGGGGTGGATTCAGTTCAAAGACTTGGAACACTTGAATTAGCCGTTGATTTTAATCGTCTTTTGCAGCCGATAACATTAAGGGTTTCTTTTATGAACCTTTAATACGATAGTTTTTAGGTAGTGGGAGAGAGGAGTTGTTTTTGTTTTATATGCTTTTCCAGAAGAAGAAGAAAGGTGATTCAACTTTGAATTTCCTTTGATCTTTTCTTGATCTTCTTAACCCGTTTTCAGAATGGCTACCACTCTACCTCTCCAGAACTTTCAGTGGCTCACTATTGCCAGTCCTCATTCTTTTTTCCTCCCATGGCTGGTTTAATTTAGATCTCCCTATCTGGAATTTGATTTCTTTGCAGCAGGGACCATGATTCTTGTTTTTCAGTTCACATGGATCCCAGAGAATAGAGTAACACTCAGCAAATACTTCTTTTTATGGGAGAGGGTGTTAGGTTTTTAAAATCCTTTTCTCATAGGCTGTTAGATTTGATTTACTGCTTCGTACCTGGGCTTTCTGTTGAGGCCAAGGGGTAGGAGTGTCTTTGGGAGTGCATCAGAGTCCGGGTGAGGCCTGTGACCAGCCAGTGGGGCCCCAGAAGCTCAGTTAGAACTGCTTGTACCTCCTGGTCCCCTGCCTTCATGGAGTGGAAAGGGATGAATTAGGGACTCCAAATCCAGGTCCTGGGCTGTTCTCCAGCCCACCCTAAGCCTGGAGCAGCAACTGGTGATTGGGCCATTAACTTTATGTAGTTCTGGGGCCAGACTGTGTATCCTATAACCTTGGCCTCAGCAAGAAAACATTAAAGGGGAGACCTGGAGAAAATGTGCTTTGATAAATAGATACAAATTCATCCTGGTGGGTCATGAGTGGAAAGAAATCATTATTATGTAAATCAAATAGACACTTAAGTCTGGACAGCAGGTAGCTCAACGCTGGAAGAGTTCACACCAAAAAAAAAGAAGGAAAAAAGGCAGGAAGGGAAATGATCAAAAATAGGGGTGGGTTTTCTGGGCCTGGGGCTGCCTCCGGTCCTCAGTGCTACCTTCCCTCATTCTGCCCCTCTGTTCTCTTGCTGTCCTCCTTCTGCCCCCTGTGGCCATGGGACTGCCCCCACAGGTTCTGGGGACATTTTCTGAGCCCCCTGCACCTGGTACAGCCAGCCCAGGGCTCAGTGGGGGAAGTGCTCCATCAGTATTTTTTTGATGGTGGTAAATAAGATTCATACAGCTTTGCAGTGTTTGATTGTGGACTTTTAATCTGGCACCCCAGGTGACCCTTAAGCTCCTTCTATTTTTCCCTGTAGCTGTCTTTTGAGATGCATTTGCTGGGCCTTGTTAATGGTTTGTTTTTTCCCTTTTGATTTATTAGATTAGAAGCTCAGTTCTTGGCCTCCCCCTTCCTGGGAGAAGTTCTTGCTTCATCTCCATAAAACGTTGCTCTTGGGCTTTTTCCTGTTTTATTACTTAGCATTAATACCTGGCAGCTTATATCTGAGCTCTCATTTTATTTTCGTAACATATAATATTGCCTCTCCTCTGGCAGCCTTGGTGCTTGCGAAGGGTTTAGTGGCCTCTTGTTTTTTTACATTGGGAGGTAAGAATTTAGATTTATTAGTCCCAGCTTGGCGATGAGTGGCACAGAGAATTTTAAATGATTTGTTTTAAGCCACGTAGCTAATCAGGGGACAAAATGAACCAAGGATACTAGAAATGAACGAGCAAGGAAGAAGGCAAATGAACTTCTGACTTCTTCTACCCTTTGATGTTTTACCAACACGAGACTTATTCGTTTTTTAGTTTGGTATTTCTCTGTGAAATGAGCAGAAAGAATGACATGAGCTAAGAGAGGAACAAATAGGCAAGGGATTTGTGAACACAGTGCTCTGATAATGATGACATTGGCTCTCTTGAAGCTACATATATGTTTTTCCCCACAAAGTCTATCTTAGAAGAGGAGTTGCAAATCCCTTGCAAGGGAGGGTTATAGTTGGATGCCAAAGTGGTCAGTTTTTGACCTGGGTTTGGTGTGGGGTGTGTCCACAGAGCTTTAGCTTTCAGTGCATCTGATTCTGTGAAAGAAATAAGAACGGAGTAGTGGAAATGAACTATTGCGGTAGGTTGGCAAGTAAGTCTGGTGACGTTAGGGAGTAAACTGGGAGGAAGTTCCCTAGGCTCTGATCTCTGTAGGATCACGGGTGGGAGGGCAGGTTTGATCTCTGCCCTTGTGAGGAGGTTGGATGGAGCCCTTTGATTCCATCCCTACCTCCGCTAGCTCAGCATTTACAGCAAACAGCACCTGCTGTTCAGGACACTTCATTATGCCTTCGGAGTCCTTCAGGATCTTGAGGATCAGAGGGTATCTAAGTTTTTCTGCCTTATAAAAAAGTGGAGGAGCTTTTCAGAGCATTCTAGAATAAGAGATAAGACTAGAGTCTGGGAACGGAGTAGAAAGATGCTCAAGGAAGGACTCCTCTTCCTTGTTTCCACAGCTGGGCCACAAGCCCAGGTCTCTTTTGCCTTTGACTGTACAACCTGCTGCCTGGGAGTTCCTGGGAGGGACAGGTTTCAGAGTGTGTCCTTGATGGACACATAGTAGAGCCCTGGGATCCAGGAAGTAACAAGAGGGCACTTCCCAGTCCCTGAAAGCAAACACCTTAATTTTGCTAGGTAATTTTGGGGAGGCACCAAACCTGAAGGTTCAGGATCTGAAGTACTTTTTCTCCCTCTTAGGAAATGTGGCCTAGCATTTGGTGGTCATGTTCAAATCCTGGTCCAGTCACTTACTAGATTTCTAATCTTGGGCAAATCGCTTAGCTCACAGATGCTCATTTGACCTGCAAAATGGCCCCAAGCCGACACTCTGAGCACCCTCCTTGGCATTTGTGATTATTAAATTCCATAATGCAGGTAAAGTGCTCAGCCGAGAGCCTGGTCTGGTATTTATAGTCAGCCTGGAGAAAATGAACTCATGAGTTATGGTCTGCAAACGGTGAGCTCCTTCAGGTCCACCCACCAGATGCTGGGTGAAGGAGTCAGCCTCTCTCTAGCCAGGCAGGGAGGCTGAGAGCCTTTGCAGAAAGAAAGTCATTGGCAAATCAGAAGTGCCATCCAGTAAACCCTGGCTTCAGTCACTGTGGAAATTGTTAATCAGACACGTGGCCCTTGCTGATTTTAGGGTAAGGCACAGCTGTGAGCAAACAGCTCACCTCTTTCTCTTTCCCTAGCAGCACATGAGTGGACTCCTAGGACACCACACGTGTGACCTCAACTGTTCTTTCCTTATTTCTTCTTTTTTACTTTTTTTTTTTTCTAGGACAGTGTCTCACTTTGTCACCCAGGCTGGAGTGCAGTGGCATGATCATAGCTCACTGCAGCTTGAACTGCTGGGCTCAAGGGATCTTCCTGTCTCGACCTCCTGAGTAGCTGGGGCTACAGGCCTGCACCACCATGCCTGGCTAATTTTTACATTTTTTTGTAAAGACCTGGGGTGTGGCGGGGCAGTGGTCTTGCTGTGTTGCCAAGGCTGGTCTTGAACTCCTGGCTTTAAGCGATTCTCCTGCCTCGGCCACCCAAAGTGCTGGGATTATAGATGTGAGCTATTGTGCCCAGATTCTTCTCTTATTTCTTCTAAATGCTTGGCTTTTAGAACAGTCTAGGAAAATAATAATTGGCCAGATGACTCAGTTAATAAAGATGTACATTTTTCGAGTACCCATTGGTTGCTGTGGGGAAAAAAAGTCATCTCCTCAGATTGCTAGTAATTTAATTGGAAGGAAATCAGTTGATTTGTGAGTGATGATTTATCTCCACTCCCTCTGAAATTAGTCCCTTAACTTTTAGCCCTACTCCCCGCATCTGAGAAACAAGGTGATCCAGATGGAGAGAGCACCAGGTGTTAAATTGGGTAGCTGATCTACGTTCCAAGGAGCTCATGGTGCAATTCAGACTGTCAAGTGCAAACTGAGTTAAGAGAGACACCAGCGTGGGGCATCATCAGGAAAGAGTTCATGAAAGAATTTTAACAATGGAAAGTTATAAATCTTCAGTTAGAATCCAAGCACTACGGAGGCCCAGAACCCAGGAGAGGAGAATTCAGAGGCAGGCCCTTCTACTGAGTCAGCAAGAAAAGTGCCATATCAGCGCCCCTCAAATCTGCACATGCATAGGAATCGCCTGGAGTTCTGGTTAAAGTGCAGATCTGGATTCAGTAGATGTGGGGCAGAGCTGGGATTCGGCCTTGCTAGCAAGCTCCCAGGTGATGCTGATGCTGCTGGCCTGAGGCCACACTTTGTGTAGCAAAGTCTTACATAATATTTAGGTTAGAGAGTAATGTATAGATGCAGGTAATATGATTAAAGGTGCTCATTACAAGAGAGAAGGAGCTGTTGGTAGATGGGAGCAATATGCCCATCCAGACATCGTCAGGGTGGTGCGCGACATTGCCTGTCTCTATCCTAACCCCAGATCTGCTGCTGCCTGGCTGTATGACCTCGGACAAGTCATTAACAGGTAATGTGATTAAAGGTGTTAGTTACAAGAGAGAAGGAACTGTTGTTAGATGGTAGGAGTATGTCCATTCAGACATTGCCAGGGTGGTGTGTGGCATTGCATGTCTGCATTCTAACCCCAAATCTGCATTCTAACCCCACACTTCCTGGCTATGTGGCCTCGGGCAAATCGTTAACACTATCAGAGCCTCACTGCACACCTGCACGTTGGGGCTGGCATTTAATACCCACCTTCTAAAGTGTGTGCATGTTTAGGAATAAAAGAGCAAATCCATGTAAATGCTTAGAACAGCTCCTGGCACACCTCAAGTAGCCAACAATAAGAGTCTTTCCATTCTCTCACTTGGGAGCTCCTCTTCTTACTGGGACTTGACCAGTGAGACCTTCCGTGCCTGGGCCCTGTATCTTGTGTCCCCTAGAGGCCCTGCAGGACTGGGAAGCTGGCCTCCGCTCTCCTGATTATGATGGTGCTTCCTGATCTTCCTGGGAGTTCTGGCCACCACCAGTGGGACATCAGCACGGGACACAGTTAGTACCCGTTCGCTTTCTCTGTGGCCAGGGATTGCTTCAGGAACTGACCAGCGGAAGCCAAGGAAGGGCTGTGAATGAATGCATGAGGACTTATGGGGAGAAAAAGAAAATTTTGTGTGGAGAGGAAAAAAAGTCATCAGGCAGATTCCTGATTAAAAATGGTAAAATGCTTTTGGACTCAACCTTGTAATTTTGGGCTCAGAAAGCTGGTGAAATGAGATGTAAAATGCCTCAAAAGTTGGACGCACCCAGTCAATGTTAGCTTTTCTTTCTGGCTCTGCAGAGAACATTCCATTGAGTTTTCTCCATCAAGATAATCATTCTCACTCTCTAGGTCTTACCTGGGTGTACCCCACACCCCCAGGGCAGTCATCAGCGCCTTGCTGTGGGGAGAGTTGGTGGCTGGGAGGAAGGGCTCCTCTGGGCCCACTTCAGTGCCTCCCATAGTTTTGCAGCGGCAGAAAAGTCCCATTTCTCCCCGACTGCTCATGGCTGAAGCAGCCCTGCCTTGCCCAGCTTGGTCGAGCTGTGTTAATGTAATTAGCTCACTGGCTTCTCACCGGGGTGGACTCAGGCGCAGTGGCATGTGTGTTAAGAAAACCAGATGCCAGACTCCTGACTCTGGCACTGCTGAGTCCTGTTTCTTCGATGTCACCTCAGTGGCAGCAGGTGGGCAGCCCGTGCTGGGCTAGATGGCTGCCCTGGGAGTCTGAGGACTCTCTCGGGTCTGGTGACTTCAAAGTAAGCTGTAAGTGACACATCTGGGTAGGGAGGAGGCCTGGGGCACAAGAGGTCAAATCCTACAATTTAGGGTCCCTGGGAGTGTTCTCGTCTAGTGATTCCTAAAAGCCTGTTCATGGCCTAGGTACATTTGGATCTTTTGAGGATCTTGTTTAAAAAGCGGGGGCTGAGTGTGGTGGGTGGTGTGCGCCTGTAGTCCCATCTACTAGGGAGGCTGGGGTGGGGTGATCCCTTGAGCCCAGGAGTTGGAGACCAGCCTGAGCAACATAGTGAGACACCCATCCCCCTGTCTTGAAAAATAAGCAACATCTGGGGCCCCATTGGAGGTTCTGATTTGGTTTGGGTGGTTGGAGTGGGGGAGGGGGAGCCTTAATCAATATTTTAAAAATGACTCCCAGGTGATCCTCATAGGCAGCAAGGTTTGGGGAAGCCATGCCAGAGTCCAGCCTTGCACTGGTGCTGAATGCAGAGGTGCAAGTCTGTGATTCTGTCACCAGAGCATGTCAGTGACAGACCTGTAGCCAAACCCAGACCTTGGAACTCAGAGGCTCTTGTTTTGGCTTACAGACACCTATTAGACTGGCTTCTGTAATTTTTGCCCACAAACCCCAGATTTATGCCAGAAATTCAGCCTGGCAGAACAGCGCTGTTATAGACACCAGCAGTTCTATTCTACCTGGGGGCTATTTCACTTTCCCAGGGGACGTTTAGCAATGCTGGAGACATTTTTGGTCATTATGACTTGTAAAGGGGTGAGAGTTGCTACTGGCATCTGGTGGGTAGAAGCCAGGGATACTGCATGGAACAGCACCCCCCACACCCCCCCAGCAGAGAGCTACCCTGCACATGATGTCAGTAGTTCAGAGGCTAAGCAACCCTATTCTAGACGAACGTTTCTCAGACTTAACTGCACTCACTGGGTCCTGATTTAATAGGTCTGGGGTGTGGCCTGAGAGTCTGTATTTCTGAAAAGCTCCTGGGTTATGTTGACGCTGCCTGTCTGGGGACCACACTTTGCATAGCAAGTTATTTTCAGAGCAATTGATTTCAGAGTGACTCAGGAGTGGGTTGGAGTCACAGCTGTACCATCAACTAGCTGCTTGATCTTGGACAAGTTATTTTAACCTCTGTCACCTTAAGTTTATTCATCTGCAAAATGGAGATCATATCACTTAGGGCCAAATTAGATAATATGTGTAAAGAGCTTAACACAGGTTATTGGCCTTGGCAAGCATTCAGCAAATGTAGCCGTTCCTTTCACTCCGTTATTATTTGCTTAGCAGTTCAGCTTTAATTGTCCATTGTTTCATTATTTACCTATTTTGTGTCTCATGCTTTGCTATAAAAAAATAAGATGAGGTGGGAGGTGATTGAAAGCATTATCTCTGTGATGGTGAGTTATAAAGATTACTAGCATTGTTTTTACTCCTAAGTCACCACACCTTCTGTCATGGGGTGGGAAGTGAGGCTGGAATAGGACTTAAAATCAACTCCAAGAGAAACATTTTGAGAACTGGAGGCATCACCAAGTCATTCTTCAAATTCTGGAAACATGGTAGTTATTCTCCACTCACTCAACAAAAGTGACTGTGGAAGGAATGTCCCAAAAATCAGGTGTCTGATCTGTGCGTTTCCATTCACCATGGTTTTAGGGACCATAGAGAAGGATGACAAGCGAACGCAGATAACCAGTTTCATCAGTGTCCTGAAATACTCAAGTCACCTATTGCAGGAGTATTTCAGAGTGAGTTTTGAGTATGGGATTGAGCTTTGTTCAAAGTCCAACATTGCCACGTATTAGCCGTGTGACCTGGGGTTATATAACATCACAAAGCCTCAGTTTCCTCATATCTAAAATGGGAACAAAATAGTATCTGCTTCTAGAGTTGAAGTGAGGCAGAGGTGAGATGATGCATGTAAATTACTGGATGACTTGACCAGGATGGACGGTCCTGCACATTAGAAAGGCTGTTTTCAAATGTTGGAGTGGGACAATCACTTGGAAACTTATTCAGAGGTCCCCCTCAGATAGTCGATTCATTAGGGCCAGGATGAGGCTTGGAATCAAACAGGCACCCTCAGGGATTCTAGCTGTGCTGTGCCACTTTGAGAAACCTAGTCCAGGTGCTAAATTTACAGTGATCACCTTGGGATTCTGGTGTCCGACAGAGATGGAAACTTCGCAGGAAATGTTCCCCAGGCGGGAGGGCTAAGAGGACACAGTAACTCTTGAGAGTTGCTCCGACAGACCTTTTATTTTGGCAAGGGCTTGTGCTTTCTTTGCCAAGCCATCATTCGTTACTTGGCTAGAGGAGGGACCACAGGGAGGGGAGAGGGGACATATACAGCTGGCTGTCAGAACAGTCGACCTCTAAATGGGATAACCTCAGAGCCAGGCATAAGCAATCTGGAAACAAGGAGGGGAGGTGATGGAAGGTGGGAGCAGAGGCAGGTGCTGGAGACATTGCTGCAGACTTCCTGGAAGGGGTTGCCAAGCCGGGAAGATTCAGAGGGGAAGAGCACAGCTGGGGAGAGAGCCCCTGCTGGCTCCAGGTGCTGGTCCCAGAAGGCATCTTTGGAGGGAAGGGTCTGAGCTGTGACGGTTCAGTGCAGGGACAGGTGGGGTAAGCTCAGGTGTGCCGGGCTCCCTGTGCGTGTTGCAGAGCTCCCGGGGAGGGCAAGGATGTGAAGTGCGAGCAGATGGTCTCCGTCACTGCCAACCTAAATCAATGACTGGAGAGGGCGAATGCTGCCAATTAGCAGGATATCCAGAGCTCTTTCTCCCAGCCCAGTGGCCCCACCTGGGAGCCAGGCAGCATGCTTTGCCTCCTGCTGAGACAGATCCTGCTTTTGCTGCTTCCTTGAGAGAAGTTTTAACACATGAAAATGGCTAAGAGCAAAGGCTTTGGCACCGCTGCCTGCTTTCAGATTGCTGCTTTTGCTAGCCATGTCATCTTGATCCTGTTTCTTCCCTTCTCTGGGCCTTGGTTTCCCCATTTGTAAAATGGTAATGGTGGCAATAGTACTCATCAGTTATTGCCACCACAATGCTGCCCAGCAAACTACCTCAGTAGCACACAGTAGTAAGTGTTTGTTGTTCACACATCTGGGCTGGCCAGAGGGCTTTGCTGGTCTTGGCTGGCCTTGCTCATGTCTGGATGGCTTTGGCTGAGGGGAATGACTGAGATGATTTGTCTCAGCTTCCTGTATCTCTCTCATCCTCCTCTAGTGGTGTAGCCCAGGCAAATTCTCATGGATCTGGCAAAGGTACAAGAGCCAGTGAGCCACTCATGTAACTGCTTTTAAGTTCTTTTCTCACCCGCCCCCCACCATGTTTGCTGCCATCCCATTGGCCACAGCAAGTCACATGGCCGAGCCCAGCATCAAGGCTCCTGGCAGACTGCACTTCCCAGGATGGCACTGCAGAGTCACAGTGCCAAGGTGTATGGAATTGGGGTGTTTTTTGCAATCTACCATGAGTACTAACCTCACAGTTTCGTATGCAAGCAAATCCTCATCCACTTACCAGTCTTAGGACAGAGGATCCTCACTGGTCTCCTCGACCTTGAGACACCCAGATTAGGAATTCTTTTCTCCTCTGACTTCTTGTAGTTCCCTCCATATACTGTTCTATTACCCCCGTCCATGACACCTTTGTACTGCTGTTCCTTCTGCCTGTAATGCCTACCCCTTGGCTTACCCATCTGATCAACTCAGCTCTGGGGTCAGACTGTTTGGGTTTAAAGCTGGTTCATGTCATTTATTTAAAGCTTCATGACCCTGGCAAGTTTCTCACCCTCTCTGGGCTTCAGGTGCTTCCTCTGTAAAGTAAGTATCGTAACCTTCTTCCTTCTCTGCCAGGGTTGTCGTGTGGATTAAATAAGAATTGTAAAGCACGTATCAGTGACTACAAAAAACAAAAAGGAAATGCTCAATAGATGTTTGCTTTTGTAAAGCAGAGTTTACATTTTCCCTGTTGCTGTTGAAGCAAGGGTGTGCATCATATCCAATAACTGGGAAAAACAAAGCAAAATAAACCTTTTTAACCTTGAGATGTGTCAGAAATAACAGGGTCACTCTGTCTCATTCTGGTCCCCTGAATAAAGGAAATCTTGACCATTTTCCATAAGCCTGGATTATCCAACCATCAGCTTTATCCTTAACTTGGCAATGATGATATGATTGCTTCTTGTGGTTATGATCATATATGAGAAATGTGGCAGCAGCAGAGGTAATTATCTCTTGTGATTATTTATGTGGTGTGACAGTCTTTCTTATAGCTGGTCCCCCTGAACCTCTTTGCAAGTAAGATTTTTTCTTTCTTAAATGCTTTTCTCTTCCTTCTATGTGTTGCTGCTACTGTTACTCCTGCTGTTTCTACCACTACCACAACAACCACCACTGCCGCGCCACCACCACCATCACTACCACCACTACCACCATCATCACCACCATCACCCCAGCTCAACCAGAATGACTATAATCCTTCACACCCCTGCCAGGTTATCTTCCCTATGATGACTTTCTTAACCAGCTTCCCCCAAACAAGTAGTAACATTTTCCCCACCCAAATCCATCTTGAATTGTGGGAAGGATCCTGTGGGAGGTCATTGAACCATGGGGGCAGGTCTTTCCTGTGCTGTTCTTGTGATAGTGAGTAAGTCTTATGAGATCTGATGGTTCTATAAGGGGGAGTTTCCCTGCCCAATCTCTCTCTTTGCCTGCTGCCATCCATGTAAGATGTCACTTGCTCCTCTTTGCCTTCCACCATGATTGTGAGGTTTCCCCAGCCATGTGGAACTATAAGCTCATGAAATCTCTTTCTTTTGTAAATTGCCCAGTCTTGGGTATGTCTTTATCAGCAGTGTGAAAAGGGACTAAGACAGCATTCTATTATTTTGTATCTTGTACCTGCTTCTGTTTTAACACAGTGTATTTGAAGTACAGTTTTTGAGTCTCCTGTTTTCCCCTATATAAGGGGGCAGAAAACATGTCTCTGTACCTTAACATCTAAGAGAAGGATTTGGCATATAATAGATGCTCAATTTATACCTGTTGAACATTGATAGAGGAATTTCATCTTACTCTCGTGATATTCTTGTTCTAAAACCAAAAATTGCAGTAAAAGGCCCCCGCCCCCACAACCATGGTTGCAGAGGTGTGGAATAGAGTAGAACTCATGAATGACATGAGACATTGGAATTCATGGATAGGCATATGCTAGCAAGCCTGAGATCCAGTGGGGCCTCTAATTTTGATATTTATAAATGGACTTTCCATATTGCCTGTGTTATTTAAGGTAACATGAACTTCTGTAACGTAAGCCCCAAAATCTTGGTGAATGAACACAAGAAAAACTTAATTTCCCACTGATGTGAATAGCTTAGAGTAGGTGTTCTTGGTTGGGGAACTCTCCTCCATTTGGTGTTTCAGGGACCTAGGCTCCTTCCATGTTGAGAATCTTCCATCTTTAACACAGGCTTTCAAGGCCACGGTGAAGGTCATCTACTTTTTTGGCATCTAGCTGGAGGGGATAAGGACATTGAGCTTACTGAATCAGGCCCAGAAGAGGTCCCCATCACTTCTTCTCCCATTCCACTGGCCAGAACTTGGTCTTGGGGAGGCTGACAAATCTAGTCAGCCATGTGTTCATTTTCTGTTTAGTAAGACCTCACACATCAGTGTTTATGCAGGAGATAGGCCAAAACATTTTTTTTTACACCTCTATCTGTTTTTCTACTGCTAAACCAATCTTAACCAAACCCTGCTTCCATTTCATGCAATATTGGCTCTAGACTGCAGCCATGTGACTAAAAGGGGGCCCTTGAACCAGAAATGGGGGAAGGGTTGGAGACTGTGAGCTGCTGTTTGCAATTTATGCATGATGAAGATAAGAATGTTACTTCGTGCTGTTCTTAGAACCCAGTTCATTTTTAGACTGAATGTTTATATGGCTGAGAGCTGCAGGAAACACCATGCCCACCTTGCTTGGTTTAAAGCCTTTGAGATCTATGGTGGCTGAATGTGCTTCCAGGAGCAGAATTTAATGTGCAGGGAGTGGGTGACTATTAAATTCAGTGACTGCAGCAAAACTTTGCTCCTTGCTCCTCTTTGTGGAAACACTGTTTGTACAGCATGTCTTTCATAATCAATACAAGGGAGACATTAATGAAGAGAATGTCTTGTTTGGCAGACAAAGCCTTCCCTTTGTTCGGATTGAGATGCTCAGTTAATTTCCTGGGAGTGTATTTATGAGAAGTTGGTTAGTGATTCTTGTAAGTGTATGTGAGTTTCTTGTTTTTTCTTTTTTTAAGAGAGGAGTCAACAACCCATTGTATTACTGTAAAATATTTGATAGCTTGTACTTTGAGGAATGTACTCATGAGAGCCTAGTCTTATAGATTTGGGATATTTATACATACTTTAAAATGAGTAGGTTGGAGGGGAACTTTAAATATGTATATTTTACTTAAAAAAATAAAAGCCCAAAACCTTTTGTTTGAAATGACCATAAATCAAAGCATTATGGGAGATAAATTTTCTAGACTTTGTGTGTGGAGGAAGTTCATTGAGAAAGATAAGGTGGACAAAATGCTGGAGAAGTTTGGGACAACCCCTGGGTTGAATCAGTCTCCACTTTCAGAGAGTTTATAGCCTAAGTTCCCTTCCCTTTTTCAAAAGGAATTTTCATCTGTCTTGTTTAATAATAGAATCTCTTCTTCCTCCTCCCAGCCTTCTCCTCACCTCCCTTCAGGCAAGCAGGGACTTCCTTCTTTGCATTGCTCAGGAAATTATGTTTCCCACTTGCGAGGCTGGCCAGCAAAACTTCTTTGGAAGTTGGAGAAGAGGATGCCAGTTTCTGCCTTTCTGCTTTCTGCTCATAGAAGGCTCGTGTGATATGTTATCATCCAGTCTTGCTGGCTTTCTTCTGGGTCTTCTGGCTTCCCTGAGTTTGAATCTGCATTATGTTACAGCAAATGCAGTTGACAGTCAGTGGTATAGTTGGAGCATGCATGGCCCATTTCATGGCTTTTTTAGTATGCTGAATGTTATGCCACCTCGGCTAGGTCATGAAATCGTTTAAACAAAATAATGCTTTGGAACTGAAATGTTCTGGTTGGTGAGTTTTCTGGTCAATGGAAGGGAATGACCTTGGGCAGAGTCTGTGACCACAAGTGAATTATCTATCCTTGCAGAGCCTCAGTTTCTTCACTTGGAGACTAGGCACACTATCACTTTCCTTATTAGGGCTGCTGAGAGAATGTAGCTGAGGTTCCTTGGCTACTTAGCAAATGCAGGACTCAGTAATGGTAACCACAGTCATCTCTGGGTATCCATGGGGGATTGGTTCCAGGACCCCTCTCAAATACCAAAATCCAAGGAAGCTCAAGTCAATGCTATGAAATGGTATAGTATTTGCATATAGCCTACACACATCCTCCCATATACTTTAAGTCATCTCCAGATCACTTATAATATTAATAACTAATATAATGTAAATGCTATGTGAGTAGTTGTTCCACTGTATTTTTTTATTTGTATTTTAAAATTGTTATATTTTTTCCCCTACATATTTTCAGTCTGTGGTTGATTTAATCTGTAGATGCAGAACCTGAAGTTATAGAAGACTGAATGTACTATTAATAATTATTAAGATATACAAAATCACTGTTAGTGAGAGATTTAAAAACATCCAGGGTAGAAAGAAAATGAAATAGACTATCAGAAGCAGTAATTTTCTGGTATGATTTTAATTAGTAGCGCTCTACAGGATCCTTTGTGGAGGCAAATGCATTCTAGTTAGTAGTATCTGTGATATCATTTAGGGCTCCTGTTTTATAGATTCAGTTCCACAAATATTTATTATCGAGTGCCTGTGTTATGTCAGGTGCTGTGCTAGGAACTGTTCAGTTAAATAGGTAGTACAGTTAAGAGAATAAGTCAGGGTGTTCTCCCTCCCAGGCCTTAGAGTTGGGGTGATTGTGTGTCCCAGTTTTCCCTGGACAATCCTGTTTACTGCTCTTGTCCTAGCATAATTATTCACAGTGCCCCTTTTATTTTAAGTGTCCTGGTTTGGGAAACTAATTATAGGGTCATCAATATAGGCTATTATTGAGGTAGAGGGAGTTTCTCCAGAAAAGGACTATGGAAGTTCTCTAAACAAGAAGGAGCATGATGAAAAGTATTTTTTAGGGAGTTGAATTCAGGCTAGATGGTAGGACCAGTGAAGAGGTGGGAGAGGGGAAAGCATTTTGGAGATAGAGTAAACCAAATACTACCAATGTGATGGACAGAACCCAACTGGAGGTGCCATCTGGAATTCCAGAGTGTGAAGAGCAGCCTCAGGTGCGCAGCCTTTTTAGGTTTCACCAATCAGCATATCTCAGATGTTTTCTTGGAGACTCCATTAGGCTTTAACAATTGCCTTAAAAATTCCCCAGCAAAAGCATTGTGGGAATAGGGAACAACTCCAGGTTGCACATGAGATGCTTAGCTAGGTCATTGGTTTGTATGGCCATTTCCCTCCTGAGTCTAGGTATGCAGGTCTTGAGGGGTGGAGCTCAAGGCTACTTTTGCATTTCTGCCAGTGCTTCCAAATGTCATGACTGGGGGGGGGGGGGGTTGGGGGTGGGGAGGGAGGGAGAGGTGGGCCAGGGTAGTACCCTTCCTTGACTTAGTGTTTGAAACTTGAAACACAGAAACTTAGTGTTTCTGTGCCATGTCTCACATACACAGAGAGAATACTGGTTGCAATAATTTCAGAGACAGTTAAAAGGTGATATTTTCTATATTCAGAGATTATTAAATTCGTTAGCAAGAGGAATGCAGTTCAGACTTCTCAGATTTGGGAGGTAAATCTCCCCCACCCCCAGTGTTTGCATTTGGTTTGAGTGTCTTAATTACCATTCCAGAACGTTTGTGAAATTAAGGTGGAAAAAAGAATTCTGGCTTAGGTACTAACATATAACCTTTGTGTGTTTATTATGAAGCCTTCATCTTTAAGATTCTCGTTTGCAATCCTGGGCAACACAACCAATTTTCTGTGTCATTAACTTTTTCCTGTAACACCAAAGGGCAGGAGGATGCTGGTCTCCACCTTTTCTTTCTCCAAGGCAAGTTGAACGACCATCTGTGCCATAAGATGGATGAGGCCCAGTGATCCTCTTGTTGATTTGGTATTTGTGTCTTCCCACAAGAATCTTTGCTGATTCCAATGCTCGATTCACTGGAATACTCCCTGCTGTTCTCTGAATTGATGATGGATTAGTTGAGGTCTTTGTATTCATTATTGGCAAGGTTTCGAGACAGTCCCTTAAGTGCAGGAAGAATTCTGGCAGTGGCGTCAGAAGGCCAAGGCTCGGCAACCTTGGATAAGTCACTGTCTGAGTCTGTTTGTGTTGCTATAAAGGAATACCTGAGGCTGAGTCATTTTTAAAGAAGAGAGGGTTAGAGCTGGGCGAGTGCTGTGGGCTTAGCAGGGGCTGCAGGGCAGTGGGAGTGCAGACTTAAAAAATGCAGACCCCCGGGGCACTACTCATTTCTCTAGCTCTGGTTTACTGTGGTACCAGGGGTCTAATCAGGCCTGTGTCTGCCTCCTTCTTGAATAGCCCAGAGAATTCATCTAAACAGCCTTCCTACAGCAGTTCCCTACTCCAGGTGGCCACATAGGAGTTCCAGACCAGTGTTGTCTCCGGGGACATTGACACAGCAGCCAAGTTTATTGGTGTTGGGGCAGCCACAGTTGGTGTGGGTGGTTCAGGGGCTGGCATTGGAGCGGTGTTTGGCAGCCTGATCATTGGCTGTGCCAGAAACCTGTCTCTCAAGCAGCAGCTCTTCTTCTATGCCATTCTGGGCTTTGCCCTGTCTGAGGTCATGGGGCTCTTCTGTTTGATGGTTGCCTTCCTCATCCTCTTCACCATGTGAGACTCTGTGGGGGTCACCTGCCTGTCCCTGCTGCTACGACTCCATACCATTACTGGTGCTGGGATGTGCTAAGCTTTACAACATTTCTCTAAAAAAAAGAAAAAAGAAATAGAGGTTTACTTGGCTCACGGTTCTGCAGGCTGTACACGAAGTATGACGTCAGTGTCTGCTCTTGGTGAGGGCTTCAGGAAGCTTCCACTCAGGATTGAAGGCAAAGAAAAACTGGCTTATCACATGGTGAGGGAGGGAGCAAGAGAGAGAGGGGAGGAAGGTACCAGGCTCTTCTTAACGATCAGCTCTTGTGGGAACTAACAGAGCGACAAGTCACTCGTTACCCCAGGATGGCAAGGTCTGCCCCCATGACACACTAGGCCCCATGTCCAACATTGGTGATCACATTTTAACATGAGATTTGGAGGGGACAAATATCTGAACTATATCAATGAGTCACTTTGTGCCTCAGTTTCCTCAGCGGTAAACTGGGGTAAAGAAGGATATGAAGAACCAATCTGTTAGGGTCGTTCTGAGGATGAATGAGATGGCCATTGTGAAAGGACTCTGGGTCGTTTTAATGTGGTGTCGTATTATTGGATGAAGCATCTAAGTTCATGACTGAATCTAGCCCGTCTCCCGCTTTTGTATAGCCTGTGAGCTAAGAATTGTTTTTACATCTTAAAATGGTTGGGAAAAAAAAATCAAAAGAAGAACAATATTTCTTGACACATGAAAAGTCTATGAAATTCAGATTTCAATGTCCTTAAATAAAGTTTCGCTGGAACTCAGCCATGCTCCCTTGTTGGCGTACTTTCTGTGCCACTTTTGTGCGATAATGGCAGAGTTGAATAGTTGCTCCAGAGACTGAATAGGCCTGTGAAGCTGAAGGCACTTATCTGGCCCTTTACAGGAAAAAATGTGCCAGCCCCTGATGTAGGACAGTGGTTATTGTTCATCTTGTAGCAAGGTGAATCGCGTTCTACACAGAGGTCTTTCCCTCCGATGGTGTTAAAGCTTGGGGAAAGCTAAGGCTCTCAAATTTCTGAGGAAGAAATCAAAGCTAGTTTGTTTTTTCATTCATTCATTCATTCATTCATTGTTTCACCAAATATTCTTTGAGTTCCTGCTGTGTGCCAGACACTGTTAGGGGTGGTAAGGAAAATGCAGTGACACAGGAGAAAATGCCTGCCCTCCTGGAGCTTACAGTCTAGGGGGAGGAGTAAGATAATACACAAATAAAAACTCCTGACCCGCCTGAGGGTGATGGATGATATGGAAGGGCAGGGGGAGAGAGTGGGGACTATTAGGAAAGGCCATACTGAGAAGGCCATAGGTGATGTGAAGGAGGTGGGGTGTGAGCCCTGAACCTACATGATGGGGCTGGGGCAGCGGGGAGTCTGCTTAGGCAGAGGGCGAAGCAAGTTCAAAAGCCTTGGGGTGCAAGCATTGGAGATGGTCAAAGGAGAGCAATGTGCATAGAGCATTTTTGTGTGTATTTTAATTTCAGCATTGGCTACAGAGCTGTGGTAATCTGATATGTGATCCTGTTTTAAAAAAATTATTTTATCTTCAGAACAATAGGAAACACGAAGGGAGACCATGTAGTGCAGTGGTTAAGAGAAGGAGTTCCAGGCAGATAAGAGTTGAAGCTCAACCTTGGCAGTATTGACATTTAGGGCTGAACAAAATCTTTGTTGCTGGAAGCTGTCCTGTGCAATGGAGGCAGTTTAGTAGCATTCCTGGCCTTTACTCACTAGATACTTGTTGTGATAACCAAAAATGTCTCCAAACAATGTCATATGTCCCCTAGGGGCAAAATTGGGGCAAATGTTAGTTGAGAGAGCAGAGACCCTGACTCTTTTTGTCTCCTGTTCACCTTTTCTTCAGCAGAGAGCACGGTGTCTGTTCATATCCTGGTGAGAAGTATACGATTTATGTGATTGGCTCAGATCCTTGTGTTAAAATACAAGCTACTAAAATGGTCATCTTTGCAATTTTTTCATTGCCTTTTTTTCTCTTGCTAGTCATCATCCCTTATGTGAAGCAATGAGGTGGATATCATTTCCTCCATCCACTTTTAGGCGTGGTTGGAATTGGAGGGCTTAAGGCTTACGAAAAGTGCCTGAGCCCCTGAGTCCATGCTTTTGGCCCATCTGAACTCCAGGAGGGGAGACATACAGATAAAAGAGTGAGGTGCTTTTATAGTGTTCCTCTGAGGCTCCCTGGTAACATGCCATCCATTGAAAATTGGCCTCTTTGCCTGGGGGAGCCCCTAGGATGAGTTGATACCTAAGTCACCACTGGGCATGCTGAATTAAAGGCATGCCTTGCTGTAAAGAGGAACGGAAGCTCAGGGCACCAAGCAGAAGGGGCACATTAGGAGAGCCTAGCAGAAATGTATTTTTGAATTTGTGTGCCCTGTTGGGCTCATTTGGATTGATTTCCTCCACTCTACCTTCTATCCTATGCCTAAGTTGATCATGGAGCAAAATGTTCCTGTTTGTTCTTCCTTCTAGAGTTACGAATGGTAAAAAGGCAATAACTGATGTTTACTGAGCACTTCTTATGTGCTCTAAGCTCTCTTCATGCATTCTCTTTCCCCCCTTCCAAATCCTCTCCATCATAGCTGTTACTGCCACTTAAAGATGAAGGAAGAGCCTTGAGAGGTTTAGTAACATTCCCAGGCTGAGTGGTTAAGTAACTGGGGGAAGCTGGAATTTGATCTCTGCAGCCTTTTTTGTCTGTAAAATCTTGGGTGCACTGTAAGAGAAGCCCAAGAATTGTCCAGCGAAATTAAAACTGCACCCCAAAGTTCAGCGCCTGGGCTCCATCCTCAGAGCCTTTTATTGCACCCGCGCTTGGATGGGTGTCTTGAAGCCGATTTAATCCTGGTCTGTCTACACAGGGGAGCAGCAAGCTGTTGACAGCCTCATTTTATGGTCATCAGTGCCCTCTTCCTTCTGAAGCTTGTCAATTTTAATGTCTGGAGAACCAGGGGGTGGTGTAGGGGCTTCCAGACCCCTGTTTGCAATCATCACTTGTACACCAGAGCTTCTCACACTTAGATGCATGTGGAATTCCCTGGGGTTGGAGTTAAGTTGCAGGTTGTGATTCCATAGGCCTGGCCTGGGGTCTGATCCTGCATTTGTAACCAGCTCCCGGGTGATGATGTGGAGGTGGGTGTCCTCTGGCCACACTGAAGTCCCTAGTTCTAGATGCCATCACCCTCACCCTACTTCAGAGGCTGTACCAAATTCTTAGAAGAGAAATTTTGCCTCAAAAGCGACCTGGGAACCTGACCTCAGGAAGAATTTCATCTCTGTGGGAATGTGGAATCGGAGTGATAGAGGTGAATGACAAGGATGTGGTGTTCCTTAAGCTGACTCCTGATGAGCTTGGCGAAATGAAGCCAGACATTTTATAATTGGTCCCTTTTCTTTGTGTAGTGTCTAACACTTTTTGAATACCTACTGCATGTCAGTGCCTTTTCCCACTGAGGATCGTACTGGATAACTTTGGATCTAAGGTCGCTTTGGCAGTGAGAAGTTCCCGCCTCTGAGTCAAGACCACCTTTGAGTCCAGAAATGGTGGCTCACGCCTGTAATCCCAGCACTTTAGGAAGCTGAGGTGGGAGCTTGGCCCAGGAGCTCAAGACCAGCCTGGGCAACATAGTGAGACCCTTACTTGACAAAAAAATAAAAAAATTAGCCAGGCGCAGTGGCACGTGCCTGTAGTCCCCGCTACGTGGGAGGCTGAGGCGGGAGGATTGCTTGAGCCCAGGAGTTCAAGACTGCAGTGAGCCATGATTGTGCCACTGCACTTCAGCCTGGGTGAGAGAGCGAGACCCTGTCTCAAAAAAATAAACATAAAAATAAAGACCACCTTTGAGTTAGCAAGTATGACAGGAGCGCGTGAGTAGGAAGGAGGGAAGATTCGGATGATACACATGTTATCATGCTGTATTTCCTTCACTAATTATATGGGCTCGGTAAGGGATATTCAGAGGTTGTCAGTTGCCTTTGTGCCAGATTCAGTTGGACTCTGATAAAGACCTAGGCAAATACGATGTCTGTGCACCGTGTTCTGGGAAGCACTTTGAAGGACCCCGGGCAGATTCACTGGCATAGTTAATACACCCCGGACTTTCCCTCGCCCTGCATATGGTGGCTTATGAGAAGAAAGCGAAGACTAGAAAATCATTTGTGTGTCACTTTGCAGGAAAAACACTTCAGGTAATGAGACAGGATTTGAGTGGGAAGGTGATTATAACCAACCCTTCATTCATTTTCTACAAAATAGTCAACATGCAGTCTTCCAAGCTGCATAATGAATATAGCATCCTTTAGCTGGGGATGTTGGGAGGATTTATTTTTTATCTGTGATCCAATATTAATTTGCCTTAAACAAAAGAAGCAATTTACTGTGTAATTCTGAGGTTTATGGTGTTTCTACTAAGTCCTTTCATCTTTGAAAGATGGTGTTATGCATTTTAATAGAAACCATTTTTTTCTTAAAATCTTTTCTTTTTCTTTTTTTCTTTCTTTTTTTTTTTTTTTAACTCTTTCTTCTCTTCAGTCGGATTATAGAGTTGGAGCAAATGTCATGATGAACTTTGAGGCCTAGGCCTGGACTCTTGAGGTGTGTGTGTGTGTGTGTGTGTGTGTGTGTGTGTTTCTTTCTCCATAATAGTCCCAACCCTAAACAGGGGTATGGCACAGTACTTCTTATGAACAAAAGTGCTATTGGTCTACAAGGGGACTTGAGCCTGCACTAATTGTATTTGATTAGGATTTTTGTGCTGTCTGTATGATGTTTAACCACACTGTCAATTACAGACTTCCTTTAAGGAATTTCCAGGAAACCCCCTTACCATAAGAGTTTAAATTAATAGTTTGCTAGTTTAATGACAGCAGTTGGTAAAGGAAGCACCTTTCAGACCATTAGCTAAAGCCAACTTCCTTTAAACTTAAAGGAGGGCACAGCATGATAGATGGAGATCTGCCCCAGTGCGTCATCATAAATGCCTCGAGGCAGCCACAGGATGGGTTTTGACCTCAGTGGGGATAGGTTTGGTTAGAGGGTTGGGTAGAACCCCCTAACCTGTAGAAGAATCTAGAAAAGTGAGATGAACGCCTTTCTCTTAAGGCTGTCACTTGTCCAATTCCAACTCCCTCTTTAGTAACCACCTCCCTGCCTCCCAGCGAAGTGACCCCAGGGAGCCGGTTATTATGGCCCTGCTTGATGGATAATTACTGGTTGAGGCTTGATTTGACACCAGCATTTTGCATGATAGCCTGTTAGATTTGCTTGGCTCAGATTGATATTTTCATTCCTCTAAGGCTGCAGCATGGAAACATGGTTGAGTGGGGTTTGCCAAGATGGGATGATTTCCTGTGCTGTGGCAGGACCAGGACAGCTGTTCTGAGAACTGTTTCGGCAAAGCCTTCACAGTTGGTTTTGTTGAAGGCTTTTCTGCAGGTGCAGGGTTGGTTCCTAAAGGACAGTAGTCTGGTTTTCCTAGGAAACTACTTATGGAGAGTGCGTGTGTTTAATTTAGGAGGCACAGCTGTGCAAGGGACTGGGACTCCATCAGGGAACGGGGTGCAGGAGCTCCATGTTCCTTATGTCTTAGCTTCATTCCTAGTTGCTGGCGTCGGAACTGATCAAAGTTGTCTGTTGTCTTTCTGCACACCCATGCTACAGGCAGTAAGGGATGAGGCAGCAAAACCAGTTCACTGCTCATCAGCTGGGGAGGCTTCAGGACAGTCTCTGAACTACTGAGCATTAGTTTCTTTATCTGTCCAATGGGCCCAATGGCACCTGCTCTGCTCATCTCTCAGGATCTTACATGCCACATAAGCTAATGGAGAAGTAAATGCTTTATAAGCCTAAAGGAATGGACATGGGTGCATTCAGTGAGAGGCAGTAGGACTAATGGTTAGTGATTAGTTTGCTAAGTAGGAGCAGCAGTTGTTAGTGTAAGAAGGGCGGGTTAGTACATGGGTGGTGGTCAGGAGGAGCACCACTGCTGCTGCTACTTAGCCACTTGTGTAACCTTTTTTTTTAAACAAAACAAAACAAAAAAAAACAAACCTCTCAGTCTGCTATAGGATAGATTGTTCCAGCATCTGAAATTGCAAAGCACTTCTTGAAGGGGATTCTTAGGATGGCGTAATTTTGTTCACTCATAGGATCTTCTTCCTGGGGCATGATCCTAGCCATGTTCAGGATAAGCCCTGAGCATCAAGCTGGTGCAGTGAAGTGTTCTGTGGCTGGAGGCTAAATCTGTCCCAGGCTCACAGCATGGGAGCGGGGATGGCAGGGGCTTTTGAATTCCCTTGAGGGCACTTGGCCTTTGCTTGTATCTGCTCAGGAAGTCAGACAGTCTGCAGCCAGTGGCGTGTGCAGCCACCCCTTCTGTTCTCTGACCCTGGAGGCTTGTGGTCCATTTGTTTTAAAGGTGACTGTCTGATATTCCTTTGGAATACGTGAGTCCGGTGGGAAAGAATAGAACATATTCTGAATCTTAATGGTGGATTTAAAAAATCTATTTAGAGAATCTGAGCACTTAATTAGACATGTCTTTTTTTCCCCAGCTGCCCTAATTAAATAGTAATCATAATAAGGATAAGGATAATAGTTGATCTCAGTATCCTGTCTCCCAGTGAAGTTGCTCAATACATATTTGTAGATGAATGACTTGGAGATCCAAAGGAAGGTTCAGAGATTTGCCATTGTATTCGAGTCTACCCTGGTGGGACCTTTAAGGTGAACATTCTTCTTCTCTGGGCCTCCACCTTTTCCCTTCCCATATAACTATTTTCTCCTTATCTGCATGCTTTTCTGCAATGCATATCCGCAACAGGTGAGCCTGGGTGAATATGATTACATGCAGGTTGGTTTTTCTCCCTTCTTTGTGGTCCGCGTTTTGGGATTAAATCCCCCTGCAGACTTTTGTCTGGTCAGCCTGGTTGTGACTGTGGATCTTGGTTTCGTATACTGTCAGAGATGGCAAGGAATTCAAAGATGATGTCGTTTTACGTCTTTATTTTATAAACTCGGGCCCAAAGTGAAATGACTTGCCCAAGAATACACTGAGTGAGTGAGGTGGTCATAGAGAGCTAGCTCTCCTGACGCTTAGCTCAGACCTAATTCCAGGAAGGTGACTGCATCTAGCTTCTGCCCCAACACATCCTGGGAAGAAATGGTATCCTGCTAAGAGAATGAGGGCTGGATGGAGGTGTCCTGCGTAACGGTGTCAAAGTACTTCACTCTGTCCTCTGGGGATCCCACAGTGATTCTTTGATTCTATGCCCACTGAGGAAAAGTTGATTTGAGTCTACTCCACTGTTTGATTGAAATGGGCCTCTTCTGTCCCCAGCCTGGTGAGTCGTATCTTGTTTCCCTGCCAGTGGGCATTTTCTGCCTTTATCCCCGCTCATGGCTGCTGAATGGGTCACCCAGGCTGGGGCAGGCTGAACTACAGGCTAATGAAATTGTTTGGCCTAGTTCCTGCTTGGTGGTGAAATCTCAGACAGGATCTTATCACCCTCTCTGTGCCCGGAAAATTCGACTCTCCTGGAGCTTATAAAATTGGGATGTCTGTTTCCACTAGCATTTCTTTCCCAGTTATATTAATCAATAATGTGAAATTAAATCAAGAAATTCCTTATGCCGGCACTGGCTTCTCCAATACATTTATCTCTGTATTCTAGTATTTGCTTTGGCTCTTTTTCTCAGAAGGGGATTTTTCCACACAATTTAGGAGCACAGAGCGAACTTCCTGGGAAAGCCTAGAAATTCAAACATCCTTAGCTGCATAAACTTGGGAGTATCAGTATATCTCACTGAGCCGTGTTATTTTTAATCTGTAAAATGGGCATCAGTGTGCCACCCTTGCAGATGTTGTAAGGATTACATGAGATTGTATGGTGTGTAGGATACACCTCACTTCGTGTTTGGCATTTAGTGGGTCTTCATGTGGAGGTCCGAGCTTTCAAGACAGCCTTTTGCCTGATGTAGATGTATTTACGTGTATTGGTGTAGGGTTCTCAGGCAGGCTTGATCATCAGAATTACCTGGTGTACTTTAAAATAATCCCAGCATGAGCATCAGATACCAGGGTTCCCCCAGACCACTCACTCATCCGAATCTCTGGAGATGGGCCCTATGTTCCATCATTTTATTTTATTTTTCTATTTTTTTTCAATATTTTTGTAGACGTGGCGGGTGGAGGGCTGGTCTTGCTATGTTGCTTGGGCTGGTCTTGAACTCCTGGCCTCAGGCAATCCTCCTGCCTCAGCCTCCTAAAGTGCTGGAATTACTGGTGTGAATCACTGCGCCTGGTCCTATCGCATCATTCTGAAAGGCTCCCCCTGTGCTATTTTGAATCCTCAGCCACATTTGGGGACCTCTGTAGGATGGGTTTTATTTTTTCTCATCATCCTTGATAAAGGCAAAATGGTGGTATGGTATAGAGACTTGAGGATTTCAATCTGATCATTTTTTCATGCTTGATTTGGGCTCTGTTCACAGCAAGTTTGTTGGGATAGGTGGGGTAGGAAAGGGGGACAATTTAAAAATAATCGTCTAATAAGAGAAGCTGTGATGCTTGACTAATTAGAAATGGAGAATTTGCTTCTTAAAAAGGCAATCTTCATAGTACTAAAGACAACCAGATTATATCTGTTCAGGCCACCATAGGGTTTGCCTTCAGATGCAGAAACTTATCTCTGAGATGGCTTTAAGATGGAGTGGTGAGAGTCCACATTGAGTTTCCTATCTGTTTCCAGATGTGTGGGTGGGGTTTCTTGTCTCTGTCTCTGTCCCTCCTCCTCTGGCTGGCTTAATACTGGGAGAATTCTTTTCGCTTCCTGGAGGACCCACATGCTTTGGAGTGAGGGAAGCCAACTTGAATTCTGGCTCCAATCCTTAAATCCCATCTGGAAGTGTCATATAGATGGGATCTGTTCCCAGCTTGGAATCTACCTGGGTATAACCTGGCACTCAACGTGTGGCCTCAGATGTTTTTGTTGAGCAAAGAGAAATATATCAGAGAAAGATGAAAAAAACCCCAAATCAGGAAATCTGTCCATTTCCACTTCCTGATTCTGTGACCTTCAGCAAGTCATTGAACCTTAGAGAGTGAGCCTTGGTTCCCTTATTTGTGAAATGGAGTGCTCACATTCCTTTCCTTAGCTTTCTCAAGTGAAATAATATTTTATGTAAAAATGCTTTTGTAAAACCGCAGAGCAGCCTCACCCTTACTGTAAAAGGAATATTTTGTTGCTTGTTAGAACACTGGCATTTACTCAGCATTTTTGCTGGTTGTTTACCTGTTATCTCTCTCTGTGTTAAACATGGAAAATTATTTGTTTATAAGTTTTCTTTCTGCTTTTTAGTCTTCTGGGAACCCTGCAGTGCCTAGGCACTTTGAGGAAGGGTTTTCTGGAATTTCACATGGGTTTCACCTCACCCTATCCACATAGCTTGTCTTTAGAAGTCCCTATCTCCCTGTGTTTTCTGGGGTGAAAGACAGAAGCTCTGATCTGCAACCTCAAAGCTGCAGTGTTCAGGAAAGCCAGATATTTTTGTTTTCTTTCTTTCTTTTTTTTTTTTTTTTTTGCCTCTCAATTGGAGTCATATAGTGCTGCAGCAAGACTTGTTTTCTGGATTAGTTACTGACCCAAAGTATTTTTCTTGCGAATAAATGTTGCTTCCCACCACAGTGACTCGAGAATAGGAAGGACACATGGAGAGGATTATAAATAGGTTTTGGTGCCAACAGATAGGGCAGCCTTCCAGAAAAATTATTTGCATTCACCATGTGTTTGTTAAATGGGCAATTATGGAGTGTACAGTTGCTAGCATTTGTTTGCCTCTCCTTGGGAAGGCGATAGTTCAGTAGTGGCCTGCATTTGACCCTTAGTCAGAGAGCTAGTGGGCTTTGCAGCTAGTTCATTCATTTGTCCTAATCCAGGATGGACTGTTTAAAAATATATATCCAGCCAGAAAACAGACATAGACACGTATAGGGAATGAGTTCTTGACAGAGAATTTCAGTATTTAACCATTGGTATAAGCATCCTTCCATCCATCCATTCATCTACTTATCCACCTTACCATCCATTTTCCATCCCTCCTTCCATTCATCCATCCACTCACCTACTCTTCTACCCATCCACTCATCCATCCGTCCGTCCATCCATTCATCCACCCATCCATCCATCCATCCATCCACCCATCCATCCATCCATCCTCCATTTTGGCAAATGGTTATCAAGCACCTACTGGGTGCCAGTTCTGTCCTGGGTTTTGGGGATGAAAAGTCAAATAAGACAGGATCTCTGACCTCAAGGAGCCTACAGTCTGCGGTACAGGATGTTTTCCTAAATTTTAAGTCAAATTCTTCCTTGACACATACCTATTTTTATTTTGTTTTGGTTCTCATCTCTGTGAACAGAGCAAAGCATGCAACCATTGTAACACTTTCATTTGTTTTTATAAACTCAAGTTCTAGAGTTGGATTTCATGATTTGCATAACTCGGCATAGTGTAAGTGCTTGTAGTTTTAAACAGAAAAAGAGGGAAGAAATGACAATCCAGAAAAAAGATCAAATCTTATGACTGTAATTTATTAAGGTATCCAATGGAATTCTTTCCTTTTTTCTTTCTTTTTTTTTTTTTTTTAAGAGACAGTCTCAGTTACATAGGCTGGAATGCAGTATCATGATCATAGTTCACAGCAGCCTTCAACTCCTGGGTTCAAGTGATCCTAGAACTTGTGGCCTCAAGCAGTCCTCCTGCCTCAGCCTGCCAAAGTGCTGGGATTACAAGCATGAGCCACTGCTCCTAATTCTTAAGAGATATTTTTAAACCTCATAGTGTATACTCTTCAGAATTACTTTTTGAACCATAAGTTTAAATGGCAAACACTTTCTAAATGTATTTTACTGAAAGGCCAGTTGAGAAGAAGAGGATTCCATCATCTTTTGAATTAGCATGAGGACAGGCCATTAAAATTCATGATTAAGAGCACAGGATTTAGGTCTGACAAACCTGGGTTTGGATTTCCATTTTGCTGTTCTCTACCTGTGTGACTTGGGGCAAATTACTTAATCTCCCTGAGCCTCAGCTTTCCTCTTTATAAAATGGGAATAACAACAGTATTTACCTGAGAGAACTGGTATTAGAATGAAGCGAGAGTAAAGATTTGCAAAGTACTCAACACAGGCCTGGGATATAGTAAGTGCTATTTTGATTATTTTTAAGGGCAAAGAGATTAGATAGTTAACAAAAAAAGGAAAACCAAATATTGGTCATTGGAGGGTTTCTGTGGAAATAAGATATGTGATGCCTTTTGGTATTACACAACTAACAATCTCCTGAGAAATCGTAAGGTTTCTCACATAGCCCTTATTTGCATCTTTGCTATGATGCCGATTTTTACCAAGCTGTTTTTTGCAGTTCAAGGATTGGTGGGAAACGTTTGTATGTGTTGGGGTGGGGGTGGGAGAAGAAAGAGCGTCAAGCCTATAAACAATGCTTCAGATTTTCAGCTAATTTTAACACGAATTAGATTTTAGGTTTTTAGCATGTCTTTTCGGCAGACGACCCCACTTAGAAAATCCAATTCTGAAATTAATTTCAACAAATCAGAAAGGCTGATTGGTAGTTGTATCTGACTTTTTTTCTTGTTGACCAGTGAGTTGACTTTTATATAACACTTGAGGCAAAGAGTTCAGTGTTGTGGGAATTATTTTCACAAATGGATCATTTTCTTAAAAAAAAAAAGAAAAGAAAAGAAAAAGAAAAGAAGGGAGAATTTCTCTTGGTGTTTTTGTTCCATGGAAGGTAGTTCTACATACTGTTTATAGAGGCCTTGATCCTTTTTAAACTTAAGGAGCCCAGTTGGCCTCTATTGCAATAAATTGAGCTCCATATAGGGGCTGAGGGACATTTAATTTATGTGCCTGACTCTTTTCCCCAGTTCAGCCGGCTACTTCCTGGGATGGTGTTCTTGATTGATGGCCCTTCTGGCATGTTGTGCTGCTGGGATGTCTTTTGAAGTTTCTCCTCCGGGCCTGAGGTTTGCCCCTGTGAGGTGTTAATGGGCTTCCTGCTGGGGCTTTATTTGTGAGGGGTGCTTGTTAGAGGGGGCTTGATGGGCCAGTGGGGGCACCAGAGCGCCAGTTCTTCCACTCTGAAGAGTTGATTCTCAGGCCCTGGACTCGTGTTCTCAACCCACTGCAAGTCTTGTTTTTATTTGTGCTCCTCAGGTAGAAATGTTTAGCTTCTGGGGGTTCCGAGAACCCTGGCAGGTTTTGGGAGTGGGTGATCAGGCCCAGCCAGGGAAGGGTTGCTTTGAGAACCCACACAGATAAGTGGACTCCTCCCCACAGGGGATGGCAGGGATTTGCGGTGAATAATAAGGGGTTGAGTCTTGAGCAAGATGGCCCATACCTTGTCCTCTTTTCTCCCGGGTTGGCAAGGCCTCCGTGTTCTCCTCCCTGGGTCCTCAGCGGCCTGACTGCCTCTAGCCTCCCCTCCCAAATTCCATTCTCCTCAGCACCACACGGCACTCTTTCTAAAATGGCTCTCCTCTTGCCAGTCCTTTCATGGTGTAACGGGTTGAATTGTGTCTCCCCACAAATTCCTAACCCCCAATGCCTCAGAATGTGACTGTATTCAGAGATAAATAGGGCCTTTAAAAAGGTGATTAAGGTAAAATGGGGTCATTAGGGTGGATACTAATCCAGTCTGACTGATGGGCACAGAAACCAGACCTGACCTGCCAACACCTTATCTTCCAGCCTCCAGAACTGTGAGAAAATAACTTTGTTGTTTAGGCCACCCAGTCTGTGGTACTTTATTTTGGCAGCCTGAGTGGATTAATACACATGGCTACCTTGACCGATGGGGTATATTTCCAACCTCATGGAGTGTCACAGGAGGTCTTTTGTCTCTGGCTGCTGTCTGCCTTTCTGACCTTGGGCAGAGCTCTCTTCTCTTGCCTGAGAAACTACAGATCCTTTATGACTCAGTTCTAGGCTACCTGCTCTGCGTGAGGCCCTCTGAGACCATCCTTCTCTCTGTCTCCCTCCCCTCCCCACCGACGTGGATCTTCTATACTCTTCTGAGAACCTTGAGGGCAGAGACAGCACCTAGCTCTGAGCCTGGTAGTTAATCAGTGTTTATTGAATTAGTTAAGACTTACACTTTATTGTTTTGTTTCCTTAGGAAGCTACCCGCTATGCCCAACTTAGTGCTCTATTAGAAAAGATGATGTATTAGTCTGTTTCCACACTGCTGTAAAGAACTACCTCAGACTGTGTAATTTATAAAGAAAAGAGGTTTAATTGATTCACAGTTCTGCATGGCTGGGAGAGCTCAGGAAACTTACAATCATGGCGGAAGGTGAAAGGGAAGCAAGGCACGTCTTACATGGCAGCAGGAGAGAGAGTAAGGGAGGAAGTACCACACTTTACAACCATCAGATCTCATGAGAATTCACTCAGTATCACGAGAACAGTATGGGGGAAACCACCCCCATGATCCAGTCACCTCCCACCAGGTTCCTCCCTTGACACGTGGGGACTACAAGTGGAGATGAGATTTGGGTGGGGACACAGAGCCAAACCATATCAGATGATAAACCTTGATTTTTCACAGGGTGTTAATAGCTTCATACAGGTATGTCCCAGATGATGATGGTTATGTCCGTGATAACACTAGTAATTTTAGCTAGTATTTACTGAGCACGTTCTATACACCAAACAAGCATGTGCCTCACCTAACTGTCACAACATCCTTTCAGGTAAGCGTATTTTCAAGTAAATTTGAGCCAGCTTTATCTGGGAGATGGCATAGCCCAGCTGTGAGCAAGAAGATTCAAAAGCTAAAGGCTTCTTTGCCTCCAGATCATTTCTGGCAGGGCTTGACACTCCAAAGTGATTTTTCTTCAGGTGCTCAATCACATAGTAAATTTCAATGAAACTGGCGAGCAAATGAAACCTCCTTTAACTCACTCTTCATTTGCAAACGTAGGAAGAAATTGTTCAGTGACAACTCTGTTCAGTAGAACCATCATGAGTTCACTGGGTCCCCCTGCAGCTTGGGGACTGGGTGGCCAGTGCTGTTCTTCCACCTGCCACTCTTTAGATATGGAAAAAGAGACCTGGAGGAGTTTTCCAAGATGTTGTCAGGTTATAAGAAGAGCTAGTGAGTGCACTAGACTGTGCTGTTTTTCCTTTGGTGTTCAGATAGAGAGAATTTTAAATTCACTTTTTGCTCTAGGTGCTATCAAGGCTTTTAGTTATTTTTCATTTTAAAACCCTGGGAAAGAAGAGGGATGACCTGGCCATTTTCGATCCAATGTACTTGACAGTATTTCCTTGTGCTGCAGTGTCCCCAGGACTGACTTTGCAATTCTTTCTGAGTTGTGCCATACCACTGAATCCACTGAGGGCAACCTTACCTTTTGGAAGGGAGGTGAGAAGAATAAAGAAATGTAGAAATTCAGTAAACACACCGCTGGGCAAGTAGGACCTCAGTCTAGTGTAGAGAGAGCTGGCTGCCATCAGGAAATAGCTGTGTCCACAGCTTTCTCATTTTACCTTAGTGCTCAGGCAGACCCTGTGGAGGAAATGAAATTTAAATAGAGAGGTGGACAAGTCTCTGCCTGAGCTTCCCTGAGGCTGGGGAAGGAGATGAGGGCAAATTGAGCACCTGGAGACCAGAGTAACTAAGGAGTTGTGCCTACTTACTCTTTGCTGGAGAGATTGTTAGGTCTGGCATACATTTCTGGGGGTTATTAGATTCCTTCCTTGGTTTAGGTCAACTTGTTGTGTGACAGGGAGACATTGTATTCTAATCTCTGGAATCTGGCTGCCTTTTTCCATCCCTGGCCCTGCCACTTACTTTGAGAGCTCAGACAAGTGGCTTGACTCTCTTTGTTCTTTTATAGGGCTGTGTGTGGATTAAATAAGATCATGCATGTAAAGTATGTAGCCCAGTACTTGTTTTATCAATTCAGCTGCTTTGACAGAGAGGCCCCAAATAATGATGACTTTAAAAAGATGTAAATTGATTTCTCCGTGATACATGGTCAGGGTAGACGGCCTAGGACTGGTTCTGCAGGTTCCACAATGATCAGAGACCCAGCCTTCTATAGCTTGTTGTTTTGCCATCTTCAATGTATGCCTTTCATCTCCTGGTCCAAGGTGGCTGCTTCAGTTCCTGCCATCATTTCTGCATTCCAGCCAGTAAGGGAAAAGGGGATATGGAAGGCATGGCTCTTTCCCTTAACAACATGACCGAAAAGTTACTCACAACACTGTCTCATCTCACTGGCCAAAGCTCAATCATGTGATCACATTATTCACAAGTGAGGCAGGGAAATTGTAGTCTTTAGCTGGATGCCCAACTAAAAAGCATGATTACAGGCTGGGTGCGGTGGCTCATGCCTGTAATCCCAACACTTTGGGAGGCTGAGGTGGGCGGATCACTTGAAGACAGGAGTTCAAGACCAGCCTGGCCAACATAGTGAAACCTCATCTCTACTAAAAATACAAAAAATTAGCTAGGCATGGTGGCACAAGCCTGTAATCCCAGCCAATTGGGAGGCTGAGGCACAAGAATCTCTTGAAACCGGGAGGTGGAGGTTGCTGTGAGCCGAGATTGCGCCATTATAGTTGAGCCTGGGAGACAGAGTGAGACTCTGTCTCAAAGCACTATTACTGTATAAGAAAGAGAGGTGGGATACTGGGGACAACTTGCAGTATCTATCCAAGAGTTAAATGCTCAATAAATGTTAGTTATCACTACCACCACCACCACCATCATTATAATCATCATGATCATCATCATTTCTGGTCTTAGCCTATAAATTCCTCCACGTCCTCACTTCTTATTTGATCCCCTTATTCTCCATTTTAGCCCATGTTAGCTTGTGCTTTGTTCTATTGCATGATTTGCCTCTGTCCCTGTCTTGAGACCTTTTTATACCCAGAGGCTGGCAATGTAACTAGAGTCCTACAATAAGCTCCTGTGTGATGAAAATGGATCTTAAAGCTGGTGAGGACATTGACAGTTTAGGGAGACTAGAGCATAAAGTCTTAGCAATCTACTTGGCAGCTTCATTGACATACTACAGGAAAAGGTGACGGAAGGAAGAAAAAAGTCTAGCTATCTTGAAATGTAGGTTAAGCACTTGCTTCATTTTGTTGTATTCTTTCCACTCACTTTTGTGAACTTCCACTGAAGATGTCTTGAATCTCCATGGAATTCTTCTCAAAGCTTCAGCCTGGATATCCAGCCTCCTGACTCACCTTTGGGGTTTCCAAAATATGATAAGTTCAAAATCTGTGGCCTTAAGAAGGTGGTGGAAGCCAAGTTTCTTTTGGTTCAGAAGCACTTTGAGTATATAAATGGATTCGTGCTGTAGACCCTGATTCATGATTTAGATGTTTCGCAGGAGCTTTTCAGGATAGAGATGGTTCATTGAAATTTCACGTGGATTTAAGGCTCATTAAGGTGTTGGGGAAGCCGGATGCCACTCTGTCAGTATAAATCCCAGTGAGGCTAATTTAGTGGAGCTGTAGCCAGCTTTCATGTTTTCCATCAGCCACACTTACCTTCATCTCTTCCCTTCTCCTTTCTAAAATACTGTATCAGAAAGTGACATTTTTTTTCTCCTAGGAGAAGAATCGCTCAAAGATGATGGTCTTCCTTCTTTCTACCATGGTATTTGTCTTTAAAGATTAGGCGATGTGGTGGGTGGGCATGGTGGCTCATGCCTGTAATCCCAACACTTTGGGAGGCTGAGGTGAGAGGGTCAGTGAGGCCAGGAGTTTGAGACCAGCCTGGGCAACATAGTGGGACCTTGCCTTTACAAAAAATGTAAAAAATTAGCCAGGTGTTGTGGTCCATGCCGGTACTCCCAGGTACTTGAGAGGCAAGAGGATCGCTTGAGCCCAGGAGGTTGAGGCTGCAGTGAGCTATGATTGTGGCAACAGAGGGAGATCCTGTGTCCAAAAAAAAAAAAAAAGAGAGAGAGAGAGAGAAAGATTAAGTGACATGGATACAAAGGATGGGAAAATCCTGCAAAGAAAGATTGAAGTCATTGTTGATTTATTTTTTCTTTCCCTCATTCTTTCTTCTTTTCAGTCCCTGTGGGTTCTCCCTGAGATCTCTCTTGGGAATTCCTCTCATTCATTTCTTCCCTTGTGTTACTGTTCTAATTCAGGCCCATAGTATCCCTTGCTAGGACTGGTGCAGTAGTCTTCTGGTTTCCTTGCCTCCTGCCTCTTCTCCATCCTGTGCATGTTCTCCCAGCACTGATCTGGCCCAGTCACTCTCTCTGTTACACATAGTACCTTCTTCCCATTACTGTCAATGGCATACACCCTTCCTTGGCATGGGATCCAAGACCAGACCATGACTATGGTTGTTTGCTAACAGTCAGAATATCTGGCATCATGGTAGGCATTGTTTGTAAATCTTTTTTACAGTGAAGGAAATGGAGGCTAGAGGGATTAAGTCACTTGCCCAGTGGCTCCTGCTAAAAAGCAATGAAACCAGGATTGGGCTCTGGGCAGCTGCACTCCAAAACTGGTGCTCTTAATCCCCACATCATGTGTTGGTCTCATCTCTGTCTATCCTCTTCTCCCACCGTCTCTTTCCCTCACACCCTGGCTTCCAGCCCCACGAATCGGCTTTCATGTCCCTGTCTTGTTGCCATCAACAGCATGACTTGAAGTTGCCCATGTCATGGTGTCTGAACCTTCATGTTTGCTGTCCTCTCTGCCTGGAGTGCCTTCCCTCTCCCTTTTGACTGGCAAAGTTTCACTCCAAGGTCTAGTTCACAGCCCTTTTGTGATGATTCCCACCCCCACCCCGTTATAAGAATGAGCCAAAGACGGTGTATTGGTTCCTAGGTTGTTTCTTCACAACAGACTGCACCTAACAGTCTCAAAAACCTGTAGGTTCCAAACTCAATTTTTAAAATATTTATGAGTTTATTACAAAGAATACCAAGGAACAGTCCGATGCAGAGGTACATAGGGCAAGGTGCGGGAGGGGTGCAGAGCGTCCATGCCCTCTCCAGGCATGCCATCCTCCCACCACCTGTGTGTTCACCAGCTCAGAAGCTCTCTACACCCCTTCCCAACCTCAAATTTTTACACATCCATTTGTTTTAAAAATAGCCAAAACAAGCAGATTTCTAGCCATTCAGGGCCTGCCTACTTTGCATACCCCACAGAACTATACCCACCGTGTGCCAGCCATTGATGAGACAGAGCCTTATGGTTATAAGACCTAAGACTGCTCACTGTCCCAATGATCCTACAATGCTCCTGAGCTACATCATCCCCTACAGTTCCCCTCCCCACCCCAGACAGTGGCCCCCACACCCACCATAACCCTCTGGATGGTCTCATGCTATGAGGGACTTCCCTCTCATGCAACCCTGTTTAAGTGCTGTTGTGTGTCACTGCCAAATCTTTTTTCTTTTTATTTCCTTTTAGAGATAGGTTCTCGCTATGTTGCCCAGGCTGGTCTTGAACTCCTGGGCTCAAGCAAACCTCCTGCCTCAGCCTCCTGAGTAGCTGGGGCTACAGGCACGCACCACCATGTCTTGCTTCCAAATCTCTTTTCTTGATGAGCTCCCAATTACTCAAACCCCTATACCCTCAACAGATTCCATCACTCTGTTTTATAAATTTCCATGGTATTTTGAACCCACCTCCATGACTGTACTCATCACATCATGCTATAGTTAGTTGTATACTTGATTATCATCCCTTTGGATTCCTGACCAAGACTTGAGGAAGCCAGGGAGCCCTGGGTTGGAAAGAATAGGAAGAAGTGTAATGAACTCGTAAACATGATCAGGTGTTCCCAGCGTCATGGATTCCTTTGTGGTTTTGTACTTGGCCATGCTTTATCTTGGTTGCTGGCATCAAACCTGAAAACACTGGCATTTTGTGAAGCACCTGGGGAAGAACTTATAAGTTTAATTTCCTCTGAGCCTGAAAATATGACCAGGTGAAATGTATGAAGTAGGGATGATTACTAAAATGGAGACTTTTCAAGGCTTATTTTGATGGTTCTTTTGTTTCCTGCCATCTCCCCTTAACCTGGACTTGACAACTAAAAAAATGAATAAATAAATCAATAAATAAATGAGTGGAAGGATTCTCCGCGTGATAATGATTCTTCTGAGCACATTTTCTTCCAAACTGTGCTCCCAGAAGACACTTGGAGTCTTAGATGGTTCATGGATCATTATCACTTGTCGGGGACAGTGGAAACGTAGGAGCTGGTTGCAAGTGCCAATCAATAAGCAATGAAAAGAAGGCACTGTGAAATGGCCTCAGCCAATGGATGTTCAGAGAGACAGAGACAGGCAGCTTTTCTGGATAAGTCTTTTTGGCTGTAGCTCATGTCCCGTTACAAAAATTTCCGTTGGATTGGGCCGAGGCTGGGAAATTGAAGGCATTTATTTAGAATGAAACTAAAATTTACCCCCATCCCCAAATCCTTTCAATGAAATTAAAGTTACTTATAATGAAAGAGAGATCTTGGGTTAGTAGAGATGCATTTTTTAATAGAGAAAGGGAAAACTAAAATGTGGTTTTCTTAAGCCTTTGGCAAGGTTCATGTTGAAATAACAGTTCTTTTTTTCCTTCAACATTGTCAGTGTAATAGTGATATAAAGTTTTATGAATAAATAAATGTATTTAGCAAAATGACATATTTCAGCGATAAATTTGGTTTCTTAGTTCAGAATATTGCTTTGACTAAGGAAGGAGAGTGACAGAATGAATATCAAGGACTCTACCCCTCATTTCCATTTTCTTTGACAGTGTGATATGGGCCACAAATGAAGACCTTGACCCTGAAACCGTCTGTGGTTTCTCTAGCAATTCTCACGACTTAGCCTCTTCCTCCTTCTTCCCTCAGAACCGGGCAAATAGAGCAAGGACAATTTCCCAGCAATATTTTTCCAAGTTGCGGTTAGTCACTTGCTGCTCACGGTTCCCATTTAGTGATTTCGATTTCAATGAACTTTTTGCTTAGTGACTTTTGAATTCGTTCTTATCACATTACAAACACATACCTGAAGGTTGCCAGGTGGATGGATTTCAGTTGATCCCACTGAGAGGGCAGGAGAGGCCACTGTCCTCTTTAATGTTTCCTCCCAGGAAGGAAGGATTCATCATGTAATCCTGTATCGGTGCTGCATGGTTTCTGGTGTGAGTGGTGCCTGGCCTTGAAGCTCTGCTAATCTCCAGACGGCCAGACTGAAGAGCATAATGCATGTGTAGGCTGATTTCTTGGGAGCTTTTGTTTTGATTATTTTCATTTGCATACTGATTTATTAAGCACCAGAATGTAAGGGCTAGAAATCTTTTTATTTCATCTTATTAAGAAGCTCAATTATTCTTTCTTCGCAGAAGCCAAGTTTCTGATTAGCTATACCAACCCCATCTCCATTAGGCAATTTAAGATGTGAATTATACATTTTTTAAAAAGTAGCTAATTATGGTAAAGCCTGACACATTTATATTTCTGTGAAACCCCTGTGGCAAAGATTCTGGCTAGAAGATGACATCATATGGGGTTATAAAATCACTCCTTGTGGAGCTGTTTCTTCATGTTGTAAGAAAACTTGTAAATCTGAAAAGATTGTACTTATGCCTTCTGATCCTCCTTCCCTAGGCCTCACCTGCCCTTTGGAGTCTGTGAGCTGAGTTATGGTGTAGGGACTCCGTCCTTGATATTCTCATAGAGATGCCCTCGTCCTCCTGGATTTCAGGGTGGAAGGAATGGGAATGGTAGGTCAAGTCTGAGACATTGAGGTCTGACGCTGTCTTCCTGTTCAGATGGTAGCTTGTTTTGGGGACCTTTCAGCGGAGTGTCTGTCCTTAGTGCCTCATGGGCTGCCATGCACTGGGTTTTAACTGCAAACTGTTTTAGAATAATCTGGTCTTAATGTCTGGGAGTTCTAATATGTGCATCCCAATGAGGTTCTTAGACCTCAGGGCCAGATCTCACACTGACTCTCTTTGACCATGCTGCATTCCACAGGCAATGTGGAATGTTGCTTACCTCAAGGAACATAAACCTTACATTGTGGAATAGAGGTATTTGCAAATATCTTCTCCTCTCCCATTGCCAGGGTGGCTCAGTGTCTGCTAAAATTGAATCCATATGGGTACACCGAGCAGAAGGGGAGGGCGGAATGGGTGGGAAAGTACATTGCAGTATTTGTTTGTGATGACATTCATTTAACCAGAGCTAACCTCGGAGTTATAAACCAGGGCATTATTTCCTAAACAGTATCATGTATTCATTTGTGGCAGTATAGAAGATTTAATTTATACATGTATTTATGCATAGACATATGAAAGAGATCATAACTCTGGATTCAATGTGATAAAAAGCAGATTCATTCTAGAGTCCCATATACAGTGGATTGTGAAGAACAATCCTTTTTATTATATAACATTTACTTTCCTCTAGGACATCTGTTAGTTCAGCTGTTTTCAATGGTGCATCAGCAACATACAGAGGGGATATGCATTAGAAATGAGGGTGAGACTGTAATTTGATAAAACATATCAATTCACTTTGCTGGTTTTTTCCATACAAAAATACAGACAGCAAAGCAGGACAAGTCTTCTTGCCTGGCAGGGACGTGAAAATGATGGACTGGGAAAGTATCTTCGGGATGAGGGCTCGTAAAGGCTGAGAAATGATGCCTTGGAGCTCATGAGAAATAGTATTTGCTCAAACCCTTTCAAGACAAACTATGACCACTTAATTTACTTTAAGTCTGGTGTTTATGTCATAGACTCAGTATTTAAGTCTAATGAGGCCAACCTCTTCTTCATATAGAACTGCCCATGAGTCGATGCCCATCATTGCTTGGTAAAGACTTCCTACTCAATGTGTGGTCATAGGACCAGCAGTATCAGCACCACAGTTGTTAGATGTTAGCAGTGCAGAATCTCAGGCCTCACTTGTCCATATGATGTACTTGTGTAAATTTTGCATGCCTTTGCTTCATTGTTCTTCCACGTCATCCACAGCAGCCCATGGTAGCATGTCTCATTCTCTTCCTTTGATCGGGAGGAGTCTGGATTTTTGGATCGGATCAGAACTGTGCTCAGCTTGGCTCTGCCTGTCTTTTCATTGCTCTGCCTTGCTTTTCTCTTCTATAAAGTGGAGATACCAACAGCAACCTCACAGGGCTTTTAAGAGAATGTTTATAAAACACTTGGCACAGAGCGAGGCAGATAGAAGATGGTGGTTATTACTGTGATGACAGTGATGTTTATGTCCCATCTCCCCTGGTGGTTGTATGTTCCTTTGAAAGAGCCTCCCTGTCCAGTTCATCTTTCTATTCCTCCAGGCCGGCTTCTCTGTGCCTGGAACATGTTTGATGGCTGAAGGGATAGTTGTGCAGCACTACCATCTGTACCTTAAGATCCTTGATCTCTGAAAAATTCAGTTTGAGTCAGAGGCAGCAGTCCTAATAACTTTAGCTCCCAGGGGAAGCATTCTAGAAGCTGTTAGGAAACAATTTCTTCACTGTCAGGTTCAGGCATGTGCATGGCTGCCCTCTGGTTACACACCACATTGCACGCAGGTGTGTGGAACAAAAAGGGGTAGTTGCTGAAAATATACCAGCTCAAGGTTTCCATTATCATGTCACTCTGGAATGAGATGGAAAGTGAAGAGCTCAAATAACAGGCTTCAATCATCCACCAACTTGGGGAGTTGTCATCTTGGATTGGGATTATGGTTCTAAGATACAGAAGACCTAAAACAGCAGAACCTAAGATGGTGGGCTGGTGCTATCCATAGAAACAGCTGACCAGGCAGGTGCCCAGCATTGAATTAGCATTGACCTTGAGATACCCAGCATGTGGCTTTCCACGACATTAGGGGGGTAGTGGGGCCAAGCAGTTAACAGGGTGGGCTCTGAGGTCCAATGACTTGGGTTGGAATCTTGGCCCTGCTTCTTATCAGTGGAATCACAGGCAAGTTACTTAACTTCACCAACCCACACCACTCACAAGAACATTAGAACACTGGAGATGGATTTATGCCCTGACTGGTTAAGTTCAATAGAATTTTTAAAAACCCTTTTAATGTATTTTTAATTTGGAATAGGTTTAAAATTCGAGAAAAGTTGTGAAAATAATACAGATAATATAGTTTTCATCTGCTCCTCCCAGTACCTCCCTGCTTTTTTTTTTTTTTTTTTTGGAGACAGGGTCTCACTCTGTTCCCTAGGCTGGAGTGCAGTGATGCCATCATGGCTCACTACAGCCTCAAATTCCCGGGCTCTGGTGATCCTCACACCTCAGCCTCCTGAATGACCGGGACCACAGGTGCGTACCACCATGCCCGGCTAACTTTTTACTTCTTGGTAGAGATGAGGTCTTGCTCTGTTGCCTAGGCTGCTTTTGAACTCGTGAGCTCAAGCGATCCTCCCACCTCAGCCTCCCACAGTGCCGGGATTCCAGGCATTAGCCACCCAGTGTTGTTAACATCTTACATTAGTATGGTACATTTGTCATGACTAATGAACGGATATTGATACATTATTATTAACTGATGACCATATTTTACTCAGATTTTCTTAGTTGTTACCTAATGTTCTTTTCTTATTCCAGAATTCCATGCAAGAGATCACATTATGTTTAGTTGTCATGTCTTCATAGGCATGTGGCTGTGGCAGTTTCTCAGACATTCCTTATTTCGGTGATCTTGCCCATTTTGAGGCATGTTGGTCAAGTGTTTTGTAGGACATTCCTCAATTGGGATTTTTCTCATGTTTTTCTCATGAATTGACTGAGGTTTGGGAATTTCAGGAGAAAGATCAGAGAGGTAAGGATCTGTTCTCATCTCATCCTATCAAGGGTGCATCACCCTCTCAACATGAGTTATCACTGTTGATGTTGACCTTCGTCTCTTGGCTAAGTAGTGTTCGTTGAGTTTTTCCGAGGTAAAATTGCTCTTTCCCACTCTTCCCCTACTGTATTCTTTGGGAGAGAGTCATTATACGCAGCCTAAAGTTATGGAGAATGTTAAAGAGAATATATATTTTTTGAACTTTGCCCATCCATACCTTTTTTCAACATTTTCTGTAGCCCACATCCTATTAAAATCCACTTCATTTCTTTCCTCCACCAGATTGTAACCTCCTTCATGGAAAAAGCCAAGGCTTATTTGTGTAAACAATATAGGTTAATTGGCCAAATTACTTGACATTTCAGATCAGTTCCCCCAATTGCCAGTGCATATTCTAATTCAGCATTATAACATCTGGCAGTGAGAAACAGAAATTTACTATCTTTATTTTGAGAAGTGTTGATTTTTGAGTAATTGAGGCCTAGAAGTTCCAAGCAGTAATAACAATGAAAGCTCACACTTACATAGCACTTCTTGTATTTCAGACACGGTGTCTGCATTCAACATATGCCAACTCATTGAATCCACACGACAATCCTATAAAGCAGTCACACTTATTATCCTCATTTTACAGATGAAGACACTGAGGCCAAGAGAGTTGTCGTGCCCAGAGAAGTGTTGCCCAAGGTTACACAGCTGGCAAATTGCAGAGCTGGGCAATAGGATTTTGAAAGCAAAAAGTTATCTATATATCTGCTAACCGTTCTTCCCTCTACCCACAAGCAGCTTGATAACGCGACTCTTCACTTTTTTCCTGTGATAGCACAGAGTCCAGACTTTGGAGCACCACAGCCATATTGTTTATTCCTGGTTCCAGCACTTGCCTGCTGTGTGACCTTGGGCAGGTTACTTCACTTCTCTGTCTCTGCATCTGAAAAATGGGGATAATAATAATATTGGTACCTCCCTGGAGGCTTTAATAAGATAATGCACCACACCTAGTAGTTAGTGTTTGTTTTTGTTATTTTTTAGCATTTATTACAAATACAACTGCTGTATTTCCTGAATTAAAAGTATGGGGACATGGATGAAAAATTGCAAGTGTCTGTATGGGGATACGATGAAATATTTAAAATAGGGATTGTTTCCTGAAAGTGGGATGGCTGAACAGTGGGATTATAACATGCTTGTAAGAAAGATGGAGGAGCTAAATTGTAGAAGGGACTGAGAAAGCCAGGACACGTTAGGACCCTTGGCACTGAGGAGGGATGCAGCTCACACCCCCAAAATTGTCAGCCACAATGGCATAATTCATAGTAAAGCATACACTGAAAGACTTTGGTTATCTTTTCAGACTTTTAATAGTTATCTAAATACAGTCGTCCTTTGGTATCCTTGGGGGATTGGTTCCAGAACCTCCTATGGATGCTAAAATCTACAATGCTCAAGTCCCTTATATAAAATAATGTAGTAGTATTTGTTTTTTCTTTTCTTTAGAGATAGGGTCTCACTGTGTTGCCCAGGCTGGTCTCGAACTCGTGAGCTCAAGCAGTCCTCCCACCTCAGCCTCCCAAAGTGCTGGGATTACAAGTGTGAGCCACCACACCCAGCCCTAAAAAGGTGTCTTAGTATTTATTTGCATATAACCTATGTGCCTCCTCCCATATACTTTACTCTCTAGATTACTTAAAATACTTAATACAGTGCCTATACATCACTTCGTTTGTGTGACTCAGTGTAGCACTGGTTGTGCAGCAAATTCAAGTTTTGCTTTTTGGAACTTTATGGAATTTTTTTCTGAATATTTTCCATCTGAGGTTGGTTGAACCCATGAGTGTGGAACCCATGAATGTGGAACTCATGAATATGGAGGCTGATTGTACAGGACAAAAAGTCATAAATAAAATGAATGAATAAAGCCTACTTTAAAATTGATATATATTTAAAATTTTTAAAATTGTAATTTGGGAGCCATAAAAAAGAATACAGGTAGTGTCTCAGATTTAGGAAAAGTCATTATTTTTAGCTAAGAACCATCAATTCTAGACTTGTTAATCTTATCTTCACTTTAATCAATAGCTCTGGCAGGCCACTTTTTGGGGAGAGCCATATTTTTTGTAAAGGAAGACTGAAAGTCAGAAAGAGTGTGTATGTGTGCAAGAGACAGGAACCTCGAGCTATTGGGCCACAAGGGCACATCCCCAGTGACCTGAGGCCCCTCTCCTGTACTCCTCCACCCTCACCTGGGTGATCTTGTCTTAGATTGGTGCCTCAGCAGAATCAGAACGATTGATTACATGTCAAGGACCACCAGGGAAACCTGCAGATGGGTGAAACCGCAGGGTTCAGTCTGGGAAAGCCACGGCTCCAATCTCTCTAATTACAAAATTAATGAGGGCTGGAGGCAAAGCCTCCAGACGGCCCAGGGTGAGCCAGGGAGCATTTTGATGCCCTAAAACAGCTCATGTTTATTTCGTGGTCTTACCTGATCGTGTGTGGATTGAAGTGAAGGGGTGAGGTAGAAATGGAGCTTCCCCTCTAAGATTTTGCTTCTTGAGTTAAGGTTGGGGTCAGGTCAGAAAATGCTTTTTCATCGCTAGTGTTTTGATAGCAAAAGCAAAGAGCCAGTGGCAGAACTTTTCAAATGACTCTTAGAGGAGATGACCCAGCGTCCCTGAGGTATCCAACACACTAGCTTGTAAGAATAAGGATCAGAACATGACTCGTATGTTTGTATTCTGCAGAATCTCTCCCTCTCTCTCTCTCTCTCACACACACACACACACACACACACACACATTTTAAAAGCTTTCATGTGCCCTGATCACGCTGTGCTTCTTTTGTGATTAATTGAGAGTCTTTGGCTTTGCTCTGGAGATGCAAAAATCCTTGAGGTGACCTCCACAGAGTGATGTAAACCTACAAAGTGATTCATCTCGTGTCAGTGAAGTTGACATCTTAAATGACAGTCTGGCTTGACATCCCTTTTGGGGGTATTTCTTCTCAGAGCCTGCAAGACCCTTTTCATGAAACGTGGTCTGTGTTCGGTTTGTATAGTCATCTCGGTGCAGCTTTTTCTTTTCACTATAACAAAATAACGATGGTGTTTTCTTTTTAATTCCTTTAGCTTCCTTGCCTGAGTATTTAGGAAGCAAGTACTCTTAACATTTTTTAAATGTCTGTGGTGGGCTAGTGGATATTCTGAAATAGAGTTTTGGCATCACCTCTTTCTTTCAAATCCCCCTGTTGGGCATAGGATATTTACTTTGAATGAATTTGTCTGAATTTTAGAGACTCTCTTGCTTTGCTCCATCTCATGGGGAAATTGGGAAAACAAATGAGAAAAAGGGCAGTGCAAATAACTTCAGGTCAGCTAATCTGGAGGGGAAAGAAGTGTCTTAGGAGTAAAGATGGTTATTAGTTAGGCACGGAGGCAGGTGCCTGTAATCCCAGATACTCGGGAGGCTGAGACAGGGAAAATTGCTTGAACCCAGGAGGCGGAGGTTGCAGTGAGCTGAGATTGCGCCACTGCACTCCAGCCTGAGAGACAGAGCGAGACTCCGTCTCAGAAAGACTGTCAGCTACCAGTTGCTATACCAGAGGTAATAACTGAATGATAATACCCCTGCATTTTACTTTCTAGCAACTTTCATGTCCACTATTTCATTTTTAACATCTTGGATGTGTAGGACCAAGTTATGATAAGCAACTAACTTCATCTTTCCTCAATTGAGAAGAGTGAGGCATGCTTCTAAATGTAGTGTTGAACATTGTGGAGGATATGCTAACATTTTAGAAATAATCCAATTTAGCCACTGTGGGAAATGGTATGGCAGTTCCCCCAAAAATTAAACGTAGAATTATCATGTGGTCCAGAATTCTACTTCTTGGATATATACCCAAAAGAACTGAAAGCAGGGACTTGAATGGATATTTGTACAGCTATGTTCATAGCGGCATTATTCACAATAGCCAAAAGGTGAAAACAACTCACGTGTCCATCGAGGGATGAATGGATAAACCAAATGTAATATAAACATACAATGGACAGCTATTCATTCAGGCTTAAAATGAAAGAAAATTTTGACACATGCTACAACATGGGTGAACCTTGAAGACATGATACTAAGTGAAATCAGCCAGACACAGAAGGACAAATACTGTGTGATCCAATTTCATAACAATGTAAAAAGCACAGGGTATTTTGGGAGAGACACACATGAAACTGGTATCAGTGATTATGCAAAATAGTCTAGGACCTGGAGCCCCAGTGTCCAGCACATAGTGTGTGTTTTAGAAATACTAATGAGTAGACAGTTGTTGCCTGGGTAGAGTGGGGATAGTGGGGAAGACCTATTTTTCACTGTATAAACCTTTTAGTGCCTTTTGGTTTTCATACCATGTGGCTTCGTTACCTCTTCAAAACATTAACCCTTTAGATCCAGTGGCAGTGAAGGTGGTAAAGGGAGATGTAAGTTCCCATTTAGGACATTTTAGGACCCCCAAGGGTTGTTACCCTAAAGAGTAGTTGATGATTAAATTAAATCTCTGAACCATCCTCATGCCGAAGGGGTGTTGACAGGGGACAGTGGCAACCAGTGTGTTAGTCCATTTGTGTTGCTATAAAGGGATACCTGAGGCTGGGCAATTTATAGAGGAAAGAAGTTTGATTGGCTTACAGTTCTGCAGGCTGTACAAGCATGGCACCAGCATCTGCTGAGCTTCAGGTGAGGCCTCAGGAAGCTTCCAGTCATGGCAGAAGGTGAAGGGGAGCCGGGGTGTCACATGGTGAGAGAGTGAGCAAGAGAGAGGGGGAGGAGGTGCCAGGGTCTTTTAAACAACCAGATCCCATGTAAACTCACAGTGTGAGAACTCACTCATTACCAAGAGGATAGCACCAAGCCATTCTTGAGGTATCAGCCTCCATGACGCAAACACCTCCCCCTAGGCCCACGCCCAACATTAGACGTCACATTTCAACATGAGATTTGGAGGGGACAAACCATCCAAACTGTGTCATGCAGTATTTTTCCAGGCTTAGTTTTTACATTAGCAGGACAGGCATTTTTGGCAACATGTCATATTTTGTGTTTCCATTTGCTCCTGATAGGGGAGGAGACTAGTGGTCTCTTCTAGCTTTTTATGCTTTTAAACTGTTTTGCAGAGAAATGTGGTGTTTTCCCCCAACCCCTTCCCATCCTTCTCGTCCCTGGACTCGGCTCAGAGTCTTACAGGAGTCCAGGAGTATAAGTTGAGGGAAATTAATGCATTTGGTTGGATCCTGCCTGATGTACTTTATCTATCAGTGGCATCATGAGACCTGACGACAGTCACTGAAGTCACTGTATACTTTTTTTCACCTCTTCCTGCCTCTTCCCTTACCCATCTCCCCTGCCCCGGTAACTAACAGATTCCTTCCAGTCAAGGAGCTGATTATTATATTTTTCCCTTTACTTTTTTGGGGCACTGCTAAAGATGTATCTGAAGCAGGGCATGGAGGTATGCACCTATAGTCCCAGCTACTCGGGAGGCCAAGGCGGGAGGATCCTAGGAATTCAAGACTAGCCTGGGCAACATAGCAAGATCCCCATCTATGCAAAAAATTTTAAAAAATTAGCCGAGCCTGGTGGCATACACCTGTAGTCCTGGCTACTCGGGAGGCTGAGGCGGGAGGATGGCTGGAGCCCAGGAGTTTGAGGCTGCAGTGAGCTATGGTTGAATCACTGCACTCCAGCCTGGGCAACAGAGAGAGACCCTGTCTGTTAAAAAAAAAAAAAAAAGAAAGAAAGAAAGAAAGAAAGAAAGAAAGAAAGAAAGAAAGACCTGAAAAGAACTAATTAACGCTCATACATAGAATTTTTGATGAGAACCTTCTGGCTCTAAAGAAAGTATTGGTCAACTATACTGTCTAGGCTAATTTCTTAGAAAATAATGAGCATAGTTAAGGATAACTGAGAAAATGTAAACTATGGAGACTGTATCCCATGTCAAAATTAAAAAATTGGTGGATTGATAGGGAGAGAGGAGGATAAGGGAGAAAATGTATTTTGCCATTGTAGAAATCAGAAATTTGGGCCGGGCACGGTGGCTTACACCTGTAATCCCAGCACTTTGGCGGGGGGATCACCTGAGGCCAGGAGTTCGAGACCAGCCTGGCCAACATGGTGAAACTGTGTCTCTACTAAAAATACAAAAATTAGCTGGGTGTCATGGCAGACACCTGTCATTCCAGCTACTCAGGAGGCTGATGCAGGAGAATCAGTTGAACCTGGGAGGCGGAGGTTGCAGTGAGCTGAGATCGTGCCACTGCACTCCAGCCTGGGTGACAGAGGGAGACTTGGTCTAAAAAAAAAAAAAAAAAGAAATCAGAAATTTGAGCAGTCAATGATGTGCCCTGGGGGTCACAGTCCCCCCACCCCGGAGATAATGGATTTGGTGCTTTCTTTTTGATTTTTCAAAATAATACTAAAGTCATTTTCGCTTCCCTCTGAATTACTGCAGTAAATTTATATAGGGTGGATGTTGGCCTTGCCACAGCAATTATGTCGTTTCGAAGTATGCCATTGTTTTGTCCTGCAGCTGAAAAATGGGTGGGTTTATTAGGTCCACAGGGCAGCGTCCTTGTTCTGAGAAGAGGGAGGCATGCAGGAATGGCCAGCATTCCTTTTTGTTGGGCTTGTCCCTGTGGATGGCAAGAATCCCCTGGAGCCAGGCACAAATCCTGTCTGAGCAGCCCTATTATTACCCTGCAGAGTAAAAGGGAGACAAAGACCCAAGGTGAATTTCGTTACAAATTGAAAAGCAAAAAAATCAATCCATTCATTGCCTTCTTAAATTCTCTGTCATGTTCCTCCACACTCAGAGGTTTAAGGACCATCAGGGAATGGCCCGTTTGAGGGTGGGGAGGGCAGGGCCCAGCCCCATGAGCTGCCTCAGGGCTTCTGCAGAGCTGGCCACATGTTGGGCTTTATTGACATCAGGTGTTGTGACCCATGGACTTGATCAATCATTTCGGCCTTCCCTTGTGGAGCCTGTCCAGGAGAATGGATGTGGACTGTGTTCTGATGGAGGAAAATAAATTGTTCTTGGTCAGGTTTTTGAAAATAACAGTCCTTGTCTCTCAGGTGGGCACATGCTTGGCTGATTGATGGAATATCTAGAAGCCTTGGCTTAAATATAGAACAAATGATATTGAGCTACTTAATCTTACTATCACTGTACCAGGTTCCATAAAGATGATGCCTTGGTCAGCTCAGGCTGCTGTAACAAACAAAGGCACGTTTCTTATAAACAATAGAAACTTGTTTTTCACAGTCTGGAAGCTGAAACTCTGGGATCCAGGTGGCAGCTAGTTGGTTGTTAGTGAGGCTCTCTTCTGGGTTTGCAGATGGCTAACTTCTCACCATAGCCTCACATGGTTGAGGATGGCTGGAGAACTCTCTAGGGTCTCTCTCTCTCTTGCTCTCTGTCTCTCTTTTTTTAAAAGCAGCATCTCACTTTGTCACCCAGGCTAGAATGCAATGGTATGATCTCAGCTCACTGCAACCTCCACCTTCCGGGCTCAGGTGATCCTCCCATCTCAGTCTCCGTGCCCATCCTCTAGGGTCTGTTTTATAAAGGCATCAATCCCACTTATGAGGGCTCTACCCTCATTACCTAATTACCTCCCACAGGCTCCACCTTCTAATACCAGCACATTGGGGATTTCGACACACGCATTCAGTCCATAACAGATGAGGAGCCAACATTGTTGAATCATAAGTGATCCATTTTTTTTTCTTTTTATTTCTGATTGATCAAGGCTTGCAAAAGATTTAACTTTCCTGGGTTGGGTAGAGTGGCTCATACCTATAATCCCAGCACTTTGGGAGGCTTAGGTAGGAGGATCACCTGAGGTCAGGAGTTTGAGACCAGCCTGGTCAACATAACAAGACCCCATCTCTACAAAAAAAAAAAATTAGCCAAGCATGGTGGTGCATGCCTGTAGTCCCAGCTACATGGGAGGCTGAGGCAGGAGAATCGCTTGAGCCCAGGAGCTCAAGGTTGCAGTGAGCTATGATCTTGCCATTGCATCCCACCTTGGGTGACAGACCCTGTCTCAAAAAAAAAAAAAAAAAAGATTTAAATTTCCCTTTTAAGTTTTTCTTAGCTAGCATAATAAGGGATAGTCTGAGCAACTCAGACTGCCTATTTAGAAAGCTCTGGGTTTTGCTTCAATATGGATGGAAAAGGGAATTGAAAAAGTTGACACAGAAGGGCATGCAGTCTCAGAAAGGGCCATTGCAGCACCTGGCGATTTTTTTTTCCAGGATGGAGAAAAGTTTTCTTGTCAGGCTACTTCCTGATAGGTTCCTGCAGCTGCTTTGATCTAACTTCCTCTTTTCCCCACTGGACAAAACCAAAACAAAGCAAAACAAGTCCAGAAACAAAAGAGAAGTGGGGATAGGACCAGCCACGTGTGTACCCTTGGGCGGTTGGTACATGCTCAGGGCATGAGCCCAAACTTGCTGTGACAAGTATGGTCCCAGGCTGTGCCTTTTAGAACAGTGTCCTCCAAAGTACTAGTGAAGTGGTACTGAGATTTCCAAAGACTGTCTTTGCAGTGCAGGATTTCTGATTCTGACAGAAACCAAGGGGAGAACTCACTTTTTCTATTTAAAAAATTATCAGTAATAAAGCACTCAGGTCTTCGACCACTCTTGCAAATACTGTTGTTTTTCTCTAGCTGAGTCTAGGAAGGAATACGAGTTTATAGTGCAGTGCCAGTAAGGTTGGAATTTTCTGTGATAGGGGAGTAATTGAGACAGGTACAAATCGTAAGATCTTCCCGAGGACTGGATACAGGAGAAAGAAATGCAGCCCCAGAAAGGGAGGTGTGCAGTTGCAGGCAGATGGGCCAAGGAGATGGTCTGATTGCCAAGTGGATTGGAGCCCAAGTCTTCAGGTTTTCAAGTGGGTAATTAGAACAGGAAGGAGCCAAACACAGGCCTGCTGGCGCCAGGAGCCGCAAGATTTTCCGTTCAGGTTGTGTCGTCTCAGAGCTAAGATGGGTGCATGCGAGTACTTCCCCGGCCAGTTAACAAATGCGAGCATCCAGTACCGTGCCCATGACTGTGGGTGCAGGGAGCAGAGTGTAGGCAGATGAGCAAATGGGGTTTCCATGCCTGAGGAACAAGAAGTCTTAGGCTAAGTGGTGAGTACCTGCAAAAATGAGAGAATAGCACAAGACGGCATAGCTGAGTAATACATTGCATGGTTTTGCTTCCAAGTGCCAGCATCTCCGAGTAGTGTATCTGACACCAGCACACTCTGGTGTCAGAATCTTGGGTTTATATTCTGGCTACTCAAACTGTGTGGTCCTGGGCAAATTCTTTAATCTTTTTTGGGTTTCAATTTCCATAGCTATAAAATGAGAATAGTTGTAGTATCTATCTCGTGAATTTATTATGAGAATTAAATTATTTTCTCTGTGGATTAAAAAAAAGGACTTTTGCCCCTGATTCTTGTTTTTGAATACAGTCTTGATCCCCAGAAGTGTGGCAGCTCTCTTGTACACATGATGAAGAGTGTGAAGGGGAAAAGTTGATATGCAAACAATGGTGGATGAGGGGGTGAAGCTGTTGGGATCCTTGATGACTGTGGGGTGGCCAAAGCTGACCTCCCACCTTCAGACTTTCTGAAATCAACCACTGATGGCTGGGCCTTCTGTTACTTGTAACCAAACGTATCTTAATTGATGCAGGCTTGTTGCCAGACTGTAAACTCATTGAGGGCAGAGCCATGTCTTATTCACCTTTGGGCTGTCAAGGACAGCCTAACCTAATGCACGGTGGCACACAGTAGGTGGTGCTTAGTGGTTTATGATAGGAAGATGTGTGGTTAGAAAGCAGGGAAGGAGGCAAGGAGGCAGGGAGAAGTGATGTGCTGGTAAACAGTTAACAATTAGATCTCTGGGGAAAAATTCTGATTTGTAGCATTTGCCAATTTCCAGGGTGTAAATATTCCTATCATGGCTGATTTCACGCTACCAGTGTGATGTGAGTGAGCTCAGTGTTGGGAAGAGATGGTCACAGTCAGTTCTTGTGAGTTGGTACAATCCAGCCGTAGCTCACCACTAGAAGGACAGGGAAAAAGAAAGGGAGAGAGAAAAGGGAAGAAAATTTATTATTAAAATTAATAGTAATCATGGTAACGACACTAACAATGTTTAAACTTTATTGAGAGCTTACTCTGTTCCAGGTTCTTCCGGTCCCTCCTAATGATCTTCCCTTTGCATCTCATTGACCATAGCTGGGTTGCATGCCCTTTCCTAGTTGCAGGAGAGGCAAGAAAAGTTTGGCAAAGGAAAGTGGAAGTGTTATGTCTTGCTTGGGCCATTCAGGTGTCATTCCTTAGGGCAGGGCCCCTTGCCTCCCTGAACGCAGGCAGGCAACTGTCAGCCAAGGAGGAGGACTGTGGGATAAGCAACCAAGACTATCTGAAAAGACAAGACCTTTCAAGTAGAATGGATTATTTTTCAGACACCAAAGTTGCCTTTTCAGCAAAGTGAACTAGGCTCCTTATCATCAAAATTCTAAAATTTCTCACTGCCTTCTTTCATTTCTGTGGATACCACTCCAAATATCATAAATTGACCTGGTCCTTCATATAGAATGGTTGGTTTTCTAAACCAAACAGATCCCAACCACGGTGATAAATGAGGTGGGGAGATGGGAAATCTATGCAGCTTGTCAAAATATGATTGCGGTAAAGCGTCCAGAAGTGAAAACTGGAGCCTCCTGTGTGCAGATTCACCATGTTTAGTGGGGCTGTGCAGTCCTGCATGGGCTGGAGTGGGGACAGCTGTGGCAGAAATGAGGTGGACAGAGTGAGGTGGTGGGCATGTCAACTGCAAAGTTCCTTCATTATGGATCGACATGCTCCTTTACATATCCTGCTGGGCTAGTTGCTCACAGTGGAGAGTCTGGAGTTATTGCAATTCTGTGGCAGGCAAAATATATAGAATAAAAGAAAATGCCTTAATTGGGACCATTGTTGGGAGAAAGAGGGCAAGAACTGTTCTAAGGGATATTTCTGTAGTCTTAGCATCCTCTTCTTAATTTTTGCAGATTTTATGTCCTGTTGTCAGTTTCTTTAAAAAACAAACAAACAAAAGAGATTACAAGTGATTTATGGGTTCCACCTCCTAAGAGGTCCAGTGTGGGAAAACAAAGGAAGGGAAGAAATCGATGTAAGGAGATTAATAATTCTGGTAGGAGGCACCACGTGATGCACAGGCCTAAACTTCCTATTGAAGCTGGTTGGAAGGCCGAGGCAGGAGGATTGCTTGAGCCCAGGAGTTTGAGACTGCTCTGAGCAACATAGAGAGAGCCCCGCCACTCAAAAAATAACAAAAATTAGTCAGGTGTGGTGGTGCGTGCCTGTAGTCCCAGCTACTCGGGAGGCTGAGGTGGGAGAATCTCTTGAGCCTGGGAGGTGGAGGCTGCAGTGAGCTGTGATCTCACTATTGCATTCCAGCCTGGGCGACAGAGTGAGACCTCATCTCCAAAAAAAAGATGACTAATTTGGAAGACATGGACCCTGTTTTGAAACGATGACTCACTTCAGCTAGAGGAGAAGCCTGGTGGCACCCAGGTGAAAAGAGGCCACTCATTATTTCTCAGCTGGCTGTAAATTGCACCGGGAGTCAGAATCGATACCTACCTGACCTCTTTGGGCTGTTGGTAAAACTAGAGGCACCCCTTGTGGCTGTGCCGAGTTGATGTCCAGAAGAACACTGGTTGGAGGCGACCGTTCTTTTTAGGCTTTCCAGTCTAGAGCTTACGACCCCCAGTGCAGGAGTAGCTTGGTTCTTTGTTGTCTGATAGTGTTTCCTGGGTCAGCTGGCATTTCCCCCATGTGGTCTGACCTCCTGTGTTATAAAGGCAAAACTACTTTAAGTTAGAGATCAGCATCTGGATATTCAGTCATCAGCCAAATATTTTGATCTTTCTCTGAGCAGAATGGAAAATGTCCTGCTTTGAAAACCTTGCCTTGTTCCTCGAAGGCAGGGGTTGGCAAACTTTGTTTTTAAAGAGCCAAGCAGTAAACTTTGGGTTTTGCAGACCATACAGTCTGTCACAACTTTTCAGTTGTGCAGTTGTAGAGTGAAAGCATCCATAGGCAATAAGTACACAAATGAGTGTGGCTGTCACCCAATAACACTGTTTACAAAAACAAGCAGTGGGAAGGATTTGGCCCACATGCCTTTGTTTGCCAACCATGATTCTAAGGGGTCTTGGATGGAATGGAAACCTCTGTCTTGCCCATATGGGTCCTAATGCATTTTAAAAGTCAGTGTGCTGTTTGGCTAAGAGACACTTCCTCACCTGAAATCACAGTGAAGAGCAAAAAGGGACAGCGAACTCCTTCTTATTCCACTGGTGCTCAAGGGGTAAAAGAGGAAGAAGATGTCGTTGGGCCACTTTATGTAAGTATATATACTAGGGTGGTGCAGGCTTTGAACTTCTCACTCAGTGATGTCCACGTCTTTTGTGTTAGCCGGCTGGCTAAAGTTTAACTTTCCCCTAGGACTTCACTAAATCCTCACGTCTGTAATTTTTTTTTTCCTCTTTCTAATAGCCTGGATAAAGAGGAAAATAAGGTGAGTGCTGATGGTCCGTACTTGAGACACACTACAGCTTATTTCTTAGCACTTTTCAGGCTTTGGGCTATTTCAAAGGCGACCTACTCTGTCATGTTGAAGTGTGGGTTGGGATTCACTTGCATATCCTCCCAGACTGGGGATGGCTCTATTAAGAAAGGAAAGCAGTTTCCAATTTTACAAATGTGACGATTTCCCCAGCAGACTTTCGACAGGAAAAATTAATAGGCAACTGCATGTTGCCTCAATCTATTTTCACATTAAGACCCAGAAGGAGGTGTGGGGTCAAGCTGACACCTCTTAGATCGGCACACCAGGGTGAGGGCCTCCAAACGCTGACAGCATCATTCCACCAGGTAGTGTGCAGGGAAGTTGGCTGGTTTTCAACGTATGTCCCGTGACTGCTTGCTTTTGTAAGCATGTGTTGGCTATAGATGGTTAGAAAGGTCAGCTTCAAGTGACAAAAGCCCTGGCTCAAGTTGCTAGAATCACCCAGTTTCAGTCCCTTTGAGGTCTTGCAAGAAGAAATGAGATAATCGCCCTCCTCCTTTCCGACTTGCGCTGTGCCAGTGTAACTTAGAAGGGCATCCTCTCTGTGAAAAGACTGGATTTACATATTTTGCTAATTACAGCTGTCAGATTCCTCGAAGTGATTTAAGGGTGGGGAGGCCTAACAAGTGTGAAGAGTATTTTTAGCCAAGTTGTGTGGGTTTGATAGCCATTTGGGGACTAGTAATTGAATCTAAAGCTTCATGTGAGGCCGTACGGAAGTGGTGCGAGGTGGAAGGAGACCGAGGTTGGGCGACGTAGGTGTGGGGCAGCTGTGGGGTGATTTGATCCTGGTGCGGGCTGGTGGTCTCTTTGCCTGCTGTGACAGCTGTCAGTCAGCCTGCTTTATGGGGTGTGAAATTGACACCTTCTCTGCTGTCTGGGTGCTGGAAGGGGTACAGTTGGAACTGGAAACTTGATCTGCAGAGCATTCATTTGTTTATTCATTCAACAAGCATTTTTTGAGTAAATTAGAGTTTCTGAAACTTTCTTGTACATACAGGATCACCAGGCTGTCTTGTTAACATGCGGATCCTGTTAGTAGATCTGGGATGGGTTGAGAGTCTGCCTTTCTAACAGGCTTTTGGGTGATGTCGATGCTGCTGGTCCAGGGACCATACCTCTACTCAGAAGGCCTAACACTGTATGCCACTTTGGTGTGACAAGATGAAACACTTTGAGCTTCCTCAGGATCTTCCTTTCCCATTTGCCCAGATGTTCTTCCTCTGGATCTTTTCTGTTTTTTGTATTTTTTGTTTTTTATTTTTCTTTGAGACAGGTCTTACTCTGTCACCCAGGCTGCAGTGCAGTGGCATGATCACAGCTCACTGTAGCCTTGACCTCCTGGGCTCAAGCCATCCTCCCACCTCAGCCTCCTGAGTAGCTGGGACTACAGGCGCACACCACCACACCTGGCTAATTTTTCATTTTTTTGTAGAGATGAGGTCTCACTATATTGCCCAGGCTGGTCTCAAACTCCTGGGCTCAAGTGATCCTCCTACCTTGGCCTACCACAGTGCTAGGATTACAGGTGTGAGCCACCGCGCCCAGACTTCCTCTAGATCTTTACTCGGCTGTCTTCCTTTCATTCCTATCTCAGCAAAAACGTCACCACCTAGAGAAACTTTGTTTTCTCCCATGGCCCAAATCTAAAGTAGCTCCCACTGCCTGTTTTAGCTCTTAGAAGACAGCCTCTGAGATGATCTTGTTTTGTATTTCTCTCTGTCTCTATGAGAAGAGGAGTTCTGCGAGAACAAAGCCCTTGCACTTGTCTGTCTCTGTCCAGTGCTGTTTCTTCCTCCCACCCTTGGCCGAGCCTAGCAGGATGCCTAGCACATAGTAGGTACTCAAATTGTGTTGAGAAGAAGGTCGCAATTCCTATCTCCAAGGGTCCCACTGACTAGAATGAGAGATGGAAAAGTCAGTAACTAGTTATAACTGTGGTGTTGAAAAGCAGTGTGAGAAGGAGTAGACCCCAGGCTGTCTGGGTTCTAATCCATGTAACTCTAAAATCGCTTGTGCCTCAGTTTTCTCATTAAAATGAGGTGAAGTAACAGTACCTTTCTTATACATCTGTTGTGAGGATTAAATCTAATAAATGTAAAGCCTGAGCAAAGTACCTGGTATAGAGTGGACCATCAGGAAATGTTAGTTGTGATGAAGAGGATGATGAAGATGATGAAATGGTGGTGGTGGGGATGGTTATGGTGATAGTTGCAGGGGGAGAGCCTAACTTTTCAGGGAGGGCTTCACATACGAAGTGCACTTTGAGCTGAATTTCCAAAGGCAAGTAGTAATGCCTTAGGGCAGTGTCTTAGTTACCATTGCTGTTTTATTAGTCTGATCTTACACTGCTATAAAGAACTACCTGAGACTGGGTAATTTATGAAACAAAGAGGTTTAATTGACCTACAGTTCCACAAGCTGTATAGGAAGCATGGCTGGGAGGCCTCAGGGAACTTACAATCATGGCAGAAGGCGAAGGGGAAGCAAGCAAATCTTCACATGGTGTCAGCGAGAGAGAGAGAGAGAGAGAGAGAGAGAGAGAGTGAGAACTAGGAGGGAAGTGCCACACCCTTAAACCATCAGATCTTGAGAGAACTCACTATCATGAGAACAGCATGGGGGGAAATCTGCCCCCATGATCCAATCACCTTCCAATGTTAGGTTCGTCCCCCAGCATTGCGAATTACAATTCAGCATGAGATTTGGATGGGACACAGAGCCAAACCATATCAGCTGCATAACAAATTGTCACAAATCTGGCAGCTTAAAACAACACACGTTTATTATATCACAGTTTTTTTGGGTCAGGAACATGAGCACAACTTAGATGGGCCCTTTGCCTTAGGGTCTCTCTCTGGCCTCAGTGAAGGTATCAGCCAGGGCTGGGGTCTCATCAGAAGGCTTGACTGGGGAAGGATCCACTTCCAAGCTCACATGATTGCTGGCAGGATTTGATTCTTGCCATGTTGGTGTCTCTGGTCAGCTCACAACAAGGCAGCTTACTTCATCAAAGCCATCGAGAGAGTGATGGCACAAGGGACGTTATAATCTTATATAATGTAATCATGGAAGCAATATGTCCTCACCTTTGCTGTATTCTATTATTTAGAAGCAAGTTAGGCTAGCTTATGCTCAAGGGGGAAGGGGCATTACACAGGCTGTGAATACCAGGATTTGGGGGTTACTGGGGTTGTCTTAGAATCTTTCCACCATAGATAACAAGAGGGGACCGAGGGTTTGACAGGAGGGGCAATCCAGGCAGAGGGAACAGCATGTGCAAGGGCCAAGAGACAGGGGGCACCATGTCCTAGTGAGGAAATGCCCATCTTGATGGGCCTGGCTGACCAGTGACTGGCAAAGTGTTTGAAATGAGGGTAAGACAGGGAGCAAGGATGCATGGGCTCTGGTGCTGGTATTACTGCTCCTGGTGATGATTCAGGGTATGTTCCTTGCTCTGGGCTTCCATTTCCCCAGCTGCGTAAAGCAAGAGGCATGTCCTGGATCAGGCATTTTCACCCTGGGTACCAGGGAAGCTGGGGCCCCACAGAGAAATCTCAGGGACTGCTGGGGAGGATGGAGGAGGAGTGAGCATCCCCTGCCTCTTTGCCAGAGCAGCTCTGCTTCGATCTGTGCAATACTGAGATTTCTGTATATGATTTTCTTTCTTTCAACAGAGGCTTCCATGACTTAAAAACAGGTGAAAATGCCAGCACTAGCTGCCCTCAGAGAGCCATCTTATGCTGACCGCATGTGGTTCTCTTATGGTTCCTATGGGCTTGAGCCAGGACCAAAACCTAAGACCCTGAGCCAGCCAACCAGTGATATTGCTTTCCCCATCCAGAATGAGGAAAAAGGGGGACTTGAGGCTGTACCGGGGTTGGTGGGGAGGTATGTTACTGAGTTACTGGAAAATCCAGTTTCCGAGCTTGTGATCTCAACTATTTCATTCATTCACTCACTCAGTTGTTCATTTGTTCTTTTACTCACTCAATGCTGTGTTGGCAAATGGCAGTCAGTGTTAACGTGGGGCTTTATTAAGTCCACCTCCAAAATGTTTTGTCAATGCCAAGCTTGTGAAATAAGAAACTCTGATTCTAGCCACATCAGGGAGGCAGGTAGCAGTCGAGGTTGTGCACACCTTGTGGCTTGCTCTCTAGAGAAAGGGCACCATGTCAGAGGCCATGTCTCTATTCTCTGGTGGAACCCATGGAAAAGAGTATCTGTAGGAATGGTGGGCAGAATGGGGAGTGGAGATGAGTAGGGTAAGGAAGAGTTGACCCATAGAAGGGGAAATATATTTTTGTAATAGGGTTTTTACTTTTTAGATTTGTGGGTTAAATTTCTGTAATCTGGAGTGACCTGAGAAGATACTTCATTCGTCTTCTAGACAGGAGGCACACACCTTTCCTTTTGCCTCTTTCCCCATCATTTCCTGTCTTCTCTGCATATTTTTAATTTTATAGAAGACACTGTTCTGTGTAGGACTCAGAGAAACAGCTGGTTCTCTCTGGTTTGGGAACTAATTGCCACTCCCTAGCTGTGGGATCTTGGACAAGTGGCCCAACCACCCTGAACTCAGGGGTCCAGGATGGGGGTTGGGCCCCACAATTTCTAAGCTCCTCATGGCCATGCCTGGGAGGCTGGGTTCTGCCAGACTGCTGTGTCCGGAAGCATTAAAATTCATTGTCTTCCCTGGAGCCAACTCTAGGCTCCATTAAACAGCTTGTCCCTGAGGCAGCTGGAGCTGGCAAGGGGCCTGTTCTTAAAAGCAACAGGTTGTGTGTTGGCAGCCGCACAAAGGCAGCCCTGGGGGCGTCCAGCCCCTGCTGCTCTCCGGGCAGGGAGTCCAGGTGGATGAGAAAGGAAGGTGTCTGTCCTCCGGGAAGGAAGGGAGAGGGATTACCATCAGGTGGTGGGAGGGGCAGCTCTCCTGAATCAGACCCTGGAACACTTGACCGAGGCAGCTCCACATTTTGGGGTCTCAGTGGTACAGGTGTGGAGCACATGCAGGGATGAGCTTTGGAGGGACCAGAAAGACCCCCCTCCGCTGGAAAGACAAGGCACAGGAATAGCAGCAGCTGATGCTTGTTTATTTTTTTATTCTGTATAAGTTAGTTACATGTATTATCTCTAACATCTAAGATGGTGTGGGGCCCTGTGGGACCCCATTTTACAGAGGAGAAACTGAGGCTCTGAGACCTCAGGAGACTTATTCTAGGTGGTTCAGCTGGCTCCAAAGCCCCCCTTTTCCCAGCTAAGAGATTATATGAGGGCTACAGGAAGAGGATCCCTGTGATCCTGGAGTTTGGCAGGGTGGGTATATTAGGTTCCCAGGGCTGCCATACAAATTCTCATTATCATAAAGTGGGTTGCTTGAAACAGACATTTATCCTCTCATGGTTCTGGAGGCTCGAAGTCTGAGATGAAGGCTTGGTTCCTTCTGGAGGCTCTGAAGAAGAATCTTTCCCATGTCTCTCTCCTGGCTTCTGTGGTCGTTGGCAATCCTTGGTGTTCCCTGGCCCGTAGACACGTCTCTCCAGGCTCTGCCTCTATCCTCACCTGACATTCTGCCCTGTGTGTTCTGTCTTCACACTGTCTTCCTTCCATGTGTGTCTCTGTATTCAGATTTCCCTCTTCTTGGGCTGGGTGCGGTGGCTCACGCCTGTAATCCCAGCACTTTGGGAGGCCAAGGTGGGCGGATCACCTGAGGTCAGGAGTTCGAGACCAGCCTGGCCAACATGGTGAAACCCTGTCTCTACCAAAAATACAAAAATTAGCCAGGTGTGGTGTCATGCACCTGTAGTCCCAGCTACTCAGGAGGCTGAAGCAGGAGAATCGCTTGAACCCAGGAGGTGGAGGCTACAGTGAGCTAAGATTGCACCATTGCGCTCCAGCCTGGGCAACAGAGCAAGACTCTGTCTCAAAAAAAAAAAAAAAAAAAGATTTCCCTCTTCTTGTAAGGACACCAGTCATTGGATATTGGATTAGGGCTCACACTACTCCAGTATGACCTTATCTTAACTTGATGACATTTGCAGAGACCCTGTTTCCAAATAAGGTCACATTCATAGGTACTGGTTGGTTAGGACCTGGACATTTCTTTTTCGGGGACAAAATTCAACCCACAACAGTGGGGATGTCTGTAAGGCGGGAATGTGCAGGGGCGGAGTTGGGCTGAAGGGAAGTGAACTCACTTCTGCCTCTTTCTGGTTCTCTGGGCTGTGCACCTGGGAACAGGGCTCCTTCACCGCTCATCACCAGCTGGGAACCTGGTTGCTGGAGAGGCCAGGTCATGAGGGGCTTATAGGCCTTGGTAAAGGCTTTGGACCTGATCCTGGACTAGGCAGAGCCATTGAAGGAGCTGAAGTGGAGGTGTGTATGGTCAGAGTGCATGGTGAGCATTGGGAGGGGGATGCACCGGGCGGGGACAGGAGAAGGGGGGCACCGGCCTGGGTCTCAGATAATGACGGCCCAGGGGAGAGGAGCAGGGCCTGAAGCCCAGAGGGGAGAGGAGGGCGGCTGGACAGGAATCCAGGTGGTCAGGTGGGCAGGCCTTGCTCTCAAAGGGAGAGGGCGGGAGAGGAGGGAACATTTGTTGAGTGAATTGAAGGAGTCTGTAGCGAAGGAGGGTGGATTGTCCCTAGGAGGAGCAAGAGCATGGTGGGAGGGAAGGAAGTGGGAAGAGAGGCGAGGAAACCAGCTCACTCCATCTCACTGACCGCGGATTCTTCTCCCAGGGAAATGTGGGAACGAAATTAATCCTGAAGCTTCCCCAGGTTTCTGTGATTCTCAACCAGTGTGGGCTGGAGCAATCAGAGAAGCCTTCGTGGGGGTGTAGGTCTGACTTGGGGGAAGGAAGTATAGAGGCAGGAAAGCAGGGGATGCATTTCAGGGGTGGGGACAACCTGTACAGAGGCCCAGGGCTGAAGCTGAGTGCAGTTCCACCCAGGGCCAGAGAGGACCAGCTCTGCTGTGCGGAGAGGACCTTTTCCAGCCGCAGCAGCAGCTTCTGTCCTCCAGCCGTGGAGATGTGCAGTTACTCCCCCTCATCAATATTTCAGCCTTGACTTTCACAAAGCACCCCCTCTGCCTCTTTGCCTCCCCCAGCAGCCTGGGTGAATAAAGGGAAGAGCTGACGCTGTCCCTGCTGGTGGGCATGCCAGGGCCAGAGCGGGACCTGTCGAAGCCTTCGCACCTGTCTGTGACTTGAGGTAGATGAGACTTCTTGAAACCGAGCCCCTAGCCCTCTGCCTGGCTGTCTCCTAGGCCCCTTCTCTGTACCTGTCTTTATGATTTGTTTTAAGGAAAAGCTGGGGAGGGAGCTCGAAGTCTCCTTATTCTCTGAATGATGTTCATCTGAATTGTACCAATTCCTGCAAATTGGAGGCCCCCATTTCTGTACCCTCTCCGCCCCTCCCCTCCCAAAGTGTACAGAATTAATTCTGTTGACTATTGTCATTCTCTCTGTTCAGCAGAAATTCCCCCCCCCGCCCCCCCGAGACAGGTTCTCACTCTTGTCCCCCAGGCTGCAGTGCAGTGGCGCGATCTTGGGCCACTGCAACCTCCACCTCCTGGGTTCAAGCAATTCTCCTGCCTTAGCCTCCCAAGTAACTGGGACTTCAGGTGTGTGCCACCACGCCCAGCTAATTTTGTATTTTTTGGTAGAGACAGGGTTTCAACATGTTGCCAAGGCTGGTCTTGAACTCCTGACCTCAAGTGATCTGCCCACGTTGGCCTCCCAAGGTGCTGGGATTACAGGCTTGAGTCACCGCACCTGGCCTAGAAATTTTTAATTCTAAGTCCTCGGGCACCAGGAGCATCTCTAATAGAGACTTTTCAAAAATGATTTTAGGTTTCTATGTGGGTGACTGCTTCCTAAGCAGGTGAGTAACAAACCCATCTTAATAGCACAGCTGCATTCTCCATTGGAGGTGGGTGCAATCTGCTTCTGGACGGTAGGCTTCTGAGGCAGGAGTGTGTCTTACAAGGTTGTGTTCCCACCGAGAGGGAGGAGCTGTGGTTCCCCAGTATCAATCAGTGGGGTGGGAACAGGGACGGTGTTGTCTTTTCTGTGCTTCCAGAACACCATGGGACTCTCCTAGCACTTCTGGGCTTGGCTACCTCTCTAGGTATCGCCTCTCTAAGCTGTAAACTCAAGGACAGGGATAGTATTTTGTTTTTGTTTTTCAGTTGCTGTATCCCCAGAGCCTAGCACAGTACTTGGCATGTAGTAAATGTTCAACAAATTAATTCATCCATTCACTTCTCAAGTACTTACTGAGCACCTACTATGTGCCAGCCTTCATTCCAGGACTAAGGAGATGGCATTAAAGTAAACAAAGTCCCTCCCTTCATGGAGCCTCCATTCTGGTGGGGAAGACAGACTGTCAACAAGTGAACACGGCTGGGCGCGGTGGCCCATGCCTGTAATCCCAGCACTTTGGGAGGCCAAGGCAGGTGAATCACCTAAGGTCAGGAGTTCGAGACCAGCCTGACCAACATGGTAAAACCCCCTCTCTACTAAAAATACAAAAATTAGCCGGGCATGGTGGTGGGCGCCTGTAATCCCAGCTACTCTGGAGGCTGAAGTGGGAGAATCGCTTGAACCTGGGAGGCAGAGGTTGCAGTGAGCCAAGATCATATCATTGCACTCCAGCCTGGGCAACAAGAGTGGAACTCCATCTCAAAAAAATAAAATAAATAAAATAAAATAAAATAAACACATGCATGGTAAATAACATAATTTGGGGTAATGAAGAATGCCATTTAAGCAGGGCTAGGAAATGGAGTGATGAAGTGGGAAAGCTATAGGTTGGTGCAAAAGTAATTGTGGTTTTTGCCATTTTAAAAGTAGTGGAGAAAACAGTAATTACTTTTGCACCAACCTAATATTTTGGAAGGTACCGTTGAGGAAGTCTTCCCTGAAGGGTGGCTTTTGAGCAGAGACTGAAGGGATGGGAAGGGTGAGCCATGGGAATTTCTAAGGGAAGAGTGTTTGTGGCAGAGGGAATACCAAGGACAAAGGCTCAGAGTTGGGGATGAGCTAGGCATGTTAGAGGAATGATGAGGCTGGATTGGGTGGGAGAGGCAGGCAAGGGTTAGATTACATAGGGTCTTAATAGTCAAGGTTGGGTGTTTGATTGATTATAATCCAGGTTAGTATTGACCAGATGCACATGAAAGGCCTGCAGGAAACCAAATTAGTATTGAAAAAAGATAAGGCAGTTGTATGAATATGGTTCTGTTCAACCCTGTTTGCAGTTTACCTTCTGCTCATAGATAGAGAGGCACTGCTTTGTAGTTAATCTAAGAATTCAACATGGCAGAGGAGTGGGAAGGTTTGGTTGAGCCATGGGGGGGTTCATGGTACCTTCTAGGAATTCAGTCTTTGATGGGGTGAATTTGATGTGTGCTATTCAAACTCAAAAACATGGATCAGCACCGGGAAGCATCTTGAGATAGGGGTGGGAAGAGACGGTCATACCTCAGCAGGCAGCATTAGTACTTTATGGTACTTTATAATTGGGCAGCAGAAAAGGCACAAGACTTGAATTTGAAAGATAAGGTTTCTAGTTCCAGTTCCTCCACTTATGGAGTGGTCTTGGATTTGTCATTTAACCTCTACAAGCTTAGTTTCTGCAGGTGATGTCCTTGTTCTGCTTTTCCATAGTGAATCTGAAAACCCTTTGCAAACTGTTGCTGCTACATCCTCCATTATAAACCCTTCTATTAGACTGTGAGCTCCTTGAGTATGGGGGCTGCATTTCACGCATTCTGGGTCTCTTGGAATTAGCAGAATGCCAAGGTGCTCACTGGATTTGCTGTGAATCGAATTCTGCTGTGACATTGCTGTGGTCAGCCATGTCTTCCGGGGACAGAGTCTGCAACAGAAGTGTCACATAACCTGGGAGAAGAGTGCTCAAATTGGAGCTGAAATTCTAGCTCAGTGACTTAGAGGGGCTTGGCTTAGACTAGTCACTTAACTTCCTTATGGTACTTTTTCCCATCTGCGAGATGAGTAAGATAATTTTACCAAACTCATGTGCTATTTGTGAGTGTCAGATGAAGAAACATGAGTGTATTAGGTTATAGGACTGGCTGCTATTCCATGGCAACCAGATAGCAATGGCTTTCAGAAGATGGGAGTTCATCTCTCACTAAACAGTCCTGACATGGCCTGATGTGGCGACGCCATGGCATCAGAAGCCCAGACCCCTCCCATCTTGTTGTTCTGCCCCCACACTGAGGGTTGACCTTATCCATGTAGCCCAGGATGGCTCTCCACTACATTCTTATCCCTTGCAGGGAAAGGGGGAACAGTGACAAAGGGTGTCTTCATAATCCCATTGGCCAGAACTGGGCCATGTGGTGTACTTCTTGTTCAAAGGGGTTTTTAGCTGGTCTTTATTCTAGGTACCAGCGTGCCTGACTCAGTTTCTAACACTATGAAAGAAGGCAAGACCAGGTTTTGGGGAACAAGTGAAGTCTCTGCCACAGCAAAATAAAAGATAATTCTGAATTTTGAAGTGGAATGATTCAGGGCTCACCCACAGCTTGAATTGGAAATGATTTGATTCTGCTGGAGTCTAATGGAAAACAACGCCCTGTATCTTCTGTATTATTATTGTCATTGAATGCTTGCTTGGTGCCAGCCACTGCGCTAAGGGTTTCATAGGTGCTATTTCTGGTTAATCCTCACAACGGTCTTACTGCGTAGGTCCCATTATTAGGTCCATTTTTTTTTTTTTTTTGAGACAGAGTCTCACTCAGTCGCCAGGCTGGAGTGCAGTGGTGTGATCTCGGCTCACTGCAACCTCTGCCTCCCGGATTCAAGCGATTCTCCTGCCTCAGCCTCCGGAGTAGCTGGGATTAGGGAGACTGAGGCTTAGGGAAGTCAGAGGAGGGATTGGAACTTGGGAATGCTGGACTCCAGAGCTCATACCCTCAATAGCTCCTACTGCCCAGTCTCCTGGTTCCAATCTGGTGTTTCTGCTCTGGATATATCTAGTTTTTCTGCCCCCACCTTCCTGGCTGGGCCTCGTTTCCAGAAATGCCACTGACATGGAGGGGACACTAGTGCTCTGGTTGGTGTTGTTCCTAGCAGCACTGTCATCCACCCGAAATGGAATTGATTCGCAGAAATACGGGTCACCACGGAGGAGCCTGCTCATGCTGGTAGGAGAGGGCTTAGGTCCCACAGAGGTCAAGTGGGCAGGGTTAGGAAAACCAGCTCTAGGTGGACAGATATGATTTGGGAATTACCATTTCGAAGGGATTTAGACTTCCTACTGCCTTTGAGGGTCACCTGCAGCTCTGTAAACACAGAGAAGATGAGGCCATCTTCCCCCTGCACCTGAGTTACTCTGGTAGGAAAAAGCGCAGAGCCCGTAATAGTGGTCAGAGCCTTTGCTTGAGCCTTCCAGAACCTTCCCTGGCCCAGAGCAAAACTCAAAAGTCTCCTCAGGCTAAAGTGACTGCACTTTGTCCTGTTGGCAAATTGGTTGGTTTAGTGTGTTTAGAATTCAGCACCCATTTCTCAATGATATCAAAATCATTATCCAACGAAAGGTGATCGTATCCTGGTTTAGTTGCAAGATTTTAGAGCTCAAGGGGGCTTAGGCATTATTAATCCAATCCTTATCTCACAGAGGACCAGAAAGCCTGCCTGCCGGGCCTGCCCAGGGTCCGGTAGCTACGTTGAGTTAGGGCTGAGTCTTTGGGGGCCCTACCTGAGCATGAGGGACAGGACTTTGTGAATTCTCATATAGGCAACAGAGGTGGCAATTCATGACGACTGGACATTTGTCTGCCTCTTGGCACCTTCTCAAAGCACATAATGGGTTAAAGGGGCATTCTTGATTCTCCACTGTGTTGGCTTACCATTTTGGTGCCTCAGTTTCCCCATCTGTGAAATGGGTATGGTAGTAACAGAACTCACCTCATAGAGGGTTGTTGTGAAGTGGTTTTTTTTGTTGTTGTTGTTTGTTTGTTTGTTTGTTTTAGATGTAGTCTTGCTCTGTTGCCAAGGCTGGAGTGCAGTGGCATGATCTTGGCTCACTCAACCTCCGTCCCCCCGGGTTCAAGTGATTCTCGTGTCTCAGCCTCCCGAGTAGCTGGGATTACAGGCGCTCACTACCAAGCCTGACTAATTTTTGTATTTTCAGTAGAGATGGTTTTGCCTGTTGGCCAGGCTGGTCTCGAACTCCTGACCTCAAGTGATCCGCCTGCCTCGGCCTCCCTAAGTGCTGGGATTACAGGTGTGAGCCACTGTGCTCGGCCATTGTTGAGCTGATGGTGTCTGCTGTGCTTAGACCGTGTCCAGCATGAGGGAAACACTCAAAGCAGTCGTTGTGATCACTTCCATAGTAGCCTTTTTCACTCTCGCTCAAGGGGCTGTATGCTCCTAAGAAAGCTTGGGGATCTTTGTCTCATTCATCTTTGTATTTCCTAGGTCACATCATCCATCAGCTTAAAAACTTTTTTGTTTACCTTGACTATCTCCAGTGTGCCATGCATGAATTCTTCAACAGTCATAATAGCCTTTTCATCCATAAATGTAATTTTAGCTTGTTTAATAGCCTCGCAGAACATGACCTTTTCCATGATAAATTGGCAGGAAATAAACCCATCCTTCTTCCATGGGGTAGACTGTTGAGATGGTGGGGGTTGGTGTTCTTGTTCTGGATCTGGTGGGAGTGGTTGTGGATGTTTGCTCTTGGTGGTTTTCAGCGCACATGTAAGGGGCTTTCTGGGGTTGTATGGTTCGGGAGGGGTTTGGAGTAGGCTCTGCTTGGCCCTGGAATGGGTCAGGTGGGGAGCGTTTCTCAGTTTCTTATAGGTGCTCAGTTGTCATTTGACTCCACAGCCTGCTCTTAGTTACCCTCTGTGTAAGTGGTTCTGGGGTCTGGCACTACTAAGGTGTGGCTGGAATATGTTCCTGGGACAGTTATTTGAGATCTACGTGGAGACACCCAGGAGCATCGAGGATCAGGTAGACTCAGTCTCTGCCCCTAGGAGCTCTAACAAAACCCTGTTTCCCCCTAGTCTTCCCCTTTTCTGCAGCTCCAAGGATGAGCACCCCCCAGAGTGGGCTGAGACCTGAGCTTCCCAGGTGGGTCTCCTCGGTGTGTCTTCATAGTTCAGCAAACACCTGATGTTTCCCTGTGGGGACCAGCCCACTGGGGCATTACAGAAGCCCAGACACACTCCAGAGTCCAAACACTTGGGTGTAGATCCCACTTTGCCACTCTGTGGCTCCCAGTCTGGGACAGTGCGGGAGGCACATGTGGAATAAATCTGTGTTGGACGAATGACAATTAGTGTGTTGCCTTGGGCAAGTCATCTCATCTCTCAATCCCTCAGCTTCTTATCTCTAAAGTAGAGATCATAGTGTCCACCTCATGGTGCTCTTGAGAGAATTAAATGAGATAGTGCCTCTGAAGCTGGAACCACAGTGCTCAGGGTTTAGCGGGTCTGCAAACAATGTAACTGTTGGTGTTATGATATTATTCCTGTGGCCCCTCACTGCAAGGCTCTTGGAGCCTAGTTCCCTCCCAATATTAAGCCTTGTTAAATCTTGCCTCTTTTTTCCCCAAGTCTGCCTAAGGATAGAATTGTCCAAGATGCACATCGGTGATCCTTTGCCAATGTATTTGTATTCGTACATTTTCATACTGCTATCAAGAAATACCCGAGACTGGGTAATTGATAAAGAAAATGAGATTTAATGGACTCACAGTTCCACATGGCTGGGGAGGCCTCACAATGATGGTGGAAGGTGAAGGAGGAGCAAAGGCACATCTTACATGGTGGCAGGCAAGAGAGTGTGTGCAGGGGAACTGCCCTTTATGAAACCATGAGATCTCTTGAGATTTACTCACTATCATGAGAACAGCACAGGAAAAACCCACCCCCTTGATTCAATTACATCCCACCAGGTCCTTCTTGTGACATGTGGGGATTATGGGAGCTACAATTCAAGATGAGATTTGGGTGGGGACACAGCCAAACCACATCAGTATTATTTTCCCCCCAATAAGATAATTTGCCATTCACATCTAGGGTGACTCCAGTGGTGGGGACTCAAGGGCTCCCTGGTGGCGAATGGTGGTAGGTGGAGAAACCAGCTGTATCTACCTCTGAATTCCTATCCTGGAAGGGACTCTTGGGACCACCTGGGCAGCCTCCATGTTTTCTAGGATTTTTTTTTTTTTTTTTTTTTTTTTGGAGACAGTGTCTCATTCTGTTGCTCAGGCTGGAGTGCAGTGGCATGATCTTGGCTCACTGTAACCTCCACCTCCCAGGTTCAAGCGATTCTCCTGCCTCAGCCTCCCGAGTAGCTGGGACTACAGGTACGTGCCACCATGCTGGGCTAATTTCTGTATTTTTAGTAGAGGCGGGGTTTCACCATGTTGGCCAGGCTGGTCTCGAACTCCTGACCTCAAGTGATCCACCTGCCTCGGCCTCCCAAAGTGCTGGGATTACAGGCATAAACCACTGTGCCTGGCCTCTAGGACTTTTGTAAATTGTCTACCTGAGTATTAACCCATGGCTCAGGAGGCCCCCAGCACTAAGACGCTCTATCACCAGTATTTGAGGAGTCTTCAGGCAGCGGGGCAGGGAGTAAGAGACAGAACAAATGCTCCAGGATGAGGAGACCCAGGGGATTTGTGCGGCTCCGGCATCGCCAGCATAGTTGTTAGGAAACCTGGGCTAATTAGGGTGCTCTGTTGTTCTTCTCAGCAGGCCCTTGAAATTGGGCAGACTTCTGGCTCACCTCTTAGAGAGAAAGGAACACTGTGTACCACTTTCTCCCTGTGTTTGCCACAGGGAAATGGCTATGGTTGCTGAGAAGTTGGGACAGAACCTGCAGGCGTGTGCTTACCACGTTTCTTGGGAGAGCAGGGATGGTCTGTGTGGCAGCCACATTCTCACTCCTTTGTGCTTCCCCTTTTGCCTCCATTCCTAGGCCTGTGAATGTTCTAGATTCTCTGGACACACTCAGCCTTCTGGAGTATGTCCAGGCAGCATGACTGTGGCATGCAAAAAACAAGGGCTTGGAAGCCATTCTCTGGCCGTGTGATGTTCATGAGAGTTAACCTGATGACTCTGTGCCTCAGTGTCACTGCTCTAATGGGAATCTAGAATATTCTTCACTGAGAGGTTTTGAGGCTTTATGGTCCCCCATAAATTACTTCTTTCTCTGTTCTTTCCCCTAAGCCCTATCTCAAAGTCTATTCCAGTCCTTATTGTCACTTGTGTGAAATTCTCCTTTCTCTGCTCTTTCTTCTAAATTGCATCTAGCGGTTGGGGTGGGGGGGCGGTCTGCCTACAAAATGAAAGCCACTCATAATGGAAATAATTTTAGACTCACACAGGAGTTACTGTGACTCAACAGCTGAACAAAAACGCTTGGTTTCTCATGCTGGGAGATAGTCCTCCATCCCCACAGGTCCTGGCAGAGGAGCAACTTTGTGACTTTCACCTGAGGACCTGTGGGGTGTGCTCTCAGGGATTGTGAGGGTGGGTTCTGGAGGGATCTTCTCAACACAGACAGCCTTTTTCCTCTCTTTGCAGCAGAGGGACTCCTTTGAACCCATGAGTGTGGCCTTTATAACTCAATGCTCAGAATGTTTGAAAGAATAGGTCTTTAGAAAGTCGAAATTACCCTCTGTTCGGGAAATTACAAACACCTACAGGTACATACACCTCCCATGTTCCCCTAGTGTGAGTACGGCAGACATCACTAATGGATCCCAGCACCTTTCTCTGTGCTGAACCTGAATGGAACCTTAGAATCTTTTCCCCATAGTGCCTGAGCCTGAGAAAATATATACTTTTATAGTTATAGAAATTGAGACCCAGAGACTTAAGTATCTAGTGTAAGGCAGTCTTCTTGTAAGGTGAATGAATATAAATATATATACACACACATGTATATGTAAATTTTATGTTGGCAAGTTTTGCAAATTGTTCCTGATGGAACACCTCCCGCCCAATACATTTAAATCTGAGGTTCTTTATCAGGACCAATTTGCAAAACTTGTTGCTGTCTCTAAAGAATGGAGTACACTATCACACTGACAAAGTAGTGTATCCCTTACGCTTGCCAGTTTGAGCTGCAGGAATATTTGGGAAAATGAGCTGCATGTGTCAGATGGGCCACATCACCTGGAGCAGGCAGAATGCACCTGAGATGGAGGATGACTGACAAGTTGGAACATTTTTTGCTAGGCAAGGAGGTGCAGTTACAAAATATCTGCCTGCTTCAATCAGATCTGGCAGAAAATGCAATCCTTTCCTAGAGGGTAGAGAAACATTTGTTTGAAATGATTAGTTTCTTTTTGGGTAGAAAGGTGTTCCCTGGGTGGATGTTTTATGAGGCTTATGTCTGTCCCTCTCTCCCTGCCTCTTCCTTTATTTCCTTTTGTCCTTTAAGATCCAGCTCCCTTCTCCAGGAATCTTCCCCTCTGCTGCCTGCCCAAAGTACCTCTAGTTCCATTCCTGTTGAAACACTTAATTCTGTCCCCAGTGAGAGCCTCACAGCTCCACCTAGCATGAGCTCTCCTGTGAATTTTTTCCTGTGTACCTGACAATGTTGAGCAAGGATCCAGGGTCACACAGCCCATGAGCTGTGTGCAAAGTTTAGAGGTTGCCATGGTCTGAATGTTTGTGTACCCCCCACAAATTCAAGTGTTGAAACCTAATCCCTAATGCAATAGTATTGGGAGGTGATTAGGTCTTGAGGGCTCTGCCTTCATGAATGGAATTAGTGCCCTTATAAAAGAGGCCTGAGGGAGCCTCTTCACCCCTCTGCCATGTGAAGACACAGAAGGCATCACTGTTTGGTGCCTTGCCAGACACCGAATCTGCTATTGCTTTGATCTTGGACTTCCCAGCCTCCAGAACTGTGAGCAATACATTGATAAATTCCTTAGTCTAGGATATTTTGTTATAGCAGCAGGAGTAGACTAAGACAGAGATACCAAGTTTGTCTGTGGATTTGTGGCTTCCCAGGGCAGGTGAGCCTGGAGGAAGGACTCGTATGTGTGTTGTTTTTCTATGCCAGGAGTCAGAGGTTGGGCTGGGTCCCATGATCAGGGCTGCTGTTTAGGGCCGGGGTCTTCCTGTCTTCTGGCCTTGTGAATGGCCTGGTGCTTTGCCTGGCGAGAGGAGTCAGACTTTCCTCTCTTGCTGCAGTGTGTTGTTGCTGCTCTGCTGTCTAGCAGCTACCGTTGCCATGGAGCAGCAAGAGGTACTGTGCCAGTGGCCCCCCTCCCACTGTCCTTGCAACAGCTCCTCTGTCTGCCTCCTTAGCCCTCAGCCCTGCCATGGGATGGGAACAGAGGAGACTGCAGCAGCAAGTGTGGCTGATTTTAATTGATTTCTGCTTGGTACACATTTACTGATGAGCTGTAGGTCAGCAACTTCCAACAGAGCTGAGATGGGAAGAGAATGGCTGGCTGCCTAGTTGCTTCCTGGGACTTTGAATGGCATCTTGGCATTTTACAAATGTGATCATGGGAGCTGCTGATGGGACCTCCCCTAGAGATACAATGACAGCGGCACCTGTCATCTCTACTATTATCTATAATGTGGCTTGTATTTATCAACTCACTTAAACCTGCAGGCAGTATTATCTCCATTTTACAGATAAGGAAACTAAAGCTCAGAGAGGTTAAGTAACTTGACCAAATTAACACAGTGAAAAAGGGGCAGAGCTGGGATCCAATCCCAGGCAATATGGCTTTATAGTTCATGTTCTTAACCACTATTTTATACTGCCTCTGTATTTCTAAACTAAAAGTTGAAACCTACCATTGGAGATCTTTAAAAATAAAAGTAGGTCATTAGCTCTTTAAGACAGTCTATGTATGTAGCGACATTTATTAAATACTGACTGAATAAAGTACCTAAGAGTATGCCAGGTACTCTTCTAGTTGCTCTCATGTATTAGCTCATTAATCCCCACAACACTCCTGAGAGGTAAGTATTATTATTTTCATCCCCATTTTGCAGAGGAGAAAACTGAGGCATGGAGAGGGTTAGTATCCACGGTCACAGAGCCAGGATGTGACAGGACTGGAACCCAATTGTCTGGCTCTAGATTCTAAATAAAAGTGAAACTACTAGCTTATGAAACAAAATTTGACAAACCTCTCAACTTGGTTATTCTGACGGAAGAAATTCTAGGAATAGAGAACCCTCCTGGAGTTACCGTCTTAGTTACTAGAGCTCAGTTTGTGAGACTCCATAGCTTTTCAGAATATTTTATATTCTGAATAAAAAAATGCACACAACAAAAACAACCAGATACATTTGTTCAAAGGAACGATCCTCAGGATTTGTGGACAGTTCACTTCGAGACCAGTGTCTCTTACAATCTCAGTTTTCTGTCCTGAGCAGTTACCTTCAAAACTTAGGGGAAGAGCTCAGAGGATGTCTGAGTCCATTTTGCATCTTCATCACACAGAGCTCTGTGGCTGAGTGCATCATAGCTCTTAGGTACAGCAGACCTATTGGATTGATCAGCAGCAGAACTGTTATGCCTGGGGTAAGAACATAATGAAGTGGGGGAGATTCCAAGCTAGGAATTTGGGGCCCAGATTCTAGGGGATGCCTCCAGGGTTTTCAGGCTGCACCTTCTCCATTGATCTGCCCAGTTTATGGAGCCACAGGGGAATAAGTCCTGCTATTGAAGGTGATGTTGGTGCAGGTGGTATTGGGGTGGCACCATTGACCATGCTGCACTGGGAGTCCCCAACCCTGGGCTTTCCCTTTTGAGGTTCAGTGTAGGCTCTTGATTCTGCTTCATAATCTTACTTTACAGTTGGAGGAAGAGGACGGGTTGCGAAAGGAACTTCCTTTGCATGCGGTCAGAGTGCTGGGCCATCTGAACAGCCCCCTCCACGGTCTGCAACATTTCTACATTCTGATAGAAACAGTTAGTGGTCTTGACGTGTCTGACAACCTACAAAACCAACATATCCTGGGGTTTGATCTCTCTGGTGGTGTCAGAGGAGTCCAAAGTGAGCATCTGTAAGCTCGGCTGTGATCCAGCCTATTTGGGAGGATCTGTATTAAACCAGTGACTGCCCTCCCCACCCCACCTCTACTCCTAAAGGGTTCTGTTTCACAAGAGCCAGGCTCAGGTACCTGTTTTTCTCCACCCACACCTTGTTTATTCCTCTTTTCCTCACTGTCTTCGTTGTTGTTCTTGTTGTATATGAGAAAATCGACTCATTTTTAACATTTCGCAAGCCTCCCCCTCCCACTAGTAGGTGTGTGAGCAGCTGCAGATTTTACCGTCTGTAAACCTTCCACACTCCAGCAGATCCTCTTTCCACCTTTCAGCACTGTGCAGCCCACCCAAGCCACGTGCCTTCTTGGTGTCCCATCTATGCCTCTCTCTGAAATCAGGAACCAAGCTCACTGGGGATGAGCATGGCAGGACCTCAGGAAGAAGCCTACTCCTTTCCTTCCTGCAAGAAAATGTGCCAGGCATTTAGTATTAGGGATACAGAAGTGGATACACAAGATTCTTGCCTTCAAGCAACTCGGGAATTTAGAAGGAATAGCAACAGTATTAACAATTGCTACCATTTATTCAGTTTCAGTATATGTAAGCCACTGCACTTTTTTTTTTTTTTTGAGACTGAGTCTCGCTCTGTCACCCAGGCTAGAGTGCAGTGGCGTGATCTCTGCTCACTGCAGTCTCTCCCTCCCAAGTGCAAGTGAATCTCCTGCCTCAGCCTCCTGAGTAGCTGGGATTACAGGCGCCTGTCACCACACCCGGCTATTTTTTGTATTTTTAGTAGAGACGGAGTTTCGCCATGTTGACCAGGCTGGTCTCGAACTCCTGACTGCTGGTGATCCACCCACCTTGGCCTCCCAAAGTGCTGGAATTACAGGCGTGAGCCACCTCACCCAGCGCACTGTGCTTTTCCTGAATGATATCATCTAATAATTCTCAAAACCAGCCTGGAACGTAGGAATTCTTGTTTTCATCTTGGAGATGAGAAAATGGCAGAGAGGATAAGTTAATCAGCTGAGGTCACATAGCTAGCAGGTGGTGGACTCAGTAGTTTGTCTTTGGAGGACAGACAATTTTTTTTTTTTTTTTGAGATGGAGTTTTGCTCTTATTGCCCAGGCTGGAGTGCAATGGCCCGATCTCAGCTTACTGCAACCTCTGCCTCCTGGGTTCAAGCGATTCTCCCACTTCAGCCTCCCAAGTAGCCGGGATTACTGGCATGTGCCACCATGCCTGGCTAATTTTGTATTTTTAGTAGAGATGGGGTTTCCCCCTGTTGGTCAGGCTGGTCTTGATCTCCTGACCTCAGGTGATCCGCCCGCTTCGGCCTCCCAAAGTGCTGGGATTACAGGTCTGAGTCCTGCACCCGGCGACAGACAATATTATTAAGAACAATGTTGACTGAACGCCTCCAGCGTCCCACTTGTCAGTGCTTGTAGACACAGGCTTTCAGTCTCCTGAAGTGCTGTGGACACTTTGATCAGAGAGGGTCATGGCTTGTGAGGATCACCACACAAGAGGAAGTGGCAGCTCAGGTCTGATGATGAAGTTTGTCTGACTCCAGACCTTTCTGGCTCCTAACCCCTGGACCGTATCACCTCTCATCAAAACAGTGCAAGATGTATTATCAAATCCAGCCACTGGTTAGACTAGAAAAAGGAGCTATTAGGAGTGGTGACAGAGGGCATCCCTGTCTTGTGCCGGTTTTCAAAGGGACTGCTTCCAGTTTTTGATCATTCAGTATGATATTGGCTGTGGGTTTGTCATAGATAGCTCTTATTATTTTGAGATACGTCCCATCAATACCTAGTTTATTGAGAGTTTTTAGCATGAAGGGTTGTTGAATTTTGTCAAAGGCCTTTTCTGCATCTATTCAGATAATCATGTGGTTTTTGTCGTTGGTTCTGTTTATATGCTGGATTATGTTTATTGATTTGCATATGTTGAACCAGCCTTGCATCCCAGGGATGAAGCCCACTTGATCATGGTGGATAAGCTTTTTGATGTGCTGCTGGATTCGGTTTGCCAGTATTTTATTGAGGATTTTTGCATCGATGTTCATCAGGGATATTGGTCTAAAATTCTCTTTTTTTGTTGTGTCTCTGCCAGGCTTTGGTATCAGGATGATGCTGGCCTCATAAAATGAGTTAGGGAGGATTCCCTCTTTTTCTATTGATTGGAATAGTTTCAGAAGGAATGGTACCAGCTCCTCCTTGTACCTCTGGTAGAATTCGGCTGTGAATCCGTCTGGTCCTGGACTTTTTTTGGTTGGTAAGCTATTAAGTATTGCCTCAATTTCAGAGCCTGTTATTGGTCTATTCAGAGATTCAACTTCTTCCTGGTTTAGTCTTGGGAAGGTGTATGTGTCAAGGAATTTATCCATTTCTTCTAGAATTTCTAGTTTACTTGCATAGAGGTGTTTATAGTATTCTCTGATGATAGTGTGTATTTCTGTGGGATCGGTGGTGATATCCCCTTTATCATTTTTTATTGCATCTATTTGATTCTTCTCTCTTTTCTTCTTTATTAGTCTTGGTAGCAGTCTATCAATTTTGTTGATCTTTTTAAAAAAACTAGCTCCTGGATTCATTGATCTTTTGAAGGTTTTTTTGTGTCTCTGTCTCCTTCAGTTCTGCTCTGATCTTAGGTATTTCTTGCCTTCTGCTAGCTTTTGAATGTGTTTGCTCTTGCTTCTCTACTTTTTAATTGTGATGTTAGGGTGTCAGTTTTAGATCTTTATTGCTATTCAACATAGTGTTGGAAGTTCTGGCCAGGGCAATCAGGCAGGAGAAGGAAATAAAGGGTATTCAATTAGGAAAAGAGGAAGTCAAATTGTCCCTGTTTGCAGATGACATGATTGTATATCTAGAAAACCCCATCGTCTCAGCCCAAAATCTCCTTAAGCTGATAGGCAACTTCAGCAAAGTCTCAGGATACAAAATCAATGTGCAAAAATCACAAGCATTCTTATACACCAATAACAGACAGAGAGCCAAATCATGAGTGAACTCCCATTCACAATTGCTTCAAAGAGAATAAAATACCTAGGAATCCAACTTACAAGGATGTGAAGGACCTCTTCAAGGAGAACTACAAACCGCTGCTCAATGAAATAAAAGAGGATACAAACAAATGGAAGAACATTCCATGCTCATGGATAGGAAGAATCAATATCGTGAAAATGGCCATACTGCCCAAGGTAAGTTATAGATTCAGTGCCATCCCCATCAAGCTACCAATGACTTTCTTCACAGAATTGGAAAAAACTACTTTAAAGTTCATATGGAACCAAAAAAGAGCCCGCATTGCCAAGTCAATCCTAAGCCAAAAGAACAAAGCTGGAGGCATCACGCTACCTGACTTCAAACTATACTACAAGGCTACAGTAACCAAAACAGCATGGTGCTGGTACCAAAACAGAGATATAGACCAATGGAACAGAACAGAGCCCTCAGAAATAATGCCATACATCTACAACTATCTGATCTTTGACAAACCTGACAAAAGCAAGAAATGAGGAAATGATTCCCTATTTAATAAATGGTGCTGGGAAAACTGGCTAGCCACATGTAGAAAGCTAAAACTGGATCCCTTCCTTACACCTTATACAAAAATTAATTCAAGATGGATTAAAGACTTAAATGTTAGACCTAAAACCATAAAAACCCTAGAAGAAAACCTAGGCAATACCATTTAGGACATAGGCACAGGCAAAGACTTCATGTCTAAAACACCAAAAGCAATGGGAACAGAAGCCAAAATTGACAAATGGAATCTAATGAAACTAAAGACCTTCTGCACAGCAAAAGAAACTACTATCAGAGTGAACAGGCAACCTACAGAATGGGAGAAAATTTTTGCAATCTACTCATCTGACAGAGGGCTAATATCCAGAATCTACAATGAACTCAAACGAATTTACAAGAAAAAAACAAACAACCCCGTCAACAAGTGGGCGAAGGATATGAACAGACACTTCTCAAAAGAAGACATTTATGCAGCCAAAAGACACATGAAAAAATGCTCATCATCACTGGCCATCAGAGAAATGCAAATCAAAACCACAGTGAGATACCATCTCACACCAGTTAGAATGGCAATCATTAAAAAGTCCGGAAACAACAGGTGCTGGAGAGGATGTGGAGAAATAGGAACACTTTTACACTGTTGGTGGGAGTGTAAACTAGTTCAACCATTGTGGAAGTCAGTGTGGCGATTCCTCAGGGATCTAGAACTAGAAATACCATTTGACCCAGCCATCCCATTACTGGGTATATACCCAAAGGATTATAAATCATGCTGCTATAAAGACACATGCACACATGTTAATTGTGGCACTATTCGCAATAGGAAAGACTTGGAGCCAACCCAAATGTCCAACAATGATAGACTGGATTAAGAAAATGTGGCACATATACACCATGGAATACTATGCAGCCATAAAAAATGATGAGTTCATGTCCTTTGTAGGGACATGGATGAAGCTGGAAACCATCATTCTCAGCAAACTATCGCAAGGACAAAAAACCAAACACCGCATGTTCTCACTCATAGGTGGGAATTGAACAATGAGAACACTTGAACACAGGAAGGGGAACATCACACACTGGGGTCTGTTGTGGGGTGGGGGTTGGGGGAGGGATAGCATTAGGAGATATACCTAATGTAAATGACGAGTTAATGGGTGCAGCACACCAACATGGCACATGTATGCCTATGTAACAAACCTGTACATTGTGCACATGTACCCTAAAACTTAAAGTATAATTAAAAAAAAAGAAAAAAAGAAAGAAAAAGGAACTATTAAAAATGACTGTAGAGGCCGGGCGTGGTGACTCATGCCTGTAATCCCAGGTCTTTGGGAGGCCAAGGCAGGTGAATCATTTGAGTTCACTAGTTCAAGACCAGCCTGGCCAACATGATGAAACCCCATCTTTACTGAAAATACAAAGAAATGAGCCGGCGTGGTGGCATGCACCTGCAATTCCAGCTACTCAGGAGGCTGAGGCACAAGAATTACTTGAACCCAGGAGGCAGAGGTTGCAGTGAGCCGAGACTGTGCCACTGCACCCCAGCCTGAGTTACAGAGTGAGATCCTGTCTCAAAAAAAAAAAAAGAGTGTAGGACCACAGGCCCACAGGCATAAACTGGGATGATCCCAGGGTGACGGGGCTTTGTGTTTGCCCTAAACAGGATACACAATCCAGTAAACAAGTATTTTCTGAGTGTCTGCTGTGTGCCAGACAGTGTTCTTGCTATGAACAGAAAAGGCCCCAGGAGCTTGCCATTAAGGGATGCAGGAGGAACTGGGGACAGGGATGAGGCCATGTCAGGTGGGGACAGTGCTCTGAGGAAGACATGAAAGGTAGTGGCATTGCAGGGATGAGGGTGCCAGGAAGGCCTCTGCGAGTCCTCTGTGATAATCCGGGTGAAGGGGGTCTTAACTTAGACAACTGATAGGCAAAGAAAGGCCTGGGAGCAGGAACATCTGTCCGTTTGAAGGAAGTTTCCTGGGTGTGTTCTGAGTGAGCTGCTGAGTGGCCAGCAGGTGCTGTTCTGTGGGGTTGGGTGGAGTGCAGGTTGCAGCCTGGCCTGCATGAGCCAGCTGTCAGGGTAAAGGATGCCGAGCCACAGAGTGGTCCTCTTCTGAAGGAGGCTGTTCTGCAGGCAACAGGTTTGGAGGCCACTGCTTCGTCAGAAGGGCCCGTCCTGCCCTTTCCTACTTCGGCAGTGCTCAGAAATTGCTTATCGGGGTATTCCTTGGTCTCTGCCTGGGGAGTAGAGGAACTCAACATTGTAAATAAAAGGGTTAGCTTCTTCAAAATTCATTCTTGTCTTCTATTGTTAGAAACCAAAGCTCATGCACGAATGCCACCCACCCTGTGATTACAAACCATGGCCCTCGGGTGGGTGGGTGGCATGTGTGCATGAGCTTTGGTCTCTAAAATAGAAGTGTGAGAACTGTTCTCTCTTATGCCTGTTCCCTCCCAAGTACAGTATATCCATGTCAACTTACTCACAGGCGTGATGGTGGTTCACGTTAAGTATTCACTGTGCTTCTCAGTGGCAGGAGAGCTTTTCTTGCCTTAGCCTACTGTGTCCTCCCAGGAACTCTATGAACTAAGTACTGTGTTTATTCCTGCTTTCAAGATGTGGAAGCTGAGACCCAGAGAGGTGAAACCTAAGGAGCCCAAGGTCACACGCTTGGAAGAACAGGGGCTGGAATCCCTGACACAGTGGGCCTAGCGGAAGCCAGGGCAGGTATTAGCAGGCCCATTTTGCAGAGGGGAAGACTGAGGTGCAGTGATGCAAAATGTGTGGTGGAGGGCTGGGCCTGGAATCTGGGAGTTCTGGTTCCGGGTGACCGTCCACTAGAAAGGGAAAGGTGGCAGAACCATATATATGAGCCTGTTACTTGTTCAAGGACTTGGTCAGGGGCCTCACAGAACTTGGAAAAGAGCAACGGACTCTTCAGAGAAGTTCTTCAGAGAAGAGCTCTGAACTGGAGAGCAAGAGCTGGGAGCACCTCCCATGGCTGCAGTCTCTGGTCATTTCCAAAGCCCAGGAGAAGGCTGCATTTGGTCAACCACCCACTTCCATTTAGCCAGGGCCTTTAAATCATTCCCAAATCCTTAAAAATCACCTGGAATGTGTTTAAAAGGGCAGATTTCTGGGCCTCGAGATAGGCCTATTGAATCCGGATCTGGATTTTGGGGGCCTAGGAATCTGCATTGACACCACTCCAGGCTGCGCTGAGGGACATTCACGTTCCTCCAACATTCATGTTGCCATTAAGGGATGGAGGAGGAACTGGGGACAGGGATGAGGCCATGTCGGGTGGGGACAGTGCTCTGAGGAAGACATTCAGGGTGGTGGCATTGCAGGGGTGAGGGTGCCAGGAACATTCATATTGGAGAATCCCTGGACCTCGGTACTAAGACTCCAGAGGGGTGGAAATGACTGTGGGTTCAGTCTAAGGCTCCAGGTGGGGTGCTTCAACAAAAGACCATGGTCACTCAGGGCCAGGGCAAAGGTTATTATCAGCAGCCCCAGACACTTTGGGGACGTGCTGGAAATATCTGCCTGACAGAGTGTTTCTGTTTTGCACCGGTATGATTCGTGTATCTGAGGGCTGCAGCCCTTCATTTTTTTTTTTTTTTTTTTTTTTTTTTTGGTATTTAAGAAAATGGTAAAATACACATAACATAAAATTTACCATTTTAACCATTTTTAGTGTACAGTTCAGTGGCATGAAGTACATTCACGTTGTGTTCATGCAGCCCAAACTTGAGAGCTCTTTTTGGAACACTCCAGGAAAGAAGGGCTGTGTACACACTAGGTGCTTAATAAGTGCTTTCAGATGACAGTGGGGTGGTGGGATTATCGGGGTGGTAGGCTACATTATCATGGATTAAGTAAGCATTCCCACTCTGTACTTTCTTAGGCAACTTAACTTCAGTCTGTAATGCTGAGGCAGACACTAGTGAGCTACGTTTAACACTTCATTTCTATTTCTGGGTGAAGCAGGATGATGAGTTCATTGTCTGGTCAATGCCAAGGGCAACTTCCCCTGCTTTCCTAGGCTCCCATGGCAGAATAGAGGATATCTGTGAAAAATCCAAATTTTCCTCCTATGTGTGTGTCGGGTAAGGGCAGCCCACAGTTATGACTGGGGCTCCAGTTTCAAATGCCGCTGACTCAAGACCGATCTGGTTGAGAACCAAACAAATGGGCCTTTTTATACTGAAGAGGAGATTTTTCTTACCACGTGTCAACAAAAGATCTGTAGACAATCTTGTTATACATTTCACACTGCTGACTTCATAAGTACAACAGCACTCACGACCCCTTTACATTTTTTGGTGTATTTGGGTTTATTTCTGTGGTTACCATGCACTGAGGGAAGTCCACAAAAGCCAGCCTGTTCAGGGCTGGAGCACGGTGCCAGTGGAATTTTGGTGAACTTCACAGCGGTAGAAGGGAGTGGACTGGGAGGTGCAGAAGTAGTGAATTTTGCAGCCGGAAGGAATCTTATATAGACTAAATCCCCCCTTATTTATAGATGAGGATATCAAGACCCAGCAACAGGGGGTGGTTCTGACCTGAGGTCACATCGCTGGTTAGGATCTCAGCCCATCACTGACTTCCTGGTCTCCAGACCCATTGACTTGCCACTGCTCGGATCTTCCCAGTCGTTGAACCCCGAGTTCCGTTGAACTAGATGCCTTGTAATATAATACACCTAACGATAAGTTTTCCTGAATTGAATATTCTTCCGAAAATCATTTATAGATTTGGTGACTTCTCCATTTTTCTTTTCCTGCATTTGGGTAGAATCAATCTTTGGCTCTGAGCAGATCTTTCTGTTTGAGTGTCTTTCCTAAGATCTTTATCTTTCTGGTTGCATTTTCAGAACCCCCTGCCTCTATTGTGATGAGAGCGCTGGGTCCGTTGGCTGTCTCTCTGGGATGACAGCACGAGTTGAAAAGTGGAGAATTGAGTCATCGGCTTTCTGGCGTGGTTTATTCTGTCCCAGAATCCCTAAGTCCTGTCTGATACTATTTAGTCACTGTCCTTGCAGTGTGAAAAGTGATTCACATGTAAGCCATGGAAAGCGCTCAGCAAGCTCTCTGAGACAGGAATTCTTGAGGAGGCAAAAGCCAACAGTGTTAATTGGAGATAGAGAGATAGGAATTCTTGAGGAGGCTGTGAAAAGCCAACAGTGTTAATTGGAGATAGACTGCCATGTGAGAGCCAAACCCCTCATGTTCTCAGGTAAAAGCTAGGAAAATGTTAGGCTCTTGTGACATGCAGTTGTCTCAGCTTCAAAGCTGGATTAATTAACTCACGTAATGCAAAATGTTTGTTGAGGGCCTATTTTGGGCCTGGTCCTACTCAAAGTAGCAACAAAAAGCAACTTGATGCTGTCTTTGACCAGAAGAAGCCATGAGAAGGTGCCCAGGTACTTATCAAAGGGCTTGGTTACATGCCCCTGTTTCCTTGTTACCCTTAAGCAATGAGAGAGAGATGCTTGAAGAAGAGCAGAAGCTCTGCTTGCTCTTTAAGCTTGGCGAGGGTTGGGTCTGTTTCCCCTCCTCCATTCCTGGGCTCCTAGTACCATGTGGTTGCTCAGTGAATATCTGCTCTTTCTTTTTAGCCTTCATGTGGGAGGCAGTTGTTGTGTAGAGGGAATAAGACTAGACTTGGGTCCAATTTACCTGGGTTGAAGTCTTTGCCCCACCACTTTGCTCTTGTCCCTGGACAAGTCACTTGATGTTGCCCAGCCTCCATTTTTGTTGCATCAATAGAGTGGAGATGCCAGCGATTGATCTTGTGACCTTGGGGGCATCACTTAACCTCCCTGACCTTGGATTTCTCATCTTTAAAATGAGGGACACTGAAGATGAGTGTGGAGCACATGTCGGAACAGACAATGAAACAGGCATTCGTTATTATCATTCCCATGTCAGAAATGGGCTACTATCTTACTGTTTTATCTCAAATGTAATTTCAAGAGAATGATACATGGTAACGTGGGTAACTTTCATTTGTCAATGTGTGGATGCGCCGCCCCTCTCCCCGGGGTGTATTCCTCAGCAGCCCGGCAGGGGAGGGCACATCCACACATTGCCTGCTTTAAATCTGTTGCCCGCTCTAATTGTGTAGACCCACTACACCCAACCAGCTTGTATCCCACAGATGGAAGGTAATTTGAATAACTGTTTAAGCCAAAATGTAATTGGAGATAAAAGCTAAATGTCTAAGGTCTAGCAGTATCAAGATGACCAGAAGTGATGCATTGGATCCTCTGCTGCTTCTGAATCATCTGGGTTAATTACCGTACTCTCCACCAGCTTTGGTCATCAAGGAGCACACAGAATCATTGCTTATAATTGAAGACTGTGGACAATGATCACATAAGATCATCCCTAAGTTACCAGTCCCTTTTATTCTAATGGACATTTGAAGAAAAAGGCCTGAACTTTCAATAAAAGCGTCGTCTTTTTGCTTTCAAGGCCCTTCAGCTAGTTCATTAGGGGATTGAAGCCAGACATCATTTGTGACTTTCCCCCTACATTTGGGGAATGGGGGATAGAATATCTTTTGTGGTTTTTGTTTACAAGAAGGAAGATTTCAGGCTTGAGCTGGAGTACGAAAGGAAATTGAAACTAAAGATTGGGTTCTGGATTTGACTAAAGTTTCTAATATTGTTCAGCCACAATAAAGCCAAAAGCGTTCACTGTATGCTCTGGCTGATATAGTAAAGCATGGGCATTTAAGAAAAGGGTTAATTAGGTCAATTAGATTAGATGTTAGGCTGCCTGTTTCTAAATACCATGGGATGTAATTTATTTCAGTGGAGCTTTAAGCCCTCATGCATGGTAGACATGTCGATTATGGATAAATTAAAGGCAAAATAAATGAATATTCAGTATGTCAGACACAATCAGAGAATGGTAGAAAAATATGTAACTTAACTTTCAACCTCTATAACAGCTAGGATTGTGCCCCATGCAAAGCTTCCTGGAAGTTTGGGAGCCCAATTTTTTCTCTCTACTTGTTGTAATTTACTTCTAGGATATAGCTGGGCCAGGAGGATTTTGTCAAGAAATGGGTGCTCAGTCTTCTGAGGCTCCATACTTCAGTTGGAAGGAAGGGGAATTTTCATATTTCTTGTTTTCTTTTTTTGTAGAGACGGGGTTTCAAGTCCAGGCTGGTCTTGAACTCCTGGCCTCAAGCAATCCTCCTGCCTTGGCTTCCCAAAGTGCTGGGATTAAAAGCATGAGCCACTGCACCTAGCCTGGGTTTTCATATTTCTTATAATTGTCTCAGAACTTTCAGTTCCAATACACTCATCGTGAAAAGCAAGTGAAGCCTTGAATATTGATGTTTATTGAGATCAGGACAAAGTGAAAGGCAAAAATCTGAGTGCCTTTTCTGCCTTTTCTGGTGTTTTTCTGGCCCTCCTGTTCTGTCCTGATTTCTGTCCCTGAACTCCTGACCTTGGACATGCAGGAGCTACTTCTCCCATCAGCCTTTTCTGAGTAGAACCTCTGATAAATGGATGCTTCTTGCATCCTTATCCTTGAGGACTTTGGACTCTGATCCCAAGGGTGTTGGCCTTCATTAGCTTCAGGGTGTTGACTTGCATTAGCTTCTGCTGGGGGAACAACCTCAAGCTTGGCCAGGTGGCAGATATCTGGAAGTCTTCATGACATACTAATATTTGTTGAGATATTAGTACTATCTATGTTTATATATGTATATCTGTGTTTATGATTCAAGCACAGCTGTGTCAACTGTTTAACAAAGTTTTATGGGAGAAAGCTTGATAATTGAGGAAAATTTATCCCTATTTATTTATTTGAACCACAACTTCTTGTAGTTTTTCAGACTTTGAGAAAGCTGGTTATGATTTGATGTAGTGGCCAAACATTGTCGAGTGACTGGAAACCGTTGATTTAAAGGAACACTGCCTGGGATTTCTGGCCTCAGTGAGGGCTGAGGCAGTTATTTGGTGGGCAGGAGGGTGGGGAGGGTCTTTCTGGGTACTGCTGAAGACCCACTACCTCTGTCTAACCTGACAGAGACTTCCCCAGCTGTTCATGACATCCAGGGCAGTGACCTTGGCTGTGTGAGGAGTGGCTCGGGCACAGGTGGTCTCAAAGGGCCTGTTACCCTGGAGCTGCCTCCCTGCATCTTAGCAAGCCTCAGAAGGCACAGGGCATTTTGATGCTGTGGCACTTTGCCATTTGAATTTGAGGAGATTTGTCTTGGCTTGGAAAACAAAGCATTCAACTTGTAGCAAACTAAAAGAAAAAGGAAGAGAAGTTGAGAACAAACACTCCATCCAGGAGTTTGGGCTTTGAGATGGGGATGGGGATGGGACGGAGGGAGGTGGAAAGGAAGTAAGGGATGCACTACGTCATTATCGTCAGCATCATCATTCTATCCTTATTTCATCCAGTCTAAGAAGACTATGGTTGTAGGATGCATCCTTATTTGCGAGAAATTGAAATATGGAAATGTGCGCCTGAGAGTTGTGGCAGCCAATGCACTCAGTGCTTTCCGCTCATGTCCTCCTCTTAATAACTTTATCAGGCAGGTTCTCTCATTATTTCCATCTTATTGGTGAGCAAACTGAGATGCAGGGGGTTAAGAAGCTTGCAGAAGATCACTCTGCTGGCCAGTGGAGGGGCCAGGATTTGAGGCAGGAATTCTAACACCCTTAGAGCCTACCCTTGGCTACAGTGCTCTGCTCCTGAGCAATGAAATCAGCGTTGGGGTAGTCATGTGTGTGTGCGTGTGTTTGTGCTTGAAGACTTTGATGTCAGCATTTTGACCAGATGTGTCAGACAGATATGTTGCCCCTGCCCCATCACCTTTACTGAGTTACTTAAACCCCAGGCCCCTGTTTTCATGTTATTATCTTTACTAAGGGATGCAACTGGAGTTTAAGTTCTTTCTGTGCATTTCACGTCCCCTCTGCACGCCCTTCTCATGGGGCCAATCACTGTTGGGAACACTCAGAGATAATAAACATTTCCCTGCTGTATCATCCTAGAGGATCTGTCATTTATTAACTGTGTACCGTTGGCAAGAACCTCTCTGCACTTGTTTCCTCATCTGTATGATAGAAATAATACATCTCGGGATGGTAGTGAGGAAGGGAGGGTTATATAAAATGACTTCCACTGAAGTGCCTGCCTGGCATTCAGCATTGTATAGAGCCGGAACTCCAAATGTCTTCTGCTTGTACCTGTTTTCCTTCTCCCCAAGTCACCCAGCTCACAGGTGGCCGCAAGCTCTGAACTGGAACTGTTTCTAACACATCTGGCTGCTTCCCCTAGAGACAGACATGCAAATAGCTTCATATCCTCTTGTAGCTGTAACCATTTGCAGACACCTTATTGTCTTACAGCTTTTTAATTTGCCTGCACAAATAGACCTGCCTGGCCAACTTGGAGGGAATTTTAATATCTAAGTGCGGCCACATACATATGTGTTGTATACTGGGGCCATGCCTTCCTGCTTATCAAGGCAACAGAAATCTTGTACATGGTTTTCTTACTTTCTGGATAAAGATGGGACCTTGTCTCTCCATTTTGTCATAACACTTTTTTATCTTTACTTTAAGATGAAACCCTCCTTAAAATTGTGAGTGTTTCCCTGGATTTCCCTGGGGAGAAACCACTACAGTGGCTTTGATTCTTTTTCCCCTCCTTGGGATCATTCTGATCCCATTCCATATCTTTGGAGGGTCTATGGAATGGGGCTCAGCTTTGCATCTTGGATTCACAAGAAGGGAAGCAGGGAGTGAGGGAGATTGGGGGACCGTGGGCGTGTTTCATCAGATGCAGCTCCAATGGCCTTTTCCCTCTGACCATATTTCAACAACCACACTTGACACACAGCCTAGCCTCCCCCAAAGCTCACGTGTGCACCCTCTGCCCCTGTCTGGGGCCTCCCCTATTCATTTTCAGATCGATTCTGACACCTGCTTTTATCTCCCTTACCCCTTCAGCACTTCTTGATGGCAGCAACTTAAGTTATACTTAAGCATCCTATATTCCTAAAATATGCAGAAATTAAACAAATGCCTTGTGCTCTCAGTTTTCAAAGATCTCTCTCTTTTTTTTGAGGATGGAGTCTCACTCTGTCGCCCAGGCTGGAGTGTAGTGGCGAGATCTCAGCTCACTGCAACCTCTGCCTCCTGGGTTCAAGCAAGTCTCCTGCCTCAGCCTTCTGAGTAGCTGGGATTACAGGCACCTGCCACCACACCCAGCTAATTTTTGTATTTTTAGTAGAGATGGGGTTTCACCATGTTAACCGGGCTGGTCCCAAACTCCCGACCTCAAGTGATCCGCCCTCCTCGGCCTCCCAAAGTGCTGGGATTACAGGCGTGAGCCACCGCACCCCGTCCAAAGATCCCTTGAGTAAAAATATTCACATCAGTGGCTGCAGATAGATAATTGTTTGGTTTTTGTTGGGGAAATTCCAACTCTTTGTTTAGAACTTGCCTGATTTTCAGTAGCATCTCTAACACTTAGAGTTGATTTGGATCTGGCATTATGTTGAGTCATCATTTTTAGTGGGAAGAATACTATACAATGTGAAAGAAAGTGTAAAAAGTACTCTATTTTAACAAAGTTGTTTTCTTTCTCTTTCTTCTTTTTTTTTTTTTTTCACAGCGTCTTACTCTGTCACCCAGGGTGGAGTGCAGTGGTAGAATCTACGCTCACTGCAACCTCTGCCTCCCGGGTTCAAGCGCTTCTTATGCCTCAGCCTCCCCAGTAGCTGGGACTACGGGTATATGCCACCATGCCTGGCTAATTTTTGTATTTTTAGTAGAGATGGGGTTTTACCACGTTAGCCAGACTGGTCTTGAACTCCTGACCTCAGCTGATCCCCCTTCCTCAGCCTCCCAAAGTGCTGGGATTACAGGCGTGAGCCACCATGCCCTGCCTGTTTTCACTTTCATATGCTGTCTTTTATATGTGTATGTGTGTTTACACAACCAAGGTCCCGACCCACATAATATTTTGAATTCTGTTGCTTTAACTTAAAGCAGCGGTTTAAGTGGTTAATTTAAACTCCATTTTCATGTCTTCATGTTATTTTAATAACAGTAGCATTTTTTGATTGGTCCAAGATTATAGGAATAATTTCATAAATGATAGTTCATATCCTAGAGTGTTTCCAATTTTTGGCCACTAGAAGGGAAATTCTATAGCAAACATCTTTGCGCGTCCATCTTTTAGTTTCTGTTGAATTAATCCCTCGGTGTAATTTCCCAAGAGGGAAATTGCTGGATTTGAAGGGTGTAAACATCATCATGGCTCCAGTAATGCAGTGCACGTGGGGAGATTTTTAAAATCAGTGTTCTCTCTGTTGGCATCTTGTGCCAGAAAAATGTCAGAAGAAAATAATGCGAATGAACAATTAAAAAGCTAATCCCCTCTTTAACTCTTAAAAATATGGAAATGAAATAGGGGTTTTGGTCCATGGATGCTGCCTGGGAAGCCCCAGCTCTGTTACTGCAGGCATGCCTTTCCTTGGGGGAGAGATCGTCTTTCCAGCTATCTTTGCTTCTGGAGAAAAGATGCTCACAGTACTTGTTCAACAGCCGCACTTCAGCCTCCTGCACTTGCCTCGTACTCACCTTCAGCAATGCCAAAGCGCTTAGGCCTCCAGCATACATCATCAACGCCTTCTGTCTGTTAACTGTGCAACAGCTCCTCTCTGATTTGTGAAATAATTGTGTGTCCACTGATTAATGTGTATGTTTTAAAACAGTGAGATTTGGGTTGGAATAGAAGAGGGTTTTGAGATACTCTCAAATAATTAGAAAGACAAGGGAGTGGACAATTAGAAATGGGAACTAATTATGGCTTATTGAGCACTTACCTTGGGCCAGGCCCTGCTCGAAACACGTGACATGGATGAACTTATTCAGTCCCCACAACAACTCTACTAGGTAGGCAAATTGTTCTCCCCATTTTATAGGTGAGATAACTGAGGCCAAGAGATTGAGTATATTGTCAAGGACACACAAGATGGGAACCCATGTGTATCAGTTTGCTAGGGCTGCCATGACAAATTCCCACACACTGGGTGGCTTTAAACCACAGAAATTTGTTCTCCCATGGTTCTAAAGGGAGACCAGAGGTCCAAAATCAAGGTGTCAGCAGGGCCGTGTTCCCTCTGAAGGCCCTAGGGAAGAATCCCTCCTTGCCTCTTCCTGGCTTCTGGTGGCTCCCAGCAATCCTAGGCATGTCCTGGCCTGTAGCTGCATCACTTGAATCTCTGCCTCTGTCTTCCATGGCCCTCTTCCCTGTGTGTGTCTCTGTGGGTCCCCTCCTCTTCTCATAAGGACACTAGTCTGACCTCACTTAATTTAACTCATTATATCTGCAAAGACTCTATTTCCGGAGGTCACCTTCTGAGGTTCCCAGTGGATATGTATTTGGAAGGGACACTGTGCAATCCACTATATCACGGTCATAGCACGTCACAGTGGATTGTACACTGCAATCCATGGTTGCAGGTCCCTAGTGGATATGAATTTTGGAGGGACACTGTGCAGTCCACTGTACCATGGTCATAGCCAGGACCTGTTCCTGCCTTCTAGGACAAGAGTGGAGAAAAGGGAAAGAAAGCAGAAGCCTGGGTAGGCTCAGGGTTTGCCCAGGTGCTCTTGAGATGGACAAAGAATGGGCGAAAATCCCTTGGGCTTTTAAAAGGTTGTGTGGCCGGGAGGGACTGGAGCCCTGGGCGAGATGCCTGCCTGAGTGAGGTGGGGTTGCTGGGCACAGTCAGACTGTGTGAAGACTGTGTGAGTGTGAGATTATCCTGGGCAGAACTAAACAGCTTTCTGGACTCAAGGGGAGGAGGCAGGTTTGGAGTTAATGCCCCGCCATGCTTGAGTAGCTTAAATAAAGGTTACCTGGACTATTTCCTTTCTCCAGCAGCTACGTTACTCTGTCTCTGAAGCCATGGGGGAACCCCAGAGGCAGACATCAGCGTGTCCAGGTTGTAAAATCAGACTTGGAGCGCCAGGCAGGGAAGAAAGCACTTCGGCATGTTTTCTGCCTCACTGCAAAATAAATGTATAAGCATTCCAGGGAAACTGCAGGGAGAGGGGAACATTCTTCAGCAGGCAAGGAAGGATAAATGCAAAGTAAACGTATAAGGCTTATAATTACTCATTTGAAGTGTGTAAAATGTAATTAATATGATCTGTGTTGCAGTGCTGTCTCTCTTGTTTTATTTAAGTGAACATAAAATGTAATTTATGAGGACTTCCCCAGGTTAACTGCCAATATCAATTCCTTGAACTGCGTTTTTTCCACAGCGTCTTAAGTTTCTCAGCAATAAAGTTCTTCTACTACTGTGGGGGTTTTCAGGGACAATTTATGCTGAGGTTTGGGGTAGGGGCTGGTTCTCCTTTACCCCAGACACTCACACCCTCCGCCCCTTAGGCCAGCCTGAAGATGCCAATTCCTATCAGTTATCTTCTCTGTTAATGTGAGGTCTTTTTCATGTCACTGTGATGACAGTGGTATACAGAAAAGGCTTCTAATAAAATTAAACTCACAAATCTAGGAAGCTACCTTTAAATTTCGAATCTTACTCTTCTATTCATAAGCCTTCAACAGATACATTTAGGGTGGCCTTTAATTAATATTTGGTCCTTTAACACACTTAATCTTCTGATAACAATTTAAATTGCATCTAAAATGTCATCTATTTACAGTTATTTTTGAATACTTCATTTGCCCAATTAATGAACAAGCATTTATTTATTCATTTGTTTATTTATTTTGAGATAGGGTCTCAAGCGGTTGCCCAGACTAGAGTGCAGTGGCAGGATCATGGCTCACTGCAGCCTCAACCTCCTGGGCTCAAGCTGTCCTCCCACTTCAGCCTCCCCAGTGGCTGGGACTACAGGCGTGCACCACCACACCTTGGTGGTGTTTGTATTTTTTGTAGAGATGGGGTTTTGTCCTGTTGCCCAGGCAGGTCTCGAACACCTGGGCTCAAGCAATCCACCCGCCTTAGCCTTCCAAAGTGCTGGGATTACATGTGTTCACCATCCTGCCCGGCTCAAGTATTTACATAATAGAAATCTAATGCCTCAAACTTAGAAATATGGTGAATCTTAAGATTTATTTATTTATTTATTTATTTATTTATTTATTTATTGTTTCAGACTCTTCAATTCGTTAGAGATTAAGTTTGTTTTTTGTTTTTTGTTTTTTTTTTTTGAGATGGAGTCTCACTCTGTCACCCGGGCTGGAGGAGATTAGGTTTTTTAAAATGCTCTAGTATTATATATAAACTTAGATTTCAGCTTAAAATTTCAAATCAAATAAATTGTTCAATTAAGTCTTTCATATTGTATTGCAATGTAGATCTATTCAAAGAGGCCAAAATCTTGAAAATATTAATATTATGGGTTGATTCTTAAACATCTCTATACTTATTTTAAAAACAGTTTTATTGAAATACTATTTACATGTAAAATTCACCCACTTTAAGTGTAGAATTCAATGAATTTTAGCATATTTATAGAGCCGTACAGCATCCCCGCAGTCTAATTTTAGAACATTTCCATCACCCTAGAAAGAAACTCTGTGTCTATTTATTGTCACTTGCCATCCCCACCCCTGGCCTTAGGCAATTGCTGGTCTACTTTCTGTGTCTATGTACTTACCAGTTCTGGACATTTTTTGCACTTCATTTGCAATCATCCTAGGTTTTTAAGAAAACAATTTTGGCATCTCAAACAATATTGGGGTCACCTTCTCAAGCCACTTTTCGGGTTACAGCCTCAGAAGGCTGAAGCTGCTTTCTTCAGAACTGAGCTCTGCTCTGAGTGGGTTCCTGCAGCCTATGACCCAGACTTGAGTCACAGACTGGCTCATTCCAATGTCTTGCCGCCAAAGACCAGACCCACCCAGGTGGCTTCCTTATGTCTTGATTCCTTCCTTGCCTGCCTCGGGCTCACAAACAGCTTTAAGACTTAGTTAAGTGAGAGCTGACTGAAGTCCATCCCGGTGATGTTTGACCTAAGGTCACTGTTCTAAAGTTCTGTACATGACAGCCATGCTCCATTGCCCACCTGCCATCCTTACAGCACCAACTTGGAGGCCACCAGCCAACCTGCTCACCAGCAGCCTCTGGGCTCCGCCTCAGGGTGTTGCTCCACGTCCCAGCAAAACAGCTTAAAAAGCAAAACCGCAGCCAGGAGTTGCATAGATACCTGAACACCCGTGTTCATAGCAGCATGAGTCACGGTGGCCAGAAGGTGGAAGCAACCCTAATGCCCATCAGTGGATGAATGAATAGTGGTATGTATGATGGGATATTATTCAGAATAATAATATGTCAGAATAACGAAATTCTCATACATCCTACAGCATGGATGGACTTAGAAAACATTACGCTAAGTGAAAAAAGCCAGACACAAAAGGACAGACACTGTATGATCCTACTTGTATGAAGTACTTAGAATATTCTAATTCAGCTGGGTTTGGTGGCTCACATCTGTAATTCCAGCACTTTGGGAGGCCGAGGTGGGTGGATTGCTTGAGTCCAGGAATTCAAGGCAAGCCTGGGCAACATGGCGAAACCCATCTCTATAAAAAAAATTCAAAAATTAGTCAATGATGGTGGCCTGTGTCTGTAGTCCCAGCTACTCTGAAGGTTGAGGTGGGAGGATTGCTTGAGACTGGAAGGCAGAGGTTGCAGTGAGCCAAGATTGTACCACTGCACTCCAGCCTGAGTGACACAGCAAGATCTTGTCTCAAAAAAAAAAAAAAAAAAATTCAAATTCATAGAGACAGGAAATAGAATGGGGGTTACCAGGGACAAGAGAGACGGGAATGGGGAGTTGTTATTTAATAAGTACAAAGTGATGTATAGTTGGTGATAGTTGCACAAGAATGTGAATGTACTTAATGCCACTGACCTGGACACCTGAAAGTGGTCAAAATGGTAAATTTTATGTTATGTGTATTTTATCACAATAACAAAAAAGCAAAACTGCAGTTGTATTATTTCTTGCCTTGAAGAACTTATTCAAGGGTTCTGGTTTGACTACAGAATCAAATGAATGCTTTTTCGGTTTGGCCTCAAATCCTTTTCTGGGATGACTTAAAGTTCCCAGCACTTTGGGAGGCTGAGGCAGGCGGATCACCTGAGGTCAGGAGTTCAAGACCAGCGTGGTCAACATGGTGAAACCCCGTCTCTACGAAAATACAAAAATTAGCTGGGCGTGGTGGCACATGCCTGTAATCCCAGCTACTCGGGAGGCTGAGGCAGGAGAATTGCTTGAATCCGGGAGGAGGAGGCTGCAGTGAGCCAAGATGGCGCCACTGCACTCCAGCCTGGGCAACAAAGCGAGACTCTGTCTCAAAATTAAATAAATAAATAAATAAATAAATGAAGATGCCTCACCCTAGCTGGCCCGTCCCTTGGCTATTAGGTGCCGCATGACCCTTGTAAGTACCTACACCCAGGCCCCTGGCCTCGTTGGCCCCATCTGGCACAGTTTCTCCCCCTCCTCTTCTCCAGATGGCCTGCACGTGCGCTGTCTATGTGCGCACCTGTTCCTCATGTCTAGCTGATCCAGCATCCCCAGACTCTTCCAAGATACAAATCCCCTGGGGTGCTCATCAAGCTTGAAGCTTCCCAGGCCCCTTTGTAGGAGAATCTGATTCAGAAGGGCTGGGAATATATGTTTTTTAAATAAGTACCTCGGATGACTCTTATCAGGAAAGTTTAGAAGACCTTGGACTGGGGTGACTGTATTTCAAAACGGTTTAGTTTCCTGTCTTTTGGGAAAGGCACTTCCATTCATTCATTTATTCATTCAGCCCTGAATTTAGGCCCCTTTTAGGAACCGAGGATATTGTGATAGACAAGACAGTCCAAGTCCTTTTGCTCATGAAACTTAGGGTCTCGTGGTGGCAACAGACAACAGCCAATAAAGCATTTAAGATAAAAAGACAGGAGAGAATCAATGCCTTGAAGAAGCATATGGCAGGCGGGGCGCAGTGGCTCATGCCTGTAATCCCAGCACTTTGGGAGACTGAGGCGGGCAGATCACTTGAAGCCAGGAGTTCAAGACCAGCCTGGCCAACATGGTGAAACCCTGTGTACTTAAAAATGCCAAAAATTAGCTGGACATGGTGGCACACGCCTGTAATCCCAGCTACTTGGGAGGCTGAGGCACAAGAATTGCTCGAACATGGGAGGTGGGGGTTGCAGTGAGCCAATATCGCACCACTTTACTCCAGCCTGGGTGAGAGAACGAGACCCTGTCTTAAAAAAAAAAAAGAATATAGCAAAGAATGGGAGGAACAGGAGAGAGAGGAAGTGAGGCCATGGGAGACAGTGTGTCCAGGGAAGCTCTCTCTGGGGACCTGATGATGCGGTCAGAGGGCAGAGTAAAGAAGAGAACAGTTGTTGGTGTTGGGAGAGGGACTCCAGGCTGACAGAGCAGTGAGTGCAAAGGCCCTGAGGCTCATGCTTGGTTTTTTGGAGAAAGAGCAAGATGACCAGTATGGTGGAGGAGGGGCAGAGGCAGGCGGGGCTATATCATGGGGGGCCTCTGGGCCGTGGAAAGACTTTGGATTTTGTTCTAAGATGGTGGCAGGTCTTTGGAGCAGGAAGGCTGTTATGATCTGATTTACGTTTCTAGAAGATTATTCTGGCCGCTGGTAGAGAATAGAGTAGGGAGGCCAGGGTGGCAGCAGGGATACCAGTTAAGAGGTTTTTGTCATAGCCCAAGGGGAAGGCGATGATGGCTTGTACCAGGGCGGTGAGGACAGAGACATGCTGATGGGTGGGGCATAGCAGACAGAAAAGGGAATTTAAGAAAATTCCTCACTGTTTGGTCACAGCTAGGGGCATGATGGTGGCATCCACTGTGATGGTGAACATTGTGGGAGGGAAATTTTAGCTGTGGAAGCCATGAGTTCTCTTTATCAATGTTTAACATATTCCATTCATAAGCACCCTCAAATTGAACTTAAAGGAAGAGTCAAGTCAAGGCCAGAGGTCCCACAGCAGGGCTGGAAAGCACACCTGTGGGACTTCTGGCCTTGACTTGACTCTTTCCAGATATCTGAGTCAGACGTTTTCAAAGCATGCACCATGACCCACGGGTGTGTTGTAAAATGGATTTAATGAGTTGTGACTAGTAGTTCATAAAAGAACAATAGAAAATGTTAGTTTGTCACACATAGTAAGGATAGTACTTTTAAAATAAAACTTGTCTCGGTTTTCTATATATATTTGTATGTAAATCACATGCAAAAAGAGAAAGGGATGAGGCCAGGAATCAGGAGATCTTCATTTTAGCTGCAACTCGGCCTATAGCCAGCAGTGTGTCCTTGGACAGATCACCTTCTATCCTGCACGTCCATTTCTTTACCTGCAAAATGGGGTTAGGGATGAGGTGGTTTAATCTTTTAATACCTGGCACCTCCTCCCCTCCCCTCCCCTCTTCTCCCCTCCTCTCCCCTCCCATCTCCTCTCCTCCCTTCCCCTTCTCTCCCTTACTCTCCCTTTCTCTCTTCTCCCTTCCCGTCTCTCATGCTCTCAGTGGGTGGGCAGCATACCCCACTGGCCAGGAGGATTATGTTTGAGGTTTGTGTCTTAATCTGTTCAGGGTGCTACAACAAAATACCATAAACTGGGTGGCTTATACACAACAGAAATTTATTCCTCACAGTTCTGGAGGCTGGGAAGTCCAAGACCAAAGCATTGGCAGATTTGGTGTCTGGTGAGGCCCTGCTTTCTGGTTCATAGACAGTCCCTTCTTGCTATGTCCTCACATGGTGGAGGGGGTAAGTGGTCTTTTTTGGGACGTCTTTTATAAGGGCACTAATTCCATTTAAGAGGGCTCTACCCCCATGACCAAATCACCTTCCAAAGTCCCCACCCTCTAAAATGATTATCTTGGGGGTTAATATTTTAACATGAATTTTAGTGGGGACACAAACATCCAGATTATAGCACTTTGCGTCCTGCCATTTCTCTTGCTCAGTCAGAATCAGTTTTGAGGATACTTTCCCTAACCACGTAGATTCATTCTCTTTCCTTCTGTGAAAGTCATTGGACTAGGTGGTCTCTAAAGGGCCCTTTTTGTCTTAGATGTGCCTGATGGTGCACTAACCTGTCAGGTTGACAACTGATTTGTACTTGGACAGGGATCTTATACTTTCGGAAGTAGGCATGCTGTCTGGGCATGTTTCTGCAGATGGGCCAGAATTCTCTAAAAGAGGGAATGGGTTGGCTGCTGGGGCCATTGGTTTGGGGGACTCCATTTGGTGACCCAGTTCTTCTCCTGGCCGGTAAATATTTTAATGTATACACTATATTCTTCAAAGCTGAGTATTAGAGTCCCCACTGGAAGGCTTCCATGTCAGTAAATCTCACGGCTCTTGGATGAAGCTGCATCTTTTCCCAAGCTATACCAAGCACATTCACGTAATTCTTAGATTTACTCCCTTGACCTTCATATGCCAAGTTTAATTCACTTTAGTTCTACAACCACCTTCTACAGGCTGGGCGTCGGGAGGGGCTCTTGCTTTGAGGAGCTGGAGTAGGAGAGGCCAACACGGGAATGGCTATGATATAGGTTCAGATTATTCTCAAATCAAATCAACCCCAAATCCCTCAGTATTCTTCAGTGAATTTGCTTATAGGGTCTCCAGTAAGGAGAGAGAGATTTGGGAATGGTTTTAATGGCTCTGAATTGTCCCTGTGGGAGGGACTGGGTGAGGGAAGGAATGGGAAGTTGGAAAACTTAAGTTTGATAATGGCATGAATGACAGGTTAGGCTGAACCCTATTTTCACCTCACTGTTTCGAGGCTCCTGAAAAGTCAGTTGTGAATACAAGCGTGCTGAATGTTTTGTAAAGCTCCTGAAGGCCTGATTGGTGGGAGGATATCGGGTCAACATTTGGGACTGCCTATTTGCTTGGTCTCTATCAGTCCCAAACATCTGTAAGCTGTGACATGTCCCATTTCCCAGGAGTGGGGGAAAGCATGCTGGTTTGTGGGTTTGAATCCCAACTCTGACATTCACTAGCTATGTCGCTGGGTCAGTCCTTAACTTCTTTGAGCCTCAGCTTCCTTGTCTGTAAAATGGGTGTGATACGACCTACCTCCTGGCTGGTGGTAAGTAATAGAGAGAGACAGTAATGAAGGCTCATGTTTACTGGGTCTTGGAGAGTTCATTTAAGGCACATCACAGCACCACGACAGCATATCATATTAATTTTTCTTTTTGATTTAACTACTTTGGCTAAGGTAATTAAACCACTTTGAGGAAGCATTGGCACTTTGAGAAGAATTTTTCAGGAGAGAACATGCTAACTCCTCTTCTTTGTTCATTTGCTATTAGTAAGTCATTTGGTCTGATACCCTTTAGTAGAATATCTTTGGTTAAGTCCTCAGATCACTTGATCTGTTGTTTTTATTCATTTGACACAAACATACCGAGTACCTGCTATGCACGGAGCACTTAGGCAGTGGACAGGTAGAGAGGGGCAAACCTGGCAGGTGAGGGGCTTGGCCAGGCCCAGGTGTGATCTCCAGCCCTGCTTTGGGACCTCTGGCCATTCTGTCCCCACACTGGGCCCAGTATTTTCCTCTGCAAATGAGCAGGGTGACCAGACGAGGGCTAAGAAACCCTCAGACTCCAAACATGAGTTTGGATTCAAAGAGCTACAGGATCCTTGAAATAAAATGAAATCTCACAGAGATAGTGGTTCCTGGGTATTTTTAAATCTCGGAGTGGATTAGCTTCAGATGTAGTTTTCGGGAGGACTTATTGGCTTCTGTTTACCTCTCATATTTATGAGAACGGTTTAGGATTGAACCATGTCTAAGCCAAACTGTGATGTAGAAGGCTTCGGGCTTCTGTACTCTCCCTCCTCTTCTCCCCCATCCCCGCTTTTATTTTGCTTTTTCTTCTCTTTCCTCCAGTTCTGGTATTCCTTCCAGAAATCAACTTAAACAATGCACTTGGGTTCTAAGTTTCTTCTTTTGCATTTAAAAGGAGAGTAGGGCTTGACGTGGTGGCTCACGCCTGTAATCCCAGCACTCTGGGAGACCAAGGTGGGAGGATTGCTTGAATGCAGGAGTTCAAGACCAGCCTGGGCAACATGGCAAAACTGTTTCTACAAAAAAATTGCAAAAATTATCTGGGCATGGTGGCATATGTCTGTAGTCCCAGGCACTGGGGAGGCTGAGGTGGGAGGATCGGTTGAGCCTGGGAGGTAGAGGTTGAGATTGGGCCACTGCCCTCCAGCCTGGATGACAGAGCGAGACACTGTCTCAAAAACATAAAAAATAAAATAAAGTAAAAATAAAAGGAGAGTGTTGGCAGTGCTGAACTCAACATAATGTTAGTCATTGCTAAGGAGAGCTTCAAGGTGCCTCTGTTAGAGGTCAGATTCTTCCCACTCTGAGATCCCCTAACTCTGATTCCCTCCTGGGAGAGCTTCAGGTTGCAGCTGGGTTACCGAGACAAGGAGTTTGTCCTAAAAGCTACCCCTGTGGCCCATGCCCCACTGAGCTACAGACTACCAGCTCTGCTTCTATATAAGGTTTTTTTTGGAGGGGATGTCACTATTTTTGTGTTATTATTAGAAAATGATAAAAACCTCACCACCAGGGGTTTTAAAACCCTGGTGGATTGTAACCAGGTAGAGATTGTTCTCACAGCTAGGTGTTGCTTTTCCATTCCCTGCCTCTCCTGGCCTCAGATTCTTTCCTCCTACACCAATTACTGTTTCACTGCTCCCCACCCACCACACCTTCCACCTTGACTCCCCAAACCTGAGCAATTCTAGGGCTTGTTTAACCCATGGTTCTACAGGGAGATGCCCCACCGCCCTGTGTTTGGAAGTTAGGAATTTAGAGTTGGAAGGGACTTAGCGATCACCTGGTTGAACCTCTTCACCTGACGAAGGAGAAAACGAGGCCCAGGGAGACCTTGTTCAAAGTGAAGATCTTAGTTTGGTGGCAGAGCCAGGGCTGGGATCCAGCTCTGTGGCTTTCCACATGGACAGTTTTTGAGTGCCATGGACCAGGCTAGTTGAGTGCCATGGACCAGGTGCCATTTCATTCCCACTACCACCTTATAATACAGGCATTATTAACTGCATTGCATAGTTGAGTTTCAGAGATTAGGAAGTTGACCCAAGGTCCCAAGCCTAGTTAATGGGTAAAACTAGGACTTGAATCCAATTCTGGTTGAAGCTTCTCCTTCCAAATGGTGTTGCTGGGTGAGCAACTCATCTTGGTTTGCCTGGAACTTACTTGGTTTTAGCACTCAAAGTCCTGAATCCTGGGGATCTCCTTGGACCAGGCAAACTAGACTGGTTGGTCACTCTAGTTTCATCACAGTGACCTCAGAAGAGGATGAGGAAGAGCTGGGAGATTTAATGTCCTTTGAGGGCTGACTTTGGGTCCCCCAGGTACAAAACAGAATTGCCTGTCTTTGCAGGAGCAGCTCCTTCTGAAGGAGCTGGGTATTGCTCACTCCTCTAACTTGATGAGGTTGAATCAGACACTGTTCTGTCTTGACAGATGGGCTGGGCCACACTGCTAGGGTTCCAGCATGAATTTGTGCATTTGGAAAAAACGTTTCTGCAACTGCATTGCTGCTCTGCACTCTCAGAGTGTGGAGCAGATGAATCATGCCCAGCCTGTTAGCAAGTCCGGAGATTTGGAAAGTGTCCGAAGTCAACCGAGTATTAGAGTTGTTTTGCCAGCGGAAGGAGCAGAGACCCATCTGGACTTGGGTGATTTAGTACAGCAGTGCTTCATTTCGAAATGTTGAGGGAAGTGACAGTCCAAAAATGGTAGGAGTTGTAAGGGTAAAAGCGTCTTTTACTGCCTTTCGAGACAGCACGGTGAAGAGCACCAGTGCTGGAAATAAACAGACGTGGGTTGTCAATTTGCTACTTGCCCTTGCTGACTGTGTGATCTTGGACAAGTTACTTAACCTCTCTGGGCTTCAGTTTTCTCAAGTGCAAAGTGGGACTAGATGATATCATTATTACATCTAACTTAAAGTGTTTTTTTATGAGGATTCAATGAAACAATGTGAGAAAAAGGCTGAGCATTGTGTCAGGCATCAGATACATGGTACATTCTCGCTACGTGGTAGTTTATTTTGTGAGATATGACTTCCGTCCCTGGTTCTGCTGCTAGCTACACTGGGCAGTTCAGGCAAGCATGTAAGGTCTCCGAGTTTCTTCTGTAAATCGAGGGGATTGGCCTATACTCGAATCCCTTGGAATTCTGAATGTCTTTGGTTTTAGGACATGCGTGAGAGGCAAGTTCCTACTCAGGGTCCCACAGTATTTCAGTTCTATGTCTTCAGACCTGAATTAACAATCCAGCATCTCCCCTGCATTCCAGCAGCACTGAGAGGGGTCACAGGGAGTCGCCCAGAGAACCAGGTGGGCTTCATTCCTTTGTCCTGAGCCAGCTCTCCGTGGGCTGCTCTCAGTTAGCAGACTGGGAATGGAGTGTCCACTTGAAAACAACGTGCTCTTCATTACAATGAAACAAACACGAGCGGCTTGAGTTTAATTTTAGCTTCATTTATGTATCGTGGGAGATATAGAACTGTTCCTGGGTCCAAGAAATCATACTGTAAATTGAGCTAATTAGATTCTTTAAAAAAAAATCTTTAATCCCATTGATTTGAGTTTAGAGAGGAGAAAACAAGTGTTGTGGCTAAATAAAACTCCCAGTGGGCGGGGTGGACAGCAGAAGCCTGCCGTTAAATGTCCTCAGGGCCTCAGGGATTTCTTTTGCGGGGCTTTTGATCATCAGACCTTTCATTTTTCAAAGGAAAAAAAAATAACCATAGCCTAATGCTACTGGCAGTTTTCTCCTTATATAGCAAGAACCAAACCTCTCTGATGCTCTTAAAGGAAGTGTTAAATCTTCTATCATTCATAAACCTTTTGAGTACCTACTACGTGCCAAGCACCACAGCAACAAATGAATAGGTTAGAGAGAGGCTCTATCCCCAAACCCAGTGCCTGGCGAGTTGCCCTGCACATCGTAGGTGCTTGATAAAAACTTGTCGAATGAATGAGTGTAATGAAACCATTAATTAATAGTTTGCCATCACAGCATTTTGATGAATCCTGTTGTATTTTGGACTTGTCCTGGAAGTGGCCAGCCAACCAGGTCTCAGGCCAGGAGGAGACTAGGGAGATGTTTGACTTACCTGTCAGTGAAGAGGTGACCCAGTGTGGCAGCTGAGACCATGGGCTGTCTAAGGCAGAATTCTGTCTCCACCTCTTTCTAGTCATGAGACCTGGGCAAGTTACCTAACCCTGCCATGCCTCAGTATTCTCATCAGTAAAGTGAGAATGGTAGTAGTACCCGCACCATGGGACTGTTGTGGGGATTAAATATGTGAACTGCTTGGCGAAGCATTGGTGCCCTCTAAAAGTTAGCTGCCACCATCTGGGCCTTGGTTACTCAAACTTCCCTAATGCCACTTGTAAGATACATGTGAGGTGAATATACTCATGTGCATAATTGCTGGTCCTTCCTTTGCATCCCAGGCAACAGAGTAGGTCCTCATTGTTACCATTTACATATGACTAGCCCAGAAGTCATTTGTGGCCCCTGGAAACCAAAAGCCCCCAGTGGTCTAAACCTGAGAGGGTACAGTGGAGCTCAGCTTCTAGGGAGGGTCCGAACCTTCGCACAGCATCAGCAGTAGGAGATGTTCTACAGCTCTTATTGTAGATGCTACAGTGTCTTCTGAGGTAGATGGAGCCAGGTTGTGTGGAAATTGTTTATTCTGTAATTGGATGCTCAAGAATCAGAAAGCATAAAGAGTATAATTTGTGTCTCTCTTCCCCATGGTGGGGAAGTCTTATTAAAATGCAGATTCCTGGGCCTTAACTTCCATCTCCCCCTCCTTCTGATTCAACAACTCTGGGATGAAGCCCAAGAATGTGCCCAGAAATCTGCTTTTTTAACAAGCAATATCATGGGGAAAGTGAGTAGGGCACACGTTGAGAAACTCTAGTTTTTGGAACATGACACGGAGGATTTGGGGAACTTTATCTTTTCTTGACTCTCCTTCTCATCCTTCCACAGATCACTGGGCCCCTCCTGAGTCGTCTGGCTCCTTCTTTCCTCTTGGGGAGAGATAAAGTGCTGGCCCAAGCCTCCCACCCTGGTGGGTGGGGTGGGCCTTGACTCAGTGGTCTGTATCCTCGTGGCCAGCTGGCCTAGCTGAGTTGGGAGGTGACCCTCACCTCACAGGTTGGGCAGCACCTGTCAGTCTCGAGGCTCAGCTTGGCTCCTTTCCACTCACATGACCTTGACCATGGCCAAGTGCCTGCAGCTAAGGGAGGCGCGGAGGGGTTATCTGTAAAATGCAGGTACTTCCTTTACCGTGGGAAGGATCACACTGCACCGACTGCCTGTTGCATAGCGAGCACTCCAGAAACGGTGGGGTTGTTATCATTCCCATAAAAGGCACACAAGGCCCCTTTAGCTTTTGTGGTCTGGGGAGCCAAGGCCGGTTCCCATGGCACCCAGTGAAGTCACGGGCAGGGCTGATGGCTGTGGGCAAAGAACCCAAGGTTCAGGCCCCACACGGTCAAAGCATTTTAAAGGCCTTGTATTAGACAAATAAACCAATTAAATAATACTGCCCCCCATAAAAGCAGACTTTTAATGGATTCCATGGTAGGCTTTTCACCGCGCGGTCCCGGAGCCATGGGCCTCGATGAGCCCGTCTGCCGCCATAGGGAGAATTTAATCTTGCCCGGCATGGGCATAATTTTACGAGTTTTATGGCTGTTTTTACTTCTCCGAAGTGTTGCTATGTCATTGTGCACCAAGGGCAACTTGCGTGCATTTCACAGTTTACCTCCTTTTTGGTGGAAATGAAAAATGAAGTCATAAATTAAAGAAAAACACAACATAGAATTTTTTTCCGTCTTCTTGGGGCAACTGGAGGAACAAAGAACCAGTGTTTCTCTGTACAGCCTGATCAAATTCTAATGGCTTTAATGTATTGACATTTGCCTGCGATTCCCTCCTCCCCAGGGAAGACTGTGGGCATGTAGCTATGTTTGGAGCTTGTACTACTGACCCCGAGAAGACCTGGGGCAGTTCTCTAGGGCAAGGGTTGGCAAACTCTAGCCCAAGGGCCAAATCTGGCCCACTGCCCATTTTTGTTCATTGGTGGAAAAAACTCAAAAGAAGAATAATATTTTCTGACACATGAAAATTAGATGACATTTTCCCAGATTTCCCTGTTCATCAGTGAAGTTTTGTTGGCACCCAGCCACACCCATTCATTTCTGTATCGTTTGGGGAGGATTTCACACCACAGTGGCCCTGCGGAAGAGTTATGACAGAGACTGCAGGGTGCAAAGCCTAAATACTGTTTGGCCCCTTACAGAAAATTTTGCTGACCCCTGCCCTAGGAAGTCAAGGAAAAGGAAAGAGAAAACATGGCATCTTGTTTCTGGGCATTGATGATTGACTTTCAGAGTTTCCACGTGGCTCAAAGTGACAAGTCAACGGAGGCTCACCTGAGCAGTAGTTTTTCCTCCGGAGACCTTCCAGATGTCATCAGCTGCTTTTGGATGACTCTCCTCCCTTTCCTGACCTCAGATTGACTTCTAAGCAGAGGTCCCTGGGCTAACCCCCTGCAGCCAGCCCTCCCAGTCATTTGAGCTGCACCCTGCTTGAGGTCTGGTCACTCCTCATCAGTCCCCTTGATAGCCACAAATAGAGAAGTTCCCGCCTTCCTCCCAGGGGGATCTAAAATAGCTTCTGAAATTTGTCACCAACACTTTTAAACTGTGGCTTTTGGCCAGGCACAGTTTTAAGCATTCTGCACATAGTAGTTACTCATTTAATCTTCACATCCAACCCAGGAAGTTAGATGCCCCTGTCATTCCCATTTTACAGACAAAGAAGCAGAGACACAGAGAGGTTAGGTAGTTTCCTTAAGGTCACACAGCTGGTAGTGGTAGAGCCAGTATTGAAACCCAGGCTATCTGTTCCAGGGAATGTCCTGCTGTCCATTCATTGCCTCTGTGGAGCAGGTGAATTCTTTAGGCTCATGAAAGGATCTAGTTTTCCTTGTTCCACTCATGCCACTGTTGCACCTCAAACCATAAGAAAACTGCCTCGTACTTGAGAAGAAAGCCCCATTTATTCTTCCCCCATCTCTCTTTTTTCCCTCTCTCCTTCTTTCCTTTCTTCCTTCCCTCCCTTCTTCCCTCCTTCCTCCTTCTCGGCTTCCTTTTTTCCTTTCCTCCTTCCTTTCCTCCCTCTTTTCCTCTCTCCTTCTTCCCTTCCCTTCCTTCCTTCGCTTGCTCCCCTCCCTTTCCTTCTCCTTTCCTCCTTCCCTCCTTCCTTCTCTCCCTCTCTACTGCTCTCTTTCCTTCCCTCCTACCTTCCTTTTTTCCTTCCTTCCTTCCCTCTCTCCCAATTTCATCCCTCCCTTCCTCCTTCCTCCTCCCTCCAACAAATAATGATCAAGCCCATGACTATGCGTTACATAATGCATGAGGGGCTGCACAGAGTGAACAAGAAAAATGAAAAAGAAAGAATTCATTGCCATTTAAAAAGAGCTCTTGGTGGCTTCAATGTTGGTGGGGTTTGAGGAGTTCACTTATTCCCCCTCTTTTATTAATTGTAAGTACCATCTCTGTCTGGAATCATAAACTCTTGTCTTTTCTGCTTCATGCTGATATTTTCACTAAAAGTAACATAATTTAGGAGAGGTTTTGGGGAGGCTGGGCCTCTGACCTGTCCAGTGGGAGGAGCCTCCTGGGGAAGGACCTGCCCATTCTCAGAAGCCCAGCTTTCAGGGACAAGGAATGAAAGGTCATTGACTGTTGCTGGAGAAGTCTGCGGAATCTTAAAATGTGTTACCAAGCCTGCTGCTGGGTAGAACTTGCTGTCTTGAAGCAGCCATTACGCCATCTTTTGTAAGTGGTTTCATTTCAATGAGCTTTAGATGCCTGTCCTGTTTTCTTAAAACACTTGCTGGGGAGACTTTTTAGCATGATCTAGATCCTTCTGGGTGTGGAGATGCCTGAATGTTGGGAAGACAGACAGCAGCTGTGCTGTTGGAGAAGGGACAGTGTGGAAATCTTCCTTTGCTAGAAGCTGGTTTTCTCTTTCTTTCCTGCCTGTTTCTTCTTCCCTACTCTGTGCCTTTTTCTTTGACAGACAACAAATCTTTGTTGCTCATTTCTGATGAGCCTTCACTTTCTTTCCTCAGTCATGCGGAGGAATCCCTTTGGTGTGGACATCTGCTGCCGGAAGGGGTCCCGAAGCCCCCTGCAGGAACTCTACAACCCAATCCAGGTAAGCTTCAAGCACTCTGTCAGCATGTGAATTTTTTTTTTTTGTAGGTATGGATACTAAAAACTCTAAAATTGTGGTCTTTGGGGGATTTAAAACTTCCTTTCACAGCCTGGCATTTTACCTTCAGTGGTTGCTTTCTCCGTCACCCTTTTTCTATGTAGCATCTCTGAAAAATCTAGCAGGGGATGTTTAGAATTAGAGAAATGCCTAGGTTTAGTGCTAAGCATTCAGACCTGCCCAGGGTTTGAACTCCTGAGATTAACAGTCTCAAGTTCGAGCAATGGGACTCGGGAATTAAAGGTCCACCGAAGCTGTGCAGTCTTCCCTTTGGTATCCCCAAAGGAAGAGTTGCACATGGGTACACTTGACACCCATTCCCACATCCCACATATTAAAGCCCAGTGATGCCCCACCTCACTGTGCCAGTTTGGCAAACTCCCTTGCGAGCGGGGACCTTTTGCTAAGTGACTGCCTCAGTAAATCTAACTCGTTAGTTTAATGAGGCAGCAAACGTGGCCTCTGTGCCATCAATTATGAAAAGAGCTCCTCTTTGAGCAAAAGAAAAGCTCCAACCAAGGAAAAGTGTCTTCTGTGGAAAGCTAGTGCAAAGTTAGGAGGCCTGGTTGCCATGGCAACAGCCTCAGTGGTGTGTGTGGGTCTTGATGTGGAGACTCTGGGGCTGATCCTTTTGTAGGAACATTAATTAGCACTTGATGCCCAGAACTGGTAAGTGAACAACTAGCAGCAGCATCAGTGGACCTTCGATAGCCGTAGAGAAAGAGGGAAAAATGTACTGCTTTGGCTACAGTCTCTGACTAAATTTAATACTTCTTTGGACCAAGGTACCTGGTGGAGGAAGATAATGCACGGGCCTCAAAGGTGTCGAATTTTTAGAACTCTTGTAAAGGGATGCACTTGAGAACTATCTGATGCCCCCTACCCCCCTTCCCAATCTCTCACCTGCACTCCCTTCTGGAAAAATGGACTCCTGAATTTATGCATCATGGGTGGCCTAATTAGGTTAACTCATGCCCTGTCTTGAGGTGTGACTTGGCCAGATTAGCCCATTAATTGCCAAGTCAGTATTGCCTGAGGCTTCCTGTACTGGGTTCGGTGGTGACTCAGTGGGGAATTTGATAGTTGGGTTCCCTTTGGTGCCCAAAAAATCTCCATATTATAGGCAGGTCTCCCAGCCTGTCCACACACACCCTGTCCTAAGGAAGAGGCAGAACTGTGCTTCAACAAAGGATAGGATTTCTGGTAACCCGTGTCAAAAACAACACAGGCTCCTCAGATGCAAACCATTCCCTTCTTTTTGTTGATATCCTCTGTTCTCAGATGATTTTCTCCTTCAAAACAAAACTACTGAAACACTGCTGCAAATTTTATGGGTAACATATGGTGTCATGGGAAAAGCTATATCTGAAGTCACCGCCCCTGTGGATGGAAGGTCCATGGACTGCGTCTGTCCTGTTCACTGTTGGCTCCTCAGTACCTAACACAGGGCTCTCAAATACTTGTGATTCAAAACATGAAAGTCCAGGTTCAAATCCCGGCTTCATCTCTAACTAGTTGTGCAACCCTGAATATATGATGAGTTATCTTTAGGGGTCAGTTTTCCTACCTAAAACTCTCCCTGGAATGTTGGGAGGATGAAATAATTCTGATGTGTCAGGGGCTCTGTCAGTATGATTTGTCATTTTTGTGGTCAGGAGGGTGGCTTCCATATCAGAAGCCTTGACTTAGGAGTCAGACCTGGGTTCAAAGCCTAGTTTCATCATTTCTTAGCTATGTGACTATGGGGTGTTTACTTAACCTCTCTGAGATTTCTTTCCTTGATTTATAATGTGGCATGAGCAATACCTGCCTTGCAGTGTTGCATGTGGTGATGTGTCTTGCTTGGAGCTTCCTGTGGAGTTTGCTCCTTCATGGGTTCATTCACTCCTTTTTTTCATTCATTTCTTCATGTGCTGTTACATGTACCTAGGAACATATAGCTTAGTAGCTTAGCAGCTTAGCACTAGGCGCTGGGCACAAAAGGGTGGAGAGGGTGTGTGCTTAGCCTTTTGTGGCTGGTAACTCTGGGCCCAGAGTTGAGGGGAATGATTTGACTGGCGAGGCAGACTCTGCTTGGTCCCATTGTAAACCAGTCATAGAAGAGATGCCTGTCCTGGGTAGGGGCCCTCTCTTCCTTCCGGTAGTGTTCTGAGCATTGTCTGGATGACAGGCCTATTGAGCAGTAGCCTGGGACTTGGGAGGGAAACTAGGGCTGGAGAGCAGCTCTGGGAGGCATTGGGGAGGGCGTAGGTGGATGAGTCACCATCCTCCCTCAAGGACGTCTTGGGCAAGTTGTCTGGCCCCATTAGCCAGCAACCAGGGAAATGTAGCTGCAGGAAAATCACCTCGTTTCCTCGGGATGTTTTTTCTTAGGCTGGTTTCCTTTACAAGCTGCAATTATGTTCCATCCCACGCAAGTTCAGTAAGTGGCACTTTTCAGAGAAACTGTCTTGGTGATCATTTGGGCTGCTGTGGGCCAGGGAGTTGAGGAGAGAAGGGAGTGAGAGCTTCTACTGAGTTTAGTTGGTTTTGTGTCCATGAGCCATTTACAAACTTTGCACCTGATTGGGCTCAGTTGCAGTTTCTTGTATTTCCCTACCAGCCAAGCTGTTGAAGCTGCTGAGCCCGGAATGATGTTATCACTGAGGCAGATGACAAACCCTCTAGTTGCTAGAAACCAAACTGCTCCCCGAGCTGGTGTTTCCGTTTTTTGTACTGACTGCTTATTTGGGCTTGATATATAATGGTGAAAACAGGAACTGTTTATTTTAGGTGATAAGAAACCAACATTATGACAAGAAGATGTCATCTTAGTTACTCTGTTACCAGTACCATAGGCCAGATACTATCTAGATGCTTATAAACATCTTATCTAATCCTTGTAATAATAAGCCCCAAGCTAGGTTTTATATCCCCATTTTATGGATGGGGGAACTGAGGCCAATAACTTCATATAACTTATCCAAGGCCACAAAACTAGTAATAAACAGAGTGAAATTCAACCCAAAAACAAACTACAAATCCAAATTTCTTTACCTCTATGCTGTCTGTACTTGCTGTTACTAGCAAAGTTCTCTTGGTGGGAGTTACCCCATCCCCTCTCCAAAAAAAAAAAAAAAAAAAAAATCAAACCCAGATTTTCACTGGACAAAGGGTTGGGAAAATTGGGAAATTTTGGCTATAATCTGGGAAAACTGGCTATAATATGGGGAAATTGGCTATAATCTGATTTGAGTGTACAGAGTTTTTTATTTTAGTGTCCAAGATTTCTTATTTTAGTGCCTTGCAAACCCCTAACCAATAAAACAACAACGGGGTCAGGAGATCGAGACCATCCTGGCTAACACGGCGAAACCCCGCCTCCACTAAAAATACAAAAAATTCTATGGGCGTGGTGGCGGGCGCCTACAGTCCCAGCTTCTCCGGAGGCTGAGGCAGGAGAATGGCGTGAGCCCGGGAGGCGGAGCTTGCAGTGGGCGGAGATTGCGCCACTGCAGTCCAGCCTGGGCGAAAGAGCCAGACTCCGTCTCAAAAAAATAAAAAATAAAAAAAAAAGTTTGGAGTTGATATTCTTAGAAAAACTGTACTCTGATGTCTTATAATTTTCCTGGTTCTCTGCTGTTTCCTTGGCCCCAAAATAAAATGTAATTGCCGATCAGATCAGCTGGAATCAAGTCACCGAAAGTTCAGGAGGTGTCAACTGCATATTTGTGGGCCGAGCACATCTGCGGGCCGCTCTGGCTCAGTTCAGAGGCACAGGGCAGAGCTGCATTGTCAGCCATTAATAGGGCCTAATTTCCCCTAAATGCCAGCTAGGGCGAGACAGCTTGTCCTTCTGCCCCGCCCACCTCCTGGTCCTCTCGTGGGTTCCCTGAAATCTTCACAACATCATCATGTGGTTCAGCCCTGCCCTGCTTGGTTCTTTCTTTAGCATTTACACTTGCTCTGTGATTACTATGTTGCAAGGGGAGAGACTCACAGCACAGGGCTGTCCGTGAATTTATAAGCGCTGAGTCTAGGAGGTTTGCATAGGGCACAGCAGATCCAATTGTTCTAGGGGTCTCTGAGGACCAAACAGTGTCCAAGGGATTTAGAGGAATTCTGGGGAACTCTCTGGGGCGGGGGGCGGGGGGGGGAATGGCTCCAGGAAAACTGAGAATGACAAGATCTTGGAGGCCCCCACTGAAATCTCTGTTACATGGTGGCGCCTCATTGGTCAAGTCTTCAGGGTGCTAAAGTAAACTTACTTCTCCATCAGTTAGACTCCAGGAAGCAGGATGAGGAGGAGGATGAGGAGGGAGAAGGAAGGTCGGAAGGAAAGAAGGATGAGAGAGAAAAAGGAAGACAAATTACTATTTACTAAATGTATAATACATGCCAGTGACCATTCTACATATTTTTCACACGTCTCATGGAATCTTTACAACAACCCGAAGAGGAAGGTCTCCAGTAACCCCGTTTTTTAGTTAAGTTAACTGAGGCTCAGAGGGTTGAGCAATGTGCCAATCACACAGCTCCTAAATGGGAGAGCCAGGCCTATGAAGCCTGGCTAGGTTGCAGGATGAGGAGAGGCTGGTGCTTTATTTTTCCCGGGTGAAAACATGCTTCCTTGAGATTCTCTTTCCCAGTGACTCAAGCGAGACCTGAGGTATGCTCAGGACCAGTTGCAAAATTCACAAAAGCAGGGGCCAGGACTTCTGGAATGGCATGGAATGGACAATAGCTGTAAACAATTACAGGCTGGGCACAGTGGCTCACGCCTGTAATCCAACACTTTGGGAGGCTGAGGTGGGCAGATCACCTGAGATCAGGAGTTCTAAACCAGCCTGGGCAACATAGTGAAATGTCGTCTCTACCAAAAATACAAAAATTCGCCCGGCATGGTGGCTCGTGCCTGTAATCTCAGCTACTCGGGAGGCTGAGGCAGGAAAACCTGGGAGGCGGAGGTTGCAGTGAGCCAAGATCATGCCCCTACACTCCAGCCTGGGTGATAGAGTGAGACTCTGTCTCAAAAAATAAAAATAAATAAATAAATAAATATATAAATAAAAATTGCAGATTTATTTTTTGCTTAGTGAACCTGATAGATAGCCCAGTGAAGGACAGGCCTTTGACTCCTGGCTGGAGCTGTCAGAGAAGGAGTCACCCCTGAGAATTCTGCCGTGGGATAGAGCATCGCATCTTGGTGACATTTGGAAGCTGGGCTCATTGATTTCATTGAATGTTTTAGATTGATAAAAGCTTGTAATAGTCCAAAGGTTGTTGGGGCAGTTGCGGGGGACTCTCTTAGCCCCAACCTAAATAGCTTTTTCAGCAATGCTTGACAAAATGTGTTCCTTCTATGGACACTTGTAGAATAAACAGAGGAAAAGGGCGTGGGGAGGAGAGGCACCTAGGTCATGTAACCTGATAAGCGGTATATAATAGAAGCTTTTTGCAAAGTTATGAGAGAATCAGGAGTGAGTGGTTAGCCTCTGAGGGGCGGTGCGCAGTGGGGGCCTTTATACAGGATTTGAGTCCGGTCTCTGAAGACACAGCACACTTCCCCATGTTAAAGAAGAGAGACAGCATCACAGAACGGGGAACATCAGCGAGGCCACAGGGAGACAGTCCATGGCGCATTCAGAGAACTGTGAGGGGTTTGTGGCTGGAGTGAAGGTGATGCCAGGGGCGGATCGGAGAGGGGGCAGGAGTGGCAGGTTGGTAGCATGTGGATCAGGTCATGTCTGCCATTCTGGTCATTTCCAATCCATCTGGTTTTTACCTATTGGCAGGGTTGGAGGTCACGAGGAGCCCACAAAAACTGGCGTGCATCTTATAACCTAGCTTCTCCTTTGGCCGCTTGCTAACTGTGGGGCTTCTCCAGGGCAGGTAATGTCCCCTTCCAGGCCTCAGCATTGTCATCTATAAAATGAAGGGGTTAGACTGGATCAGTGTTTATCAAGCCTGTGGTCTTCATATTAGGACCACTCTGGGAGCTTTTGGGAAATGACCAGTGCGCAGGCCTCACTGCTGGCGATTCTGATTTTATTGGTCTGGGTTAGGGCTGGGGTGTTGATATTTTTCAAAGCTCCCTAAGTGATTCTAATGGGTAGCCAGGGTTCAGAAGCCCTGAGTTGAAGGGTCTTTAAGCACCCCCTACTCCCTGGTACTAAAAGCCTTTGATTCTAAGATGACCTATAACTTGCGAATTTAGGGAGAGAGAAGCAGGCTGGCAGGACCAAGGGAAAACAAAAAGAGAAAGCAGATAAGCTATGTATCTGCCTTTCTTCACATTCCAGGACACATAGTCCTCCTGTGCAAATAACTCCCCATCTTCCTGCACCCACCTATCACCAGACCCTCGGCTGATAGAAAAATGCAAGTTAGTTCACTAAAACCTTGGCACTATCAGTCCTGCACAAAGCCCTCTTGAGCACACGGCACAAGCACCATCCTATAAAATCCCCAGCAAGCCTTTGTCTACTTGCAGTCAGTTCCTCTCTTGCTGACCTGCCCATTGCTCCCTTGCAATGTGTTTTCATACTTTTTCTAATAAATCTGCCTTTCTTTACCTACAATTCCCTTGGTAAACTCTTTTTACCACCCACATGACACCAACCCCAGAGAGTCACAATGCAGGACATAACCCATTATGTGAAAAGCAACTCAAAGCATACATGCTGAGGTTGTTCACTCTACGTAGTTTCTACTGTCTTTCTATATGAAGGCTCTGTGTCTGTGTTTTCCACTAGGACACAGAGATCATTGTCCCTCATCTACTCCATTTGGAGGTTTGTGGGTTCGATGCCTATAGTGCTAGACATCCAGCCAGTAGCATGTGGGCCAATCCGAGATGCCAAGTCTTCAGCCAAAGTATTGGGAGGAGCCCTGTGAAAGGGACCCTTGAGCCACTTCTGTCTTGAGCCAGTAAGAAGGAAAACTCAGACTTGCTCCAGGCCAGGCGTCAGATGGACATTTCTGAAGGATCAGTTACAATCATAGAAATGAGCATGGAATGAGAAGGGCCCTCTGCCTTTTGAATGCTATTCAGGAAGAACGATGCTGAGTGGTCACATATGCTGGGGAAGGCATGAAAGAGCAGACTTTGTACTGTCCCCAACTCTGGTCAATTAATCCCTTATTTACCAACCACCTGGTAAATGACGAGTTCGTCTAATTATCTTCTTTGACTCAGCATCTGTCTACCAGCCAAAGAGGGATTAATTGATTTGGTTGTAGACCGACTCCTTATGCAAAGATAATGCTTACTGCCAGCCTGGCAGCTGGCTGGCAAAGATGAAATATTACATTAACCTGATCTTACACACAGTACTTGGGAGAATGCTTCATTATTAATTGCAAATTACAATAGACTAGCGAGGCCCATTGCAAAAAACCACGGACAGTGAACTACCTCTTTCACTGTGGCTAGTGGATTCATTATTCTTGAACCAGGGAAGCTTCCCAGTCAGATTTCCAGTCAAGCCAGGAAGGATTTCCAGTCAAGCCAGGGGACATGACAGTCAAACACAATTTGGGTTTAGAGGAAAGGATTGGATGCCTGAAGGAACTGGGGAGTCCCAGCCCAGCTGTATGACCTGGGGCAGTCACTTACCCTGTTCAAGCCTTGGTTATCTGTAAAATCAGAGCTTGATACCAGTCTTGCAGGTTTGTGAGATTCAGAATTCTGTATGAAAAGCACCTAGGACAGTGGCAAGGTCAGAGTTGGTGTTAATCAGTAGCCATTCATTTTCTGGATGGAGTTAGGTAACCTGGGCATTTTCTTAGGGGTCTGGGCCCTTGCTGTGCTCTGTAATATAGGCTCAGACATTTTGCACATGCACATTTGGAATTTTGTTGAATAATAATAAGATGGATGATTTCCTCTTGCCTGGAAGCTACTAGCTATCTTCATTGTGAGTACTTCCTAACAATTTTGATTTATTTGTTTCTAGCAGAGTCTGTATTGATCAGCAAGCTTGACGCACTGATTTATAAAGCCATGAGTGCCTCTGTGTGTGTGTGTGTGTGTGTGTGTGTGTGTGTGTGTGTGTGTGTGTGTGTGTCTGTGGTATGTGTTACATATATGTTCACTCAACCTTTATTCTATAAAATGTGCAGATGCAGCTTTCATATTTTAAAAGTCTTCTGTGGGCATGTCTGTTATACTCCCAATGCCTAGTTAGGTACTCTGTAATGGTTGCTAAATAAGACCTCATCTCTGGGTTGTGTTCATGTGAAAGCATTGATCTCATTGATTCGTCCACATTTAACTCAAGCTTTCTTTATAGGCAGTTGTTCTGCTTCAGAAACAGAGGTTTCAGGATCAAGCCTAATTTGATCCAATATATTCAAATCTGGATAGTAAGCTCAATGCTCTAATGGAGTTTTTCTGTGTCAGTCTGTATGAATATAATCTGACATATTTAAACTGGAGAAGGGCATTCAAGTGACCAAATGACCTCGGCAGTTTCCACATGGTAACACAGCTGTACAATCTGCCATTTTCAGAAAGTTATTTCCTGAATTACCCTCAATTATAAGAGGCCTCCACATAATTTGATTTTTCTGTAAATGACACAACTCAAGTAGCTTCTCAGCCAATTGGATTTTAACCTTGTCAGAATGGATAGAACTGAAACAAAGCCCTGGCTTGTTCTGAAACTGACCGTAGGAGAGACATCGGGGGTGAGAGGGTGGCGGCAGCATGCATCTTCCTTTCCCAGTGGAGTCTGTGGGTCTGATGGACCACGCAGATCTCGGGAGAGTTTCCACCCCATCTTCACACTAGTTACTCTGAGATCTGAGGCACATGGCTGAACCTTTTTGAGCACTGGAGACCTTGTTTATAAAACAGGAATAAAATGCTTGTGGTTCAGTTATTAAGGATTAAATTAGAAAATATACAGAATCCCAGGCACATGGCAAGATGCCCAGTCAATGCTGATTTTTTTATTTGCATGCAAGAAACCTCCTCCAGGAAGCTCTGATTTTTTTCTTTCCCCTCCAAGCTCCGGTGAAATGTCCTTCTAGAATGGTGCTGCCCACTAGCAATATAATATAAGTCACATATGTCATTTGAAATTTTTTGGTAGCCACATTTTGAAAAGGAAAAAGAAGACAGGTGAAATTAAGTTTAATAATATTTAAAATTTAACCCAGTGTACCTAAAAATGATTATTTCCATATTTAGTCAATAAAAAATGTATTAGTATATTTTATGTTTGTGTTTTCATGCTAAGTCTTTGAAATCTGATGTGTATTTGATACCTACAGCACATCTCCATTGGGACAGGCAGTACATCAAGTGCTCAGTAGCTGCATGTGGCTTGTGACTGCTGTCTTGGACAGTGCTGGTCTGTAAAATGCCCCGTTGTCCCTGCATCCTGCCCATGTTATGACACTAATCTCACTCATTTAAAACGATTCCACCAGGCTTTGCGCCCCTTGAGGGAAGGAGCTATGTCTTTCTTATTCATCTTGGGGTGTCCAGTAGCTACTATGGGCCAGCCCCAGAAAAGGTACCCAGTGGATGTTTGGGCAGTGAATGAAGCCATTTGTTCCTGTGCCTCATGTGACTTCAGCATGGGGAGGTGACCAGGGCTTCACTCCCCTAGAGGTGCAGAGGCGGCTGGCCATCAGGGTGGACGGTTTCCTGGGACCCAGTGAAGAGTATGGCGCTTTTGTCCCAAGTCTCCGATTCATGCTGATGCCCGATGTTTCCCCCAGAAGTTCCTTCCGGAAAGCGTAAGTGTGAGTATTGTGGAAGGGCTAACACTTTGAAACATATCAGTCATTATATCTTAACTTTGATTTCATAAGACGTTATGTGACTAGTGTGCGACAGGTGTGAGGCAGTTGGAGAGAATAGGAGCAGGGGATTGGTTGCCTGAAGGAACTGGGGAAAGCAAGTCACGGGACTAGGAAGGGATTAGGGGGCTGCTTAAGCCCAGACCCCACCCTCTCTCGCCGCTTAGCCCACACTCAGCCCTGTTTCTCAATTCCTTCCGCTCCTACCTCCTTTCCTCCTTCTTCTGTAGTGTGCGGCACGCAGCAAATACGCACTGCGTGAAATGGAACTGGAATTCCCTCACACCCCAGCCTGCCTCCCTCACTGATTGCATATTCACTGTAGTAGTTCGCTGGGGCTGCTGTAACAACATACCACAGACTGGGTGGCTTAGACAATAGAAATGTATCATCTCACAGTTTTGGAGGCTGGAAGTCAGAGATCAAGGAGCCAGCAGGATTGGTTCCTTCTGAGGGCCGTGAAGAAGGGCCTGTTCCAGGCCTGTCTGTTAGCTTCCTGGTTTGAGGGTGATCTTTGGCTTCCTTGCTCTGATTGCTGCCTTCATCTTCACATGGTGCTCCCCCTGTGTGGGTGCCTGGCTTTGTGTCCACATTTCCCCTTGTTATAAGGACACCTGTCATATTGGAGTAGGGGCCCACTGACTCCAGTATGACCTCATCTTAGCTAATTACATCTGTAATGACCCTATTTCCAAATAAGGTCACATTTGAAGGTGCTGGGGTGAGAACTTCAACTTACAGATTTTGGAGGGGACACAATTCAATCCCTAGTGCTTACTGTGTGTGTCGTGTTCTGCTAGATGCTACGGCTTTTGAGATAAAAGTCCTTCTGTTAGCAAAGATAAAGGATCAGGGTTGGCAGGGACATGGAGAAGAGGGAACTCCTGTGCACTGTTGGTGGGAATGTAAATTGGTACAGCCATTATGGAAAACAGTATGGAGGTTCTCCAAGAAATTAAAAACAGAACTACCATATGATCCAGCAATCCCACTTCTGGGTGTATGCCCAAAGGAAGTGCAAGCAGCATCTGAAACAGACACCAGCACTCTCACTGTAGCAGAGTTGCAGCATTGTTCACAACAGTAAGATACGGAATCAGGCTGGGCGCGGTGGCTCATGCCTGTAATCCCAGCACTTTGGGAGGCTGAGGCAGCCAGATTGCTTGAGGCCCAGGAGTTTGAGACCAGCCTGGGCAACATGGCAAAACCCTGTCTCTACAAAAAATATAATAAAATTAGCCAGGCATGGTGGCACGTGCCTGTAGCCCCAGGTACCCGAGAGACTGAGGGAGGTCAGGTTGAGGCTGCAGTAAGCCATGATCATGCCACTGCTCCCCAGCTTGGGGAGACCCTGTCTCAAAAAGAAAAAAAAAAGATACAGAATCAACTTACATGTCCATCAATGGATGAATGGATAAAGAAAATGTGAGTGAGATAGATAGATAGATAGATATAGATATATAGATACATATAAAAGGAATGTTATTTAGCCTTAAAAAAGAGGGAAGTTTTCAGCCCTTGGTTACAACATGGGTGAACCTGGGGGGACTGATATGGTTTGGATTTGTGTCACCCCCGTCCCCAAATCTCATGTCGAATTGTAGTCCCCAGTGTTGGAGGAGGGACCTGGTGGGAGGTGATTGGATCATGGGGTGGATTTCCCCCTTGCTGTTCTCATGATAGTGAGTGAGTTCTCATGGGAATTGGTTGTTTGAAAGTGTGTAGCACCTCCCCCTTCTCTCTCTTCCTCCTGCTCTGGCCATGTAAGATGTGCCTGCTTCCCCTTCGCCTTCTACCATGATTGTAACTTTCCTGAGGCCTCCCCAGCCATGCTTCCTGTACAGCCTGTGGAACCAATGAAACCTCTTTTCTTTGTAAATTACTCAGTCTCAGGTAGTTCTTTATAGCAGTGCAAGAATGGACTAATACAGGGACAGTATGCTAAGTGAAATAAGCCAGGCACAGAAAGACAAATACCGCATGATCTCACTTATATGTAGAATCTAAAAAGGTTGAACTGGTAGAAGCAGAGAGCAGAATGGTTACCAGAGGTGGTGAAAACAGGGAGATGTTGGTCAAGGGGTACAAAGTTTCATTAGATAGAATGAATAAATTCTGGAGATCTAATGCACAGCTTGATGACTATGGTTAATAATAATATATTGTAGACTTGAAATCTGCTAGGAAAGCAGATCTTAAATGTTCTGACTACACGAAAAATGATAACTATGTGAGGTGATAGATGTGTTACTTAGCTTGATTGTGGTCATCACTTTCACTATCTATCTCTCTATCTAAGCATCATGTTGTATACCATGAATATATATAATTTTTATTTGCCAAATTAACCTCAATAAGTCTGGGGAAGTTTGTGCTCTAATTGGGGTGTCAAGCCAGTAAACTGACTGACCATTATAAAATGAGGTCCTGGCCAGACGCAGTGGCTCATGCCTGTAATCCCTACACTTTGGGAGTCTGAGGTGGGAGGATGACAAGAGTTTGAGACCAGCCTGGGCCAGATGGCAAGATCCTGTCTCTACAAAAAATTTAAGAATTAGCTGGGCATGGTGTTGTGCACCAATTGTTCCAGCTGACTCGGGAGGCTGAGACGGGAGGATCCCCTGAGCCCAGGAATTCAAGGCAACAGTGAGCTATGATTGTGCCACTGCTCTCCAGCCTGGTTGGATTTTTTTTTGATTAAAAAAATTTAAAAAATTATAAAATGATGTCCTATATGAGTTTAATACATGACGTTGGAGGAGCATAGAGATAGACCTAGACTAGGCATGTGTATGTGTGTGTGTGCATGTGTGTATGCATGCATGCTTATGCATGTGTGTGTGCATGCATGCTTGTGTGTGTGTGTGTGTGTGTGTAGAGCCTTGGTCATCCCGACAGAGCAAAGACACAGGAGGGTGGCACACGGAAGAACAAGTGACTCCACCCTCCCTTGCACAGTTAAAATCTGGCCAAGGTGAGAGGGGAGATGGGAGAGGGGAGAGGGGAGAAAGGAGAAGAGGCACTGACTGGAGGGGCTGAAGCTTTGTCCCTCCTGGGCAGGCGTTCTCCATCCACACCCCTCTTCTTGGATAGAGAGGATAAGCAGGCCAAAGATGCACGAAACCTGAGTTCCACTGTAGCTCCAGACTTCTAGAAAAGTCAACAGCCCCTGTATCTCTAGCTGATCCTCTGTTGTTCAATGTCTGCATTACCGCACTGGGAGACACTTGACAGATTGGGCCTGCCGCAGGCCATAGCAGACATTGGGCAGCCCTAGAACGAAGCTGACCGTCCTTGGAATGTGCCACAGGGGTGTGACGCCCCGGCCAACTCCAGTGCTGCCTAAAATGGCCTCTTGCAACATTCCCCTCTCTTCATCTTAAATCAGGGACTTGAAGCCACAAAATGGCAAATACACAGTTCTGGCAGTCGTTTTGAGTATTGGAGAAATCGCTCTGGCCATCTGTTTTGTCTCCAGCATGTTTCTCACGGAATATCCACGGATATATCCATGGATATAACAGACATCCTGCCAAGGCAGAGCTTGGCTCTTGAGAACTCGGCAAGCTCAGTGCTTGCCTGGATTCCTGCCTCATGTCCCATCCAGTGTTTGGAGAAAAGCTCTGAGAGAAAGATGAATGTCTGAGGCCACACAGCCTAGAAGTAGTCAAGAGCACAGGCTCTAGAACTAGCCCCACGTGGGCTGAAATCCCAGCACCAGCGCCTGCCGGCTGTGTGATGTAGGAGAGCTTCTTACCAGCTCTGTGCCTCACTTGTCTCACTTGTAAAATGAGAATAAGAATTGGCCGGGCTCGGTGGCTCACGCTTGTAATTCCAGCACTTCGGGAGGCTGAGGTGGGCAGATCACTTGAAGTCAGGAGTTCAAGACCAGTCTGGCCAACATGGTGGAAACCCCGTCTCTGCCAAAAATACAAAAATTAGCCAGGCGTGGTGGCGGGCACCTGCAGTCTCAGCTACTCAAAAGGCTGAAGCAGGAGAATCGCTTGAACCTGGGAAGTGGAGGCTGCAGTGAGCCAAGATCACACCACTGCACTGCAGCCTGGGTGACAGAGCAAGACTCTGTCTCAAAATAAAATAAAATAAAAATCAAAGAATAGCCCCTACCTTATTCTCTTTTGTGAGAATTTGATGAATCCGGACATGTGAAGTGCTCAGAAAGGTGTCTGGCACCAAGTGAAGGCTGTTTGCTATTTGCTGTTGTTATTGTTACTCAGGCACAAAGGCAGAGAGGAGCAAATGGTCCCTGGGAGCAAATGAGCAGGTGGAGGCTAAGATCACTTGGACAATGGAACTCCATCGTCTGCCGGATAATCTGCCATCATCTTATAAATCCACTATGTCTAAAAGAAACACCATCTTTTAGTGCAGGGGTTCACAGCTTTGGCTGTACTTTAGAAGCAAAAAAGGAAATTTAAAAAATTGCAATGCTCAGTCCACCCAATCAGTATTTTCTATAAACCCTCAATGAACAACCAAGTTTGAGAACCACCTCTCTAGGTTTTTCCTACTCAAAGACAGATCCAGGGACCAGCAACACTGACACACTTGGGAGCTTATTAGAATTACAGAATTGGCCCCCACCCCAGCCTGCCAAAGGGAAACTACATTTTTTTTTTTTTTTTGAGACGGAGTCTCACTCTGTCGCCTAGTCTGGAGTGCAGTGGCGCAATCTTGGCTCACTGCAACCTCTGCCTCCCGGGTTCAAGCGATTCTCCTGCCTCAGCCTGCTGAGTAGCAGGGACTACAGGCGCACACCACCACGCCTGGCTAATTTTTGTATTTTTAGTAGAGGCAGGGTTTCACCACATTGGCCAGGATGGTCTTGATCTCCTGACCTCATGATCCACCTGCCTTGGCCTCCCAAAGTGCTGGGATTACAGGCATGAGCCACTGTGCCCGGCCAGGAAACTTTTTAACAGACTCCCAGGTGGTCTGCACAATCATTAACTGGACAAGCCTTCTTAGAGCCTGGGAGGCCCTAGAAGAAGCAACCCTCAAGTAGGTTAGGTCACAAAGGACGAGTGGTCCCAGAGTTTGTGTAGATTGCTGAGACGGGACACCAGAAGAGGCCCTGACCTCTCTTGGAAGGTAGCATGCTTCTGCTTCCAGAAACCCTGGAAAATAAAAGGCCGTGTTTATGCAGCTGTGGAGTACTAGTCCGTGGCAGGGAGCTGGAGTCCCAAGGTGGGCCAGATGGATGTGCAGCCTCTCGGTCTCTCTGGATGCAGTAAATACTCATAATTTCATATGACTCAACCCAGGGAGAAGAGAAATGTGGCATTGAACGGGTGCCTTTAGAAACAGAGGTCACCGCAGTACCTGTAAAAGGAGAACCTGTCCAGCCTGGGTGGTGTCCCTGGAGTGAAGGGGATTTGTGGGGCTAGAGGATAGGGTCCCCTGGGTAGCCACAGTCAGAGTTATTAATAGTTCTCTTCATAGATTGGGTTGTTCCTTCACTTTTCACAAGAAACAAGGAGGAGGCAACCTAGGCTCTCCATGCCCGCCTCTCACCTTCACTCCAGCATTTTCCTTCAAAAGACATTTTTAGGTGTCATCTTACCATTCTCCCATCCCCCCTGCATGGCCCCCAAATACCTGGTGCAGCAAATCTCAAACAATGCAGTTTTGTGGGAAGAGCATGGAATTTAGACCCCTACGTCCTGAGTTCAAATCCTGCCTCTTCCACTTACTAGCAGTGGGATTTTGAGCAAGTAATTCAACTTCTAGGTTTCAACTTCTAGGTTTCCTCATCTGGAAAGCTGGAATCACTTATTTAAGTTCAGCTAACAAGGCCACAAAGTGTAACAGTTAAAACTGTGGGTTCTCAGAGTCAGGTTGCCTCGGTTCAAATTTATACTTACTGGCAGAGCAATTTGGTGTCAGTTTTCTAATCCCTCTGTGCCTCAGTTTCTTTCTATGTAAAAACAAGAAAAACAATACCTAGCTCTTTGGATTATTTTGAAAATTAAATGAGTTGATTTGTGTAAAGTGCCTAGAACAGTGGCTAGCAGTACACAGTCAAATACATATTTTTTTCTTTCCTTTTTCCTTTTTTTTTTTCCCTTGAGATAGAGTCTCACTCTATTGCCCAGGCTGGTGAGCCATGGTGCGATCTCGGCTCACTGCAACCTCCACCTCTAGGGTTCAAGTGATTCTCCTGCCTCAGCCTCCCGAGTAGCTGGGATTACAGGTGTGCACCACCACGCCCAGCTAATTTTTGTATTTTTAGTAGAGACGGGTTTTCACCACGTTGGCCAGGCTGGTCTCGAACTCCTGACCTTGTGATCTGCCTGCCTCGGCCTCCCAAAGTGCTGGGATTATAGGTGTGAGCCACTGTGCCTGGCTTCTTCTTCTTTTCTTTTCTTTTTTTTTTTTTTTTTAAAGCAGGGTGTTGCTCTGTTGCCCAGGCTGGAGTGCAGTGGCGCGATCATGGCTCACTGCAGGTTTGGCTTCCTGGGCGCAAGTGATCCTGCCACTTCAGCCTCCCAAGTAGCTGGGACCACAGGCCTGGGCCACCACACCCAGTTAATTGTTGTTGTTGTTTTCTTTTTTTGGTAGAGATGGGGTCTCACTATGTTGCCCAGGTTGGTCTTGAACTCCTGGGGTCAAGTAGTTCTCCTGCGTTGGCCTCCCAAAGTGCTGGGATTATTGACATGAGCCACTGCACCTAGCCAAGTATTTTTTTTCTTTTTTATTTCTATGTTCTCATCTTTAAAACTTTCCACTGTTCTTTCTTTAAAAGGAAAATTGTAATCATGATTTGGGTCCTAGTAAGTGTGTTTTAAGAGAAGTTTCTTTTGCCCAGTGACTTTCTTACTCCCTCACATTCAGACAGCCTTTCACTGCTTTTCAAATACATCATTCCCCATTTTACAGATGAGGCACCTGAGGCATAGAGAGGCGTTTTGTTGTTGGTGTGCAGCATCATCCAGCCTATTCGGGGAGTTGCAGAACCATGATTCAGTCCAGCTCTGGAGCTTGTTTATTGCTCATGGGACCAGGCGAGGCCACCTCCACCAGCTCAACTGGGGTCGACTCATTGATTAAATGAGTGACCTGAATTCCTTTGATTCTTAATTTACTGGTCTTTAAGTCAAGATGAAACCCCCTCCCTCTCCAGTGGTTTGTGGAAGGAGTATACAGAGCTTGTAAATGGGCTGAGTCAATGCCTGCCCGCAGATGGGTGGTCAGCTGGAATGAAATGCACAGTGAAGACCATCCATGACTGTCCCAGGCACACCTGGGTGGAGGGTCCTGAAAGCCCCCATCCTAGCAGGCAGGATTCAGTGAAATGGGAGCAAGGCATGGTGGGCTGTGTGCCCACCTGCGCCTGTGCCGGCTACACCTCTCGGTTTCCTGGATTGTCAGCTTCTCCTAGAAACTCACTCAGACCCCTCCTGAGTCAGACAGAGCATCCCTGAACCAGGACTGGGTTTGCTCAGGCCAGAGGCTGTGCTTGAAACGGGAGTTGCAGAGAAGGACTTCTGTGGGCTTGGAACTTTTTTTTTAATTTTCCGGACACACACAAAAATGTTAGGAGGCTGCTTTTAGATGTTTCTTTTTTGAGCTCTTCCCTGCCTAGGCACAGTAACCATGTGTAATTTTCTTATCAATTCACTCTTCTCGTCAGGGGAGGGCTATTTTTAGCCACTCCACTGGGTCGTGTTTCGAGCGCTCTCTTCTAAGCCCCAACCAAGAGTTGGTGTTCAAACAGGAATCAGAATGATTCGGGGTCTCTTTCCTAATTAACAAGAAGCCCTAAGTGAGTGAAAGCAAGCCCCAAACAAGCACTGGGAGAGGCTGGAGTGGGGGCTGCTTATCTGGGGGCTGCCCATTTTGAAGAAGGCTGTTTACACCGATCCATAGACTTACTGGGTTTTGGTTGGCTCCGGGTTCAGAAAGGGTTAACTCATCTCGCAAACCCATTCACCAAGGGTAAAGAATTAAATTAACTCATGCTAAGCCCATGGTTTTTGCAGATGGAACATTCTGGTTTCTACTTTTCAAGAGCAACTCAAAAGTTCATTAACAAGGAGGAACTTGTAATCTTTGCGAAGGACCAAATTTGAATGGGAGAAACGGTTCCCTTAGCCAATAGGTGAGCCCAGCCAACTCCTCAGCCCGGAAGCTTTGTCATTCTATAATTGTCATTCCCGGTGAGCCTTCATCCTAGGTCTGATGGGGCCACTTGAAGATCTCATTGAATTTTGTAGGGAAATTGCATGCTAAAGAGACATTTGGAAATTAGCAGGCTTGAAGGCTGCCTTGAGACATGTCCCCTAAAGGTATTTTGTCACCACACAGAATGGCTCCCAAATGGTGCCCCCCCAACTTTCTTCTGCTCTCTTCATTTGAGTTTCTCTCATCCATAGAACAGTTAATCTCAGTTCAGAATCTCAGCCTCGGCTCTCCATAGGTTTTCCTTCATTTTCCAGGATAAATGAGCTGGAGTTTGAAAAGAAGTGTGACTTCTTCAAGGAACTGGCAGATACTAGGGGAGTTCAGAAGCAGCTGACATCCAATTATTCACGGTCATGGGGGAAAGGGATTGAATGAGAAATAGAAATCCACAGATAATCTCCAAACCTTATGCTCATCCATAGCCTTCTCTTCCAACATGCCTTTAACAGTACCAAGAAATGGGCTGATTTAGCGCTGTTTTCAAAATGGAGGTCCTGAGAGATCAGTACAGTAAAATTAATTTGCCAATCCTTCTCTTAATGAGAAGCATTGCAAGGAATGGAAATTCTCCATTTATTTATTTATTTATTTGTTTGTTTGTTTGTTTTTATTACTTACCCAGAGTAAAGCGTCATTTTTCTTGAGCAAGTGGCAAAATGAGCTTATTTTCTTGGCTGGTTTTGTTCATTGTTTGTTGTGTCAGAGACTAGCATAGAACATTGTGACTTTCTTTTCACTAACACAAAACAAAACAAAAATGATTGGGATTCAGGCCTAGATAATCTTGAAATAAAAACCAGGAGCTAGGAGAATGACAGTCAATTGCAATTGATAATTGAGTCTCCTTCCCCAGGATATTAATGGTGTAACTAAACCAGGGAGGAAGAAGTGATAAGTATCTTGTTAAGATAAGTCTTTGCCAAAAACAACCCATGGCAAATTGCTGCCATTTGTTATCTAATACTGAGCGCAGAGTGTAGTCTTTCTTGAGCCTCAGAAACCCTGCTTGTCTCTATCAGTTCATTTCAAATTTAACTTGCTAAATATCATTGTCCAAAGCCTTGGCAGACTTTCAAAAGCAGCGTTGTTGCTGATCTCAAGCTTGACACAGTGGGATCTTGGGGAGTCTCACAGACCACAGCCCCCAGTTTGTGGGGGCATCTTGATCAAGGCCTAGGCAAAGGATCTGTTTGGAGAATAAAAGCCAAGCCAGCCTCAAAGATGAACATGTGTGGCCCGGCCTGTTAAACCCAGTCAAGGCGATGGGCTGCAGACATCCTGTCTTTCTCTGGTGCTGTCCTAGACCTTGCCATTGGCCCAGGGCCATTCAAAACCCAAGGCCTACAGTCACGGCTTCCCAAGCTATGGTAGGCAGAATGCCTTGCCCCTTTTCCAAGCAATAAGAATATGTTACCTTATTTGGCAAAAGGGACTTTGCAAAGGCAGTTTAAGTTAAGGGTTTTAAGATGGAGAGATTATCCTGGATTATCCGGATGGGTCCAGTATAATCATCAGGATGATAAGGGAGGCAGGAGTGTCAAAGCCAGGAAAAGAGATGTTGTGAGGATGGAAGCAGAGCTTGGAGTGATGTGAGGAAGGGGGCCACAAGCCTAGGAATGTAAGTGACCTGTAAAAGATGGAAAAGGCACAGAACAGATTTTCCCTTGGAGCCTCCAGAAGGAACGCAAGCCTGCTAACCCCTTGACTTTAGGACTTGTGACCTTCAGAATGGAAGCAGTTGTTTGTAGTGATTTGTTACAGCGGCAATAGAAAACTAACATGCACACACCCCTTTTTAGTTGGAGCTAAGCTTCCCTCTCCCAAGACCAGGGTCCAAAGGAGGCCTGGGAGAGGCCAGGTCTGTGACATCAGGTAAGCAGTCCGGCAGCAGCGTGGTGAGTCTGGAAAATGGGATGCTGATGGTTGTGGTGATACTGCCTTTTTCAGAATTGTTTTGAGGATCAAGTGAGGTACTGTGAAAATGCCTGGCAAATCTAGGTATAAGCCGGCAACCCCGGTGACCCCCACAGGCACATCATGGCTTACATACCGGCAGGGAATAGGCTGAGTTGATACAACCAAAATCCTTGTACATATTCATAAGAACTCTTTGACAACCACACATTCAACCTGAAATTTATATCAGATCACAGTTTTGTGGATAACCAAAATCCTTGTACATATTCATAAGAACTCTTTGACAACCACACATTCAACGTGAAATTTATATCAGATCACAGTTTTGTGGATGGGTTCCTATAGGTAGGAGGTACTACCACTGTTTAGTCAGTACATTTATTTTTTTTAAAAGGACGGAGTAAATATTTGGAATTAATGGTGTTATATTTGTCAAGATTTTCCTTCATGAAATGATTATATAATTCTTACAGTATTCTCAAAGTACCCGCATAGAGACTAGCTTCATTGAAACTCACAATTCTCTCAAGGTTGGCAGGGGAGATATTATCTTCCCATTTTAGACAGTGCAAAGAGAAGGAAGATCAGAGTATTAAATAACTCTCCCCAGCCAAGTAAGCTCTTAATAAATGTCAGGTAAGGCTAAACCTGAACGTCGAGCCTAGAGAGGGCAAAGAGCATGCCGGTTCAGAGCAGACACCCCTGCCAGGCACTAGCTGGGTGACTTTGGGCAAGTTACTTAACCTCACTGTGCCTCAGTTTCCTCATCTCCCAATGTAAGGATAATGTACCTACCTCACAGGTTTGTTGTGAAGACTAAATGAAGATAATGCAATAAACGGCTGAGACCCATGCCAAGCACATGGTAAAAGTGTGTAATTGCGTATTAGCAGCAGCAGCCAGAGCAATAGCCAAGGGTCAATTAACTCCCAGTCCAGTGTTCAGTTCATGATTGTCCATGCATTAAGAGCCAAAGCACCCCCAAAGCCATCTCACCCTGCTGAAGCAGTCTAAAGTGCTCAACTAAGTTGGTGCATTAATCTCTAGACCAGAGGTCAGCAGACGTTTTCTGTAAAGGGCCAGACAGCAAACATTTTAGGTCTCTGTTGCAACTACTCAGCTTTGCCCTTGTGAATGAAAGCAGCCAAGACAATATGTAAATGAATGGGCGTGGCCAGATTTCATCCACAGGGGTTCCCTGCTTTAGACTGTGCCGAGAGCCAGAGGTCTTGAGTTCAAGTCCCAGCCTCACCACACTGCAAGGGTGTTCTTGAGCAAGTCAGGAAGGCTCCCCAGAGTCAGGCCCTTAGCCTCTAAAAATGGGAATAATAATGCCTCCCTCAAGAGCTGGTGAGACAATGGAAGCTGTTTGTAAACTGTAAAGTACCGTGCCTGATTTGGTTATTAGTGTTTTATTGCTGATGTACGGTCGAGGTCCAGGCCACCCGTGGTAGATAAAAGTGCATGTGGGCTGGACGAAGTGGCTCACGCCTGTAATCCCAGCACTTTGGGAGGCCGAGGCAGGTGGATCACCTGAGGCTGGGAGTTCGAGACTAGCCTGACCAACATGGAGAAACCCCGTCTCTACTAAAAATACAAAATTAGCCAGGCATGGTGGCACATGCCTATAATCCCAGCTACTCGGGAGGCTGAGGCAGGAGAATCGCTTGAACCTGGGAGGCAGAGGTTGCGGTGAGCCGAGATCGCGCCACTGTCACCCAGCCGAGATCGCCTGGGTGACAGAGTGAGACTCCATCTCAAAAAAAAAAAAAGTTCATGTGCCCTTGGTGTAAAATACTGGGCTCTATCTCACCGTCTCTGCTGTCTGCAGTTGCATTATGAAATCAGGAAAGGGTTATTTAATTTCAATCACTTTCAACTTGTTTTGGGGTATGAGAAACACACCAGCCTCTGAAAGCTTCCCGTTGCTGTCATGTGATGTTTCTCTAGCCACGAAGCCTTGTGTAGTCTGAGTTGATCTTCATTCTGAAAATGGCAAATGAACAGAATGACCATGATGAATGGGGGCTCCTGAGAAACACAGCACTCGTTCTCAGTGTCTCAGGCTGGGGGAGTGAAGCCTGCAGCCTTGATGGAGGGAAGGTATGTGGAAAATGAATTGCTGAGCGGAATCTCAGAGAATGGCTGCTGAAGAAAAGCATTTCAAGGAGCAATTATGCAGCTCATTAAGATGCACTCCATTCCGGCCTCTGATCCTAGGGGAATTGTCAGAGCAATTATGTGCAAACCTCAATTTTGAGGTCTGAAAAGGGGTTGGTGCATAATCGGCAGGAGAAGAAAAAGAAGGGAGACGGTTTGAAACAATGGGTATTAAATGATTGTCACAGCAAGGAAGACAGGGATGGAAGGAGTGGACACCCTGGGTACTTAAGACTGAATGTGTGGTCTCAGGATTGCATACGGGCCATGTGGGCAGTGCATTTGGTACCCTTAATAGGACTTCTTGGAATCAAAGTGGTTTGCTTTGTACAAAGTTGTAAGCATGGTGTTTGGGATATGTTTGTTGAATGAATGAATGATTTGTGCTTGCCATATCAAATGAATGAAGGGAAAAATGAATGAAGAAGTTAAAAAGGTTAAGAATTCATGTAAAATGAAGATAATAATCATACATACCTTACACGACTACTGTGAGAATGAGGTGGTATAATGCACTTAAAGCTGTCAGCACAGAGCCTGACAGTGGCAGGCTCTCAATTCTAGCTAGTATTGGGATTACATTTTCCCAGGTGTGTTAGTCAGCTCAGACTGCCATAACAACATACCACGGACTGGGTGGCTTGAACAACAGACATTTGTTGACTCGGGTCTTGGAGGCTGGAAACCCAAGATCCAGGTGCCAGTAAGGTTGGTTTCTGGTGAGCCTCTCTTTTTGGCTCACAGACGGCCACCTTTTTGGCTGTGTCCTCACATGGTCTTTCCACGGTGCCCGTGCACTCCTGGTTTCTCTTCTTATAAGGACACGGTCATTCTGGGTTAGGGTCCCGCCTTTATGACCTCATTTAACCCTAATTACCTCTTCAAAGGCCTCATCTCCAAATACAGTCACATTGGAGGATAGAGCTTCAACATACAAATTTTGGGGGACCCACCTCATTCCATAACACCAGGTGAAGAATCAGACTTTGCTATTGAGGTTATTAGGCCTGATCTTGTGACTAAGCAGCTATGCAAAACCTTTTAAAGCCACTAGAATCACTGTTTCCTGAGATGCCAAACTGGAGATGCCCCAGTGTTCTAGAAAAGCAAATAGACTTCCAGTAACTTATGTCCTTCTGTGTTAGTGCCTGACTCTGCTATTCAGAGATGCCAGTGACCATCCTTTTTCTTTTTCTTTTTCTGAGACGGAGTTTCGCTCTTGTCGCCCAGGCTGGAGTACAATGGCTTGGTGTCAGGTCACTGCAACCTCTGCCTCCCGGGTTCAAGCGATTCTCCTGCCTCAGCCTCCTGAGTACCTGGGATTACATGTGCCCACCACCATGCCTGGCTCATTTTTGTGTTTTTAGTAGAGATGGGGTTTCACCATGTTGGCCAGGCTGGTCTTGAACTCCTGACCTCAGGCGATCCGCCCGCCTTGGCCTCCCAAAGTGCTGAGATTACAGGCATGAGCCACCACGCCCAGCTGGCCATCCTTTTTCTTTCCACTGTTAAGACAAACAGGCAACTCACTCATGCTGTTTTTCTGAAAAAAGCAAAATTTCTGAACTGTCTTCTTAAGGATTCCATAAAACAGGTGCCCTGGGAGTTGAAATTGACCATGTGAACCTGTGATTTTGTGTCAGAGTGAGCACTACTAAATCTCATTTTCTTCCCTGTCTTCTTTTTCATTTCCAAATCTGCCCAGAAGACAGTAAAAGCTCATTAATTTGAACCCTGCTAATTTAGAATATGTAACATTTCCTCCAAGCTCACCATGAAGGAGGAATTTGTGAAACAAATTAATAGTGTGAACATAATTAGAAAAGATGAGTCTTGTAGTGTTGGGAGGTACCTGGAGGTGATCCAGTCCTTTTCATTGGTGGCTTGTTTCTTTTCAAATGAGGAAATCGAGGCCCAGTGAGGTTCTGTGGCTCTTCCACACTCACACAGGGGGACTGTTTAACCTCCTTCAGGACACCAGCCTAAAACACGGAGTCTTATTTGTTTGTGAAAGACACAGGCTCTTTATTAGCTGTGGGTTCCTTTTACAATGTGAACCTCAAGTACTAAAAGTGCATTTTTAAAGAAATATTCTGCATTTCAGGTTTCCCACTAATTATGACTGGCCTTCTCCCAAGTTAGTTTGAGCTATTTTGGTGAGGTTTTATAGTGATTTAATAAGAAAAGCTTTTTTAAAACCTCATAAAACCTTCTGTACAATTCATTCTGACCAACATTCCCTCTTACAATTATGTCATTAACAACTTCTTTTTAAAAGACCAGAACTTTTGTCTATTCATGTTAACCTTAAAAGCAGCATTCACCGAACCCCTGAGAAACAAGGAGAGCTATAATACTTTACAGGATTGGGGCAGAGCACATGAAATCATGTGTGAGAGAGGGTTCTGTACATTTGTTTTTCTTAATTGCCATTTCTGACTTGGGCAGCCTCCCCACCCAAAAAAAAAAAAAAAAAAACATGGTCAAAATATACTTGTGCATGTAAATGTGGTATTTCCTGGGAGAGTCCTGAGGGAATGGCCTGTTTTCCATGTGATTTGTTTTTTAATAGACTTGATTTTTTTTTTTAGAGCAGTTTTAGGTTCATGGCAAAATCGAGCAGAAGGCACAGAAAATTCCCAGACACCCCTGCCCCCAGACATGCACGGCCTCCCCCGTCATCAGCATCCTCCACTGAAGTGGTCCATTTGTTACAACTGATGAACCTGTATTGACATGTCTTTGTCACCCAGGCTCACAGTTTACATTAGGGTTCACTGTTGGTGTTGTATATTCTACAGGTTTGGACATGTAGCCACGTGTCATTATACATTTTAGAGTAGTTTCACTGCCCCCAAAATCCTGTGGGTCTACCTGTCCATCCCTCCCTCCCCCCAAGCACTGGCAACCCCTGATCTTTTTACTGTCTCCATAGTTTTGTCTTTTCCAGAATGTCATATAGTTGGAATACAATATGTAGCCTTTTCAGAGTGGCGTCTTTCACTTTGTAATATGCATTTACATTTTCTCCATGTCTTTGCATGGCTTGATGGCTCGTTTCTTTTTAGTACTGAATATTCCATTGTCTGGATGGAACACAGTTTGTTTATCCAGTCACCTACTGCAGGACATCTTGGTTGCTTCCAAGTTTTGGCAATTAAGAATAAAGCTGCTCTAAACATCCATGCGCAGGTTTTTTGTGTGGATGTAAGTTTTCAACTCCTCTGAGTAAATACCAAGGAGAGTGATTGCTGGATCCTATGGTAGGAGTATGTTGACTGTTTAAAAAAATTTAATGAGATGCCTATTTATTAATTTAAATCAAACTGTAGCTGCCGCATGGACTGGAATGTCCTCATCAGCAGATCAGCGCATACTCTCCCCAGAGTCAGACCTACTGGGGCACCAAACCGCAATCAACAGGTTATTCAACAAGCGCAGGTTCAGAGCCCCCAGCAAGATGGCCAGAATTACTAAGTGTTCCTTAGCCTTGGGACATGAATTCTCTGCCACAGCCACAGCCAACAAGAATGGAGCACTCCCAAGTATTTGACGGGCTTCTTATTCTCTCCTTTTGGGCATTTAATACATCTTTAACACAAATCAGGATTGTAGAAGATTAGGGCTTATTTTCAAAGTGTCTTCTCAGCATAAAGTCAGATGATGATGATGATGATGGTGGTGGTGGAGGATGACAGAATTAGCAGGTGGTGGGTGTGGTGGTGATAACTAGCAGCAGCAGCAGTGGCAGGACTGGTGGTAATTATTGTTGTTAACATTTCTTGAACACTCGCTCTGTGCTTTACACACATTATTTCAATCATCACAACTCTTTAAGGCAGACACTCTGTTTGACAGATGACAATGCCAAGGCCCAAAGAAGTTAATCACTTTCCTAAGGTCACACAGCTGGCATGTGATAGCAGCGGGAGGTAATCCCCAGCCATCTAATGCCCTTATCCCCTTCCCCGCTGCCTGGCACAGTGCTCTAAGTCTCTATCTGCCAAGGCTTTTAGAAGTCATTTGATGCACGGAGTGATGTATCTCAGGGCCCCGACATTCGCCATTAAACCCGAGGTCAGGAGACAGGAGACTGCAGTTGTCCTGCTTAATCCCAACGGTCCCGTTCTTCCTGTGTTTCTTTTAAGGGATTTCTCTCCAGCCTCACAAATGCTGACAGGTGGCCCCTCACCCCACAGGGCTCGCTGACTGCACGTGCCCAGACCATCTCTTCAGGTTCCATTTTTTACATTCAAGAGAAGAAAAAGGGCAAAAGATTTCTATTTTAAGCTGTCAGACACAACATGAGCCTATCAAGACTTGTTGAGCTTGGAAGCAGTTCCAGCTTCTTCCTCAGAAAGCAGAAATTTTGACTTTGGGCCACTGATGCTCAGTGAAATGTGTTTCCGTTGTCCAGGGTAACGTGGCGTTGAATTCCGCTGACAGAAGAGGCTCTGCATCGGCTCTAATGAGCAGCATCATTTCAATAGAGCTGGCCCCTCCCTCCCTCTTCAGCCTCATCTTGGGCCCCTCTATTCCTTCCAGCCCTCCAGGCCTTGGTTTAGTTCCTCTGCTGTCCTTGCTTTTTCCTGCCACCGGGCCTTTGCACCTGCTGTTCTTTCTGCTTCACCTCTACTTGGCTGACTCCTTCTCAGCCTTTAGGGTCTCTAGGGCTGGTCACATGTTCCTCTAATACCCTTGCCTCTCTTTGAGAGCCCTTTGCTTATTGTAATTATTTTATGACTTTCTGGTTATTTATTTATTGCTGTCTTCCTCATTGGATGCTAAGGTCCACGCTGGCTGCCTCTGTGCTGGCTTTGTGCCTAATGTACTACATGAAACAAGGGGGAGCTGGATGGATGGACAAGCTGGGAGCCTCAGGGTGAGGATAACGGCACCCCAAGCTTCCTAAGAGCTTAGTCTTCTGGCTAGTCTACTCAATGCCTCATTCTAAACGATCTAGAGTTGCAAATTGCACAGGGGTTAAGAGCAAGTGCTCTAGAATCAGGCTGCCTGCATTTGTATTCCAGCCCTGCCTCTTACTAGCTGTATTTGTTTCTCTTGCTGGGTAACAAATCACACAAACTTAGCAGTTTACGACAACATACTTTTTTTAAATCCCACAGTTTTGATGAGCCAGGAGTCTGAGTATCTTTTAACTGGGTCCTCTACTTAGGATCTCACCAGGCTACAGTCTCATGTGAAGCTTAGGGTCCTTGAAGCTCACATGGTTGTTGGCAGAAATTGTTTCCTTGTAGCCATAGAACTCACAGTGGCTTGCTTCTTCAAGGCCAAGAGGACAGTCTCTCTGAGTTCAGAGAAGGTTAAGCCCTCTTTAAAGTACAGATGCCCCTTGACTTACAATGGGCTTATTTCTTCATAATTCTAAGTTGAAAATATCATAAGTCAAAAATGCATTTGGCCAGTCACAGTGGCTCATGCCTATAATCCCAACACTTTGGGAGGCCGAGGCAGGCAGATCACTTGAGGCCAGGAGTTTGAGGCCAACTTGGCTAACATGGTGAAATCCCATCTCTACTAAAAATACAAAATTTAACTGGGTGTGGTGGCACGCACCTGTAATCCCAGCTACTCAGGAGGCTGAGGCAGAAGAATTGCTTGAACCCAGGAGGTGGAGGTTGCAGTGAGCTGAGGTCGCGGCACTGCACTCCAGCCTGGGCAAGAGTTAATGGGACTCCATCTCAAAATTTTTTTTAAAAATGCATTTAATACACTTAACCTATGAAACATCACAGCTTAGTGCAGCCTACCTTAAACATGCTCAGAATACCAACATTAGCCTACAGTTGGGCAACATTATCTAGCACAAAGCTTATTTTATAATAAAGTTATCTTGAAGAATTTTGAATCAGATTTAAAGCCAACCCATTGTTAAGTTGGAGATTGTCTTACTTATTCCCTGGTTAGGTTAGCCGCATCCAGGATAATTTTTCCTTTTGATTAATACGTAACTCACTTACGGATCTTAGTTATATCTGCAAATCCCTTCGCCCTTGCTGTGTAATATAACATAACCGTGAAGTGATATCCCCTCACATCCCCAGGTCCTGTCCACACTCAAAGGGTATTGTACAGGACATGTATACCAGGAGCAGGAATCACCAGGACCATCTTAGAATTCTGCCTACCACACTAGCTGTGTGGCTTTGGGGAAGTTGCTTAACTTCTGTGTGCCGCTGTCTGTAGAGTAATACCCACTTCATAGGATTTGTTGTAAAGGTTAAACAAGTTGATTTATGGAAAGTGCTTAAGACAATTCCTGGCAGGTGGTGAGTACTCAATAAATGTTAGCTGTTACAACCATAAAGATGAGGATAATCTCCAGCCGAGCCAGTGGGCTCCCAGCTTAGAAATGCAGTCCACCAACTGGCTGGAAAATGAAATCCGAGAAGCCAGGCTGACGGGGAAAGAAGACACCAGAGAATATCAATGACTTGGTAAATTGGCCTTCCCGAAAGGGAAACTGACAGCTTCTACTCCACCAGGCGAAAATGGGCAAAGCAGGTGGAAAGCTGTATCAAGTTACTAAAGCAAATTGGATCTACGTGGGTGCACGTGCCCCTATTTTAGTTCGTTTCATGAAAACATCTCTTCTCAAGGCAAGGAGTCATGGCCTCATCTCTCTGGAAAGCTTTGAAATCCCTTACATCAGGGATTTAAATCAATTGATATCTCTCAGATATGAAGAAATGAGCATAATTGGATATCCTGGCAACTTGTGTCAGCAGCTGCACCCCAAAGTTTATGTCTGCCTTAAGGGAAGGCTTTCTTCTGAAACAGGATCTCAGTTGGTTCAGTTTAAGAATAAGGGCCTCTCATTAACACTAGTGAGACCCCTAATAACGTGAACAGGGTTATTAGGTCTCACTGACGTGTGGTCAGGAGGAGGCCCGCCTGGGAATTTGCCCCACGAAGTGTGCGTTTTGCTGGAGAGGAGAGTGTTCAGAATCGATTTGTTGCTCCGTCTGGGATGCTGTTAACCAAATGTGGGAAGAAGCAGCACAGTGAGTCAATGGAGCAAGTTCGCAGTGGCGTATTTATGAATACTGGCTGGTTGGGGGAGAGGAATGGTGCAGCTTCTTTCTTTGGAAGGGACTCGCTTTATTGAAATCCTTTTCAGTGGGGTCACCCGGGGCAAGTCATTCACTCTTCCTCAGACCTCATAGTTTGCATCTGATAATTCAACTCAAGTCATTTTATTGACGGTGGTAGCGGACCCTGTTGGTGCTGTGCCCAGACCATCCGTTTTAGGGTTTCTGGCCTCTCATCCCCCAGCGTCTATGTGCTTTCCCTCTAATGGCTGCCTGCACCTGCGACTTGCTTTCCGAGGCCACCTTTGAGCTACAAGAGCTGCTTCTCCCATGCCCAGAGATGGGAAGGAGGCTGGGAAGTTACCTCTTCATGGGGGACCCTCAGCCTGGCTCCCTTAAGTCAGGACAAATTCAGAGGAGTAAAGTTATGTTCCAGAGCTCCCCATGGGATCAGAATTAAGCCTGGCATGAAGGCCTGAATTCCATCCTTGCTGGGGCCTCTCCACCTCCCTTTGCTCTCAGGACTGGCTACATGATTTGCAGGACTCAGTGCTGAATGAAAATGCAAGGCCCCTTGTTAAAAAATGATTAAGAATTTTAAAACAACAGTGACAGCAGAGCCTAAAACCTAACCTAAGACCCTTCTGATTGCAGGGTCGGAGCCACGGCACAGGTTGCACAACTACGAAGCTGGGCCTCCCTGCTCCCCAACTTTCCCGGGAGCTCCCCCTTATTCAGTCCCTTGCATGTGAACTCATGTCTTGTACTCCGCTCTGATGAACCTGACTTAAGGCCACTGTTGAGGCACAATGCTGAGGGGCTGGATTCTACAGTAGATACAACACCAACCCTTCCCTCGAGGGGCCGACTCTTTAGCAGGGAAGACAGATGTAGGCACAGATCATCCTGTCACAGACTGTGAAGCAGAGCCCCGTCCCCGAGGTGTCTGCAATGTGGGGAGGTGATGCTGCCTGGGAACACGAGACCTCCTGGATTCCAGGCCAGGGTTCCGTCTTCTGCCCCAAATGATGGATGAATAGAATTGGGGGTGATGATATGGGGGAAGGATGGGGCACCACTTCAGAAGAGCACAGCGCAAGCAGAGGTGTAGTGGGGGGACTTCCATTTAGTTTGCAGGAGCCTACCTGTGCTCAGTACAGAAGACTTGAATTTGAAAAGTCCAAGTTCCTGCCCCCAGGTGGTTCACAAGAGATGCGTACAACCAGCTCTGGTGGAATTCTGTGCAAGGGAAGTGCCGAGCTAACGGGGATGAGGCGAAGTGCTAGATACAAGAGGAGCCTGGTCTCCTAAGAAGTTCCCACTAGGTGTTAGGAGTCCTAGAGCTTCTCATCAAAGAAAAGATTCTCTAACTGTGGAATTTCAGAAATTGGCAAGCTGTCAGGGTTGGTCTGGGGGAGGAGGGAACCTCCTGAAATCACTTTATGTGATGGGTTCCTCCATCCGCTCAAACGGGTTTCTTAGTTTTAGCCCATCAGTCTGCTGAGGTGAAATTAAGTTCTCTTCCAAGTTTGTTATCTGAAATGACCCTGGGTCCGTCAGTACTGCAGCTGCACCCTGACCTGGGCTGGTGACAGTGCTCTGCAGGAGGCGCCCACTCGTTCCCGGTCCTCCTCCGGGAGGAGCCCACAGACACCACACTGGTTTCCCAGTACACTGAAGCTATCGCTGACGTTAAGGAGCCTCTTCTAAGCTGGGAAATGTGGGCAGCTGGCTGCGGTCCTCCCTGGAGGGGGTGAGGGAAGGTGTTGGTGAAACGCTTGTGGTTCTCAGGGGCCCTGGGAAACTCTTTTCTTTATCATCGACTTTGTCAGGCTGAAGCCATCTCTCATTTTTCAGAGCATGCTCATGGGCAGGGAGGGTGAGAGCTCTTCCATCCGGGAATAAGTTTATAAATGCACGAAAGCAGCTGGGCTTTGCCGGGAAGCAGGATGAGGGGGCTGCCCTGGGTTTGATGTTGTGCTCTCTTCTAATGCTGGAAATATTCAGCTGCTCCTGGGTTGGATGTGAGCACCAACTGAGGCTGGCTCATAATTCTTCCTTGACAAATGCCTCATTTGGGACAATAACTCATGATTTCTTCACTGCCTCCTATTAAGCAATTAAAAGAAGGCACACATTATTCTATGAATATATATGATCAAATGATTTTAAATTATTGAGTGGTGTTGGAAGCCAGAGAACAGTGAGGGAAAGAACTGCATGTGCTCCTCTCCCTCTGTCTTTTTTTTTTTTTTTTTTTTGAGATGGAGTCTCACTCTGTCACCCAGGCTGAAGTTCAGTCGCGTGATCTCGGCTCACTGCAACCTCTGTCTCTTGGGTTCAGGCAATTCTCGTACCTCAGCCTCCCGAGTAGCTGGGATTACAGGTGCCCGCCACCACACTCGGCTCATTTTTTTGTATTTTTAGTAGAGACATGGTTTCACCATGTTGGCCAGGCTGGTCTTGAACTCCTGACCAGGAGTTCCGCCTGCCTCGGCCTCCCAAAGTGCTGGGATTACAGGCATGAGCCACACCGTGCCCAGCCTCTCCCTCTTGTCCTGTTTTAGAATTTTATTTTATTTTTTAGTCAGGCTTCAGAAGGGCCCTGGAACATGGCTCTGTGTGATCTGGCCCCTGCCTACCTCTGCCACATCTCAGAGCCCTCTGTCCCACAGCTGCATCTTCCTGTCCTCTGCCACTCCCAGCTCCCCCTGCCCCACCTCTCTGTTCCCTCTGCCTGGAGCATCCTCCACATTCTTTCTAGGGGACCCTGGTGCCCCCAGCTAGCTTAGGTCCTCTCCTATTCCCTTCCCTTGACTTTTGCTTTTCTTTTATAGCACTTCATTCAACAAATATTTTTTCAGTACTTACTATGCCAGGCTGTTGTGACATAGCAATTAACAAAACAGACACAAAGCTCGGTCCTTATAGAACTGGTAATCTAAGCTCATTGCCATTGTGTTGATGAGTAATTATTCAGCAATTGGTTTGTTAACTTGTCTTCTCCACTAGACTGGAAGCTCCATGAGGACAGGGCCATATCTGTCTCGTTCACAGTACCATGAATCCCCAGTGCATAGTAGGCACTCAGTAGGTTCCTGGGGAATGAAAGACATTCTGGGATTGATGGCTGCCATTTGGCCATCTAGGCTCTCTGAGGTAGCTGCATCTTCCTTGGGAATCCAGAGGTCGTCATGTGGAATTACCTCCTCAAGACTGAATTACACAGCCTGTTAGAGGGAATATAAGAGGAGCCGAGCTGGCTCCACCACAGGGCTGCCGGGCCTGGAGCTGGTCCCTGAAGAACTCCAGGGCCCGCAGGATGCTCACGGTTTGTCCTTTGCCACGTGCCCGACACGTCTCGCACCATTTCCAAACCGCTCCTCGAGGGTCTCTCCCCTCTTCAACTTCTGTGTATTTTTGCACTTACAACTTCTTGGGGTCATTTTACTTTATGTCAAATATATACTGGCTGGGTGATCATGTCAGGGCCCTTTACTTGCCCTGAGGCACCTCTTCTAGGTGTCAAGAGGGGTCTTCCCTGTTTGGGGTTAGCTGAGCAACTTCTGTTTCACCATTGCTTTTAACCCAGGGCTAGTGGCTTCCTACTGATGTCTTCAGACCAGGCATTAACCTCTTAAAAACCCCACACCTTCAGCTGAAAAACAGATCATCACTGTCCTCAACAATATGCATTTGCTCCATTTACTCCTGGGGTTGTCCATTTGGCTGTTCATTCATTCATTTGTTGAGTCATTCATCAAGGGAAGGAGGGAGGAAGGGAGGGAGGGATTGGGGCCAGGACTAGGTAAGGCAAGCTGGGCTCCTGGGTTGCAGAATTTAAGGCAGCATTCACCCTCAGGACCAGGCAAGTGCAGAGTCAGCAGTCCTGTTCCTGGGTATGGAGTCCTGTCCTGCCCCCGTACCCAGCTTCATTCTCCTTTGAGATTTCATTTGTCACAAAAGCCTTTCACTAGGTGATGACCAAGCTCCAAAGGTGACCCCAGGTAACCCACGAGGGGCCTCCGCACACCCTCACATCACCTCCCCACCATGTCCAAGCTTTGTATGTAGCAAAAGTCTGTGAAAGACAGCGTGGGAGGGAAGTGAGACTCTCCACATTTTCAGGAATAAAAAGTACATTTTTACACTTACTTGATTACTTAAAGGCCCCATCTATCGCAAATGTTGCCTGGCCTTCCGGTGGCACACGCCCGGGGCTTCCAGTGTTTTGATATAAACCCAGACCCTTAAGAAGATGTAATTGCCGGTTGTCTTACAAGCAGTCATCTCATCACAGGGGGGTTGGAAGGAGAATTCAGGAGCCAAACAGCCGCAAGAGCACCTGGCAGATCCAGTTCCGCTGGATGATGTCTTTGAACAAGACTAAAAATGACTGTGTTGATGGCTTCGCCGTTTTCCAACATTTGGTGGAATGACAGAGCCTTAGGACATGTCTGTAGCCACATCTGCCATCTCTGACATCAACTGAGTGTTACTAATTCCCATTCCTCTCTTTTAATGAAGGAAGAGTTCATCAGTGCTGGTCTCATCCAAAGAAGCAAATTAGGGAGTCTGTTCTTTGCAAATGTTGGGGCGTGGTTGGTGATTGCTCAGTGGAGAAGCAGCTGCTGGTGATCAAGTCCTCTGTGTTCACCAGACCCCAGTATGTACAACTATTATGTATCCATAATAATTACAAATTAAAAAAGAAAACAGCTCCCAGGCCAACACACAACACCGCCTTAATGAACATCATTGTCATTCAACCTGTGTAGTTTTCATTCCGGACAGGATGGGCTGCTGGATGCAGTACAATTTAATACTATTATAATTAACATTTACAGAGTGTATATTATGTACTATAAGCTTGCCATGAGGTTTGACTCTGGATTGTGACCATGATCACCCCCATTTTACAGATGTGGCTATTGAGGCCTGGAGAGTTCAGTGGCTGATCCAGGTTACACAGTAGGGCTGTGGCAGAGGCCAGATCAGATCCAAGCATTGGCCTCCCGTGTCCTCATTTCTGTGTTGTTCAGTGTCCTCAGACATCCCGCTCCATTTCTTTGTTCAACGCTACCACCCTCTACCCTGGCCAGACTGGGTTCCTCTCTAACTCAAAGACACATGATGGGACACACAGTGCTTTACAGGGAAGGACAGTGGAGGCCAGGAGAGAGAAGGCTGAACCAAAGAAACTTCCTAAGGCTCAACTGTTTATACAGTTCTCTCCGTCTGTTCTCCATGTTCTCTCCATCAGCCTCTGAGGAGCTCGAAGCTCCTGTAAAAGTCCTTGGCCCTTTAGGTGCGCTCTGGTACCGTCTTTCTCTATGGCACCTTTTGTGGCCTTCAGGTAAAGAGCCAAGAAGGAACACCCCTTTTATTTCCCCTTGATTTTTGTGCCGTTTATTTATTTATCAGTATTGTCTAGCCTTTTAAGAGCCTGGATGTGAGTCTCGGCTCTGCTACTTTGCAGCTGTGTGACCTTGGGCAAGTGACTTAACCTCTCTGTGCCTTGGTTTCTTTATCTGTAAAATGGGATAATAGTATCTAGCTCATGGTATTGTTGTAAGAATCAAAGGAGCTAATCAAAGTAAGGCACTTAGAGCATGACCAATATATATTAATAGGAGGCTCACAAAAAAATCTAGCTCTTACTGCAACTCCTACTACTCCTATTTTTTTTTTTTAAAACAACTTTTATTTTTGCACCCCTGTACTGGAATAGATGATCTTGGGCCTGGTTTCTGTAAGCAACACTGACTGTCATCATCTGTAAGGATAAGCACTTAGTGACTAAACTGAAATCTCCAAGTCTTGCTTTTAAAAAAGAAAGACCCTTGGCTGGCTAGGCACAGTGGCTCACACCTGTAATCCCAGCATTTTGGGAGGCTGAGGCAGGTGGATTGCTTGATCCCAGGAGTTTGAGACCAGCCTGGCCAACATGGTGAAACCTCATGTCTACTAAAAATACAAAAAAATGAGCTGGGTGTGGTGGCACGCACTTGTAGTCCCAGCTACTTAGGAGGCTGAGGTAGGAGGATCACCTGAGCCTGGAAGTTGAGGCTGCAGTGAGCTGTGATTGCACCAACAGCATTCCAGCCTGGGCCATGGGAGTGAGACCCTGTAAAAAAAAAAAAAAAAAAAAAAAAAAAAAAAAAGGGGGTTGGGGGAGGGGGGAGGGATAGCATTAGGAGATATACCTAATGCTAAATGATGAGTTAATGGGTGCAGCACACCAACATGGCACATGTATACATATGTAACAAACCTGCACGTTGTGCACATGTATCCTAAAACTTAAAGTATAATAATAATTTTTAAAAAAACCACAAAAACCTTTGGCTACAAAATGCCCAGCCTGTATCCAGATTAAAATCTGTGTGAGACCTTTCTATGGCTTCCTTCCTGTTGCACTTAGAATAAAATGCAAAGTCTCTAACAACGTCCATGAGGGCCCCGCCACTAGCCCCTGCCTGCCTTCCACCCTGGCACTCAAAGCTGGTCACTTCCCTGTTCCCCACTGAGACTTGGATTTTGTTGCCGGAGAGACTGCATCTGCTGTCCCCTTTGAGTGGAACTCTTGCTCTGACCTTCAACCCATCTGGTCACGTACATGCACTTGGTCTGCTTCCTGCTCAGCAGGACTCAGCAAAATGATCATCTCCTCCCTTCTCCCTTTGCCGCACCCCCCCACCCCAAATCAGGTGTCCATGTCACAAGCTCCCGGCACTTCTCTTTCTGTGTCTGGGTCCTGCCAGGCTGGAACCTCTATGAGGACAGGGACTCCTTACAAAATTCACCACCACCTCCTCAGTGCCTAGCACAGGTCCTGGCATAGAGCAGGCTCTCTCAGCTGAGCAACTCAAGGAGGCACAAGCACCAGGCAATGGTTTACCAGTGGTATGTTGTGACCTATTGTAAAATGGGTCTTCCGGGTCATAACCAACCTTGGAAGCAGGGGAAAAGGAGGAGGAGAAAGGAGGAGCAAAATGAGAAGGAGCTGGAGGAAAAGAAGGAGGAAGAGAGAAAGAAAAAGAACAGAACAAAACAAAATAGAAAATATCAGAAGACATTGCATGTGAAAGGAGAAAAATATTGTCTCGTAAGACTTTCATTTTGTATATGTGTGAACAGATGTGTGTGTGTGTGTGTGTGAAGTTGTACAATATGTTCTTACTATAGGTTGAAGTAAAAAAGAAAAAGGTGGGAAAGTTACCTGACTTAAAGTGTGATGATATTAGCAATAGGTGTCAACCACTTGACTCAACCTGAACTCCTGCCCTTCCCAATGGAGTGGGATGGGAAAATGCAGTCAGCATCCAACTGCCACTTGAATTACCAACATCCACTACTCTCATGATAAAGGGTGTACGTGGGGGTGATTTGGGTAGTGGGCAGGATAGGGTATTGTGAGGTAAGGGTTGGGGTAACAAAAAATAGCCTTGCATTTCTGCCAGAAATCCCCTTCTTTAAGCCTGCTAACTTTGCAGAAGAATGGGTGTGGGACATTTGTCTCAAGTTCCTTATCCTGTGTTGCTTTGGCTGAAATCTCCGATGAATATGTGCAGCTTACCTAAAGGAAGAATTTCTCTATCTGAATGGATCCAGGTCCTGCAACTTCTTTCATAGGGTATAACTTTAGTTTTCAGCCGCTTTTTTTCTGCTTCCTAGAACTCGAAAGGTACAGGCAGTCTGCAAAGTGCAGTGGCTTTTGAGTTGAACAAATCCCAAATACCAGTGGCAGGCACAGATCCCAAAAGCTGCGCATGTGGCTTTTCTCCTGGCACTTGAGCTGAGATTGTCTCTTTTAGAAATGTCAGCTTGGGAGTGGGAAGCTTGAAAATGTCAGTCTTGCTAGTCTGTGGCTTGGTGACTTTTAGGAACTGGGGTTCTCAGAATTGCATGTGCCTTTCCATGACCTTTGTTAGAAACGTATGCCATCCTGGAGTTTGCAGGGCATGTGGCAGGAACTTCTGATTAATATGCTTTGAAATTCAGGTCTGGAGTCACATAACCCATGTTGGCATTTCTGGTATCAGTTCACATAGTTTGAAGTATAATAAGACATACTTGTGTATTACAGGTTGAAGATTAAGATGGCAAAATACTTTAACACCACTGGTCACAGCCCAAGGACTATATATAAATAGCATCAATCCTAAAGGCCCCAAACTGGAAACAAATGTCCATAAGCTTGTGAATGGATACACAAAATATGGTATATCCATACAATTGATACCCAACCACATTAGTTTGCCTACACACAGTAAGCCAATCACTGTGATGATGGATTTTCCTAAAGAGAAGTAATTTTTTCATGAGGCAGCCAAGCTAGGAGGTAGGAGAACAGGTCTCAAATCTGCCTTCCCAAAGATGGGATTTTAGGGATCTTTATGGGATAGAGGAGCAAGGTGGCCTGAGGCATGGGGAAAGGCGATTGTGGGTAAGAGAACATGAGGTAATTGGCAATCCATGCATACGTGGTCAAGCTTCATTGCCCTTCACGGAATAAGAGTTCAGAAAATGGTGGCATTAACATGATCTGAGGGAGTAGTGTTTGGCCCTCTGATGTCAAAAGGTCACCTCTCATGCCTTTGTGCAGGCCCAGTTGGAGGTCGGTGGTCTCAACCAGCTTGTGTTTGCAAAACACATACCTAAAAAAAGACTCATATACCAAATATACAGAGAACTCTTAAATTCAACAATAAGAGAACAAACAGCCCAGTTAAAAATGGGTGAAAGATACAAACAGATGTCGCCAAAGGAGATCTACAGATGGCAAGTAAGCATAAGAAAGGATGCTCTACATCATATGTCGTTAGGGAATTACAAATTAAAACAAAAATGAAATAACACTTAATACCTATTAGAATGTCTAAAATCCAAAACACCAGCAACACCAAATGCTGGTGAAGACATGGAGTAACAGAAATCTCATTCACTGCGGGTGGAAATGCAAAATGATACAGCCCTTTTGGAAGACAGTTTGGCAGTTTCTTATGAAACTAAACATCCTCTTATCATGTGATCCAGCAGTTGCACTCCTTAGTATTTACTCAAATGAGCTAAAAACTTATGTATCCACAAAAATCTGCACACAAATGTTTATGGCAGCTTTATTCATAATTGCCAAAACTTGGAAGCTACCATGATACCCTTATACAGGTGAAGGGATAAACACACTATGATGCATCCATACAACAGAATATTATTCAGCAATCAGAAATATGCCATCCAGCCACAAAAAGATATGGAGGAACCTGAAGTGCATATTACTAAGTGAAAGAAGTCAATCTGAAAAGGCTACGTTCTGTATGATTCCAACTATATGACATTCTGTAAAAGTTGGCAAATGTCTGTAAACAGCAGTAAATGACTATGGGGGCAGTAAAAAGATCAGTGGTTGCCAGGGTTTCAGGAGGTGGGGAGAGGGATGAACAGGAAGAGCACAAGGGATTTTTAGGACAGAAAACTACTCTATGCAATGCTTTAATGGTGGATACATGACATTACACAAAGAATGAAGTCTAATGTAAACTATGGACTTCAATTAATAAGAATGCATTGACAGTGGCTCATCAGTCACAACATATGTACCACACCAATGCAAGATATTAATGATAGGGACAGGAGGCAGGGAAATTCTGGGCAGAAGAGGGTTGGTCCCCAGCGAGGTCCCTACCCTCAAGCTGAAAAGCCTAATACTGTAGCCCAAAGTGAGACCTTACATCCCTGTTTTCCCGCTCAAATGTTGCCTGCCCCGACCCCCATCCTGTGCCCATAAATACCCCAGGCTCAGCCAACAGAGAGGGGAGAAGCAGCTGGACATTGGAGACTACAGTTGGATGTCAGAAGCAGCTTGACTTCAGAGGGACAGCTTGATGGCATAGCTTTAGAGATGAGTCCAATCGGGGACCACTGGACTCCAGGGGAAAATTACCTTCCCACTCCTTCCCCTTTTTAGCTCCCCTTCCTGCTGAAAGCCACTTTCACTGGCAATAAAATCCCCCACATTGGCCATCTTCAAGTCATTTGTGTGACCTCATTCCTCCTGGATGCCAGACAAGAACTCAGGTGCCACAAATGTGAATGCAAAAGGGTGTCTGTCACATGGACCATCCACTGAGCTGTTAACACTTAATCTGTCCATGGATGGCAAAGCTAAAAGGGCACTGTAACACTTCTTCCGGGGCTTCAGGGGTCATGGACACCCTCCCCTAGATGCTGCCACAGGGTCAGTACAGAGTTCGCTCTTGCTGGCACCCAAAAGCGTTCACCCCCACCTCCTGCACCCATTCACCTGTGTTCCCCCTCCTCTGAGGGGTGGAACAGTGAGTGAGTGGAATTTGCCCCTGCCAGCACCCATGTACTCCAGTTCCTGCCTGCAAAGGGGTCAGGGAAGTATCCTGCTTCATTAATAATGGGAAACTGGGGGTTAAGGTATGAGTGTATGTATATGGAAGCTCTATATACTTTCCACTCAATTTTTCTGTCAACCTAAAACTGCTCAAAAAAGAGAATCTATTAATTTAATTAAAAACAAAACTGGGTGGACCCTACCCACCTTCCTACCAGCAAACATGAGAAGGAGGATGGCTGTTCCCCAGTGCTGACGGGGGCACTCAACCTTCTGGGGGCAATTTAGCAATGGATAAGAAAATAAAAAGTCTGTAATCACCTTGATCTGGCACTTCTAGGAGTTTATCCTAAAGCCATGGTTCTCAACCAGGGGGGATTTTGCACCCCATCCACCCCAGGGAGGACATTTGGCAACATCCGAAGATAGTTTTGATTGTCAGAGCTGGGGAGCTGCTACTGTCCTCTAGTGGGTTGAGGCCAGGGATGCTGCTGAACGTCCTATGGTGCACAGGACAATCCTTACAACAGAGTCATCTGATCCTGTACGTCATTAGTGACACTTCTGAGAAGCCCAAATGAGGAACTGGGTAGGTACATAGTACTCATCTCAGTATTGTTCACAGTAGTGAGAAATTAGAAATGATCAAAATATCATGTGGCAGTAATTAAAGGATGGTATATCCATACTATGGGATCCTGTGCAGCCTTTAGAATGGCAGTATGGGAGTATGATCTCTAATATGAAAAAAAATGCTCATGAGACATACATGAAAAAAATTACAAAGCGACATGCATAGAAGAATTGTATCATTGTAAAGACAGAGTACCTATGCGCATTTCTTTTTTTACTTTTTACAAATTAATTTGATTTTTTTAAATTTTGAGACAAGGTCTTGCTGTGTCGCCCAGGCTGGAGTGCAGTGGCGCAATCGTGGCTTACTGCAGCTTCATCCTCCCAGGCTCAAGCAGTCCTCCCACTTCAGCCTCCTCAGTAGCTGGGACTACAGGCGTGTGCCACCATGCCTGGCTAATTTTTGTATTTTTGTAGAGATGGGATTTCACCATGTTGCCCAGGCTGGCCTAGAACTCCTGGGCCCAAGCGATCCTCCTGCCTCAGCGTTCACAAGTGTTAGTATTACAGCTATGAGCCACTACACCCAGCCTGTTATGTATCTCTGAGAAGACACATAACAAAATCTCAAGCCTGTGTCTAGGTGGTTGGAATATAGGTGGTTTTTAACTTTTAAAATTATTTTGGGGATTTAGATTTTTTTTTTTACAATGAACATTTATTACTTTTATAATTAAAACAAGAATACTTTTTAAAATTAAGAAATTATGCAACTAGATATGTAGTCAAGTAGAGGTTGCTTAAATACTAAGGTTTATTTTCAACTACTAATTACTTTCAAAAGTATTTTAAGGAACACATTGTCATACCAATTAGATGCCCACTACATGCAGGTTTTGTACATTTCATTTACTTCTCAAAAAGCCGTGTTGTAGGCTGGGCATGGTGGTGCACACCTGTAATGCCAGCACTTTGGGAGGCTGAGGCGGGAGGATCACTCGAGGCTGGGAGTTCAAGACTAGCCTGGGCAACATAGTGAGACCCCTGTCTCTACAAAAAAATTAAAAAATTAGCTGGGCATGACGGCACATGCCTGTAGTCCCAGCTACTTGTGGGAGGCTGAGGCGGGAGGATAGCTTGAGCCCAAAAATTTGAGGCTGTAGTGAGCTATGATTGTGCCACTGTGTTCCAGCCTAGGCAATAGAACAAGACCCTATCTCTTAAAACAAAGCAAAACAAAAAACCGCAAACCTTGTTGTTGCTCCTCACCACCCATTTTAGAGATGAGGAAGCAGAAGTTTGGAGGGTTAGATACGTCAGATGCAGAGATGGGGTTCTACCCTGTGTTTTCAAAGTCCAAGTCTTTCCCTCTGTACCATGGTAGGGGCAGTGTGCCACTGTAGTGGGTAGCGTGTTTGTGTGGGATTATCAGTAACAGATTTCTTCCAATATGCTCTTTTCAAGAACTCCAGCACATTTAGGGGATTTCCATTTGAGGAACTTAAGAGGACATTCAGAGACTTTTTCTTCACACACACACACACACACACAAAGTTCTCATGACTTTTTTTTGTTGTTGCACTTGAGGAGTTTTTCCTATCTGGAAAATTCCTTTGCCTGGAATGGCTTATTCTAGATCAGGGATGGAAACATCAGTTGTGCCTGAGAATCTGGTCTGGGTCTCATGAGCGTGTTTTCCAGCTCCTGGAAAGCCAAGACTTCACTGTTTTAACCCAGGGTAAGAAGGGACCTCTCTAGAACATTTCTCAGCTGTCATCTCATAAAGAGACTTGTCAAACCTGATTCCTCTGGTACCAAGAGGAAGCAATTTGAATTTTCTTATTTCCTCTGGAGTTTAGGGGTGCAGTTAGCAAACAAAGGAACCTCTTAGGTCTCTCTGCCTTTGCTATCTGCTAGTGGAGACTGCTTTTCTTGGACGGTTTCTGCAAGGAGCTGTCCGGCCAGTTGTGGATTGGCTCACGGGATGGAGAACTGCTTCCTCTGAAGAGAGGGACTTCTGCTTCCTCCTCACTGTGCTTATTGCTGCTCAGAGGCTGCTGGGAAATCTCTGCCGCAGCCACCCTCCCAGCGTGCACCTCCTGGATATCTGTCCATGGAAGCTCCTGGACACCCCCTACCTTCCCTGCATCTGGGTGGACTCCCGCATGCACTTGCTGCATTTCGTCTCAGGTTGCCTTTTGACTCTCCACCGCTTATGATTCCACTCGGTGGCCTCCCTACTGATGTCTTTCCTCAGCCATCTTGTAAGTGGTTTCTCCTTGGTTCCAGCCCTCACTGAGGCCAGATTCTGTTTCCTGCCTTCAGTGTCTAACGTGTGGCCAATCCTCTTTCTTCAAAGGCAGAGTGGCCCTGCTTGCATCTGCCAAAAAGACACACCTGGGCTCCCTGCAGCTGGCGTGGTGCTGCCTGGGCATCCTGCCAAGCCAGCATGCCCTCTTTCTAGGGGAGCTTTCCTGCTTCTGGTTTTCAAATCCTTGAAGCAGCACTGGGGAGGCGATGAAGAGGGTCAGGTTTGGAGTCTCTGGCTGAGTCCTGGCCCTGGCCCTGGCAGGCAGAGTGCAGCTGGGGTGGTTCTGTCTCAGAGCCCGGTGGCAGACTGACCAGTGTAGGTAGGGGAAGACTGGCTGGACCTCCATCTCAGATCTGTCCCTTGAAAGTAGGGTTGGGATGAGACCCCTTAGAGGCTTCAGTCTGGAAGATAGTGCAGGAGCAGAGCTGGTAGGATTTGCTGTAGAGACCAGCCCTGTGCTGGAACAGGCCCATGGCTTATCTGCATGAAACCTGAGGACAGATCACTGCAGCGAGCCTTCTTCCACTTTTTTTGTTTTGTTTTGTTTTTTGAGACAGAGTCTTGCACTGTCATCCAGGCTGGAGTACAGTGGCATGATGGCTCACTGCAAGCTCTTCCTCCCAGATTCACGCCATTCTCCTGCCTCAGCCTCCCAAGTAGCTGGGACTACAGGCACCCGCCACCACGCCCGGCTAATTTTTTGTATTTTTAGTAGAGACGGGGTTTCACCATGTTAGCCAGGATGGTCTCGATCTCCTGACCTCGTGATCTGCCCACCTCGGCCTCCCAAAGTGCTGGGATTACAGGCGTGAGCCACCACGCCCGGCCTTCCACTTTTAAATTAATAATAATAGTTCCCATGGTTGGAGGGCACCCACTCTGAGCCAGGTACTTGGCAATAATCCTCTGAGGTGGAATCTGTGATTCTCATCCCCACCATACAGGTGAGGAAACTGAGGCTCAGGAAGTTAAAGAACTGACCCAACAGAGAGCCAGGGGGCTGGGCCAGGACTGGAGCTCAGGCCTCCTATTCTGCTTTGCAAGAAATATTTGTGTTGGAAGCCCAGCTGGGCTTGTTGGAAAAGCAACCTGCAGGTGGGGGTGGGCACCGCAGTTGTCTTTATTTTGGCCCCTTCTGAGTTTGCTGTTTGTCTGCCTGGGCTCTGGGGGGCCCTTCCCACCCACTCACCTTCCCCTGCTGGTCCTGGCCTCCAAGGGCTCCAAGTCCTTCCCCCCCACCCTCCCCTTGGCTTAGCTGTGGACTAATCCCTTTTCCCATTAGGTGAGCCAAGACAAGATTAGAGCTTTATTAAAAGGAAATTAAACTAGGAAATGAAAGGATAAACAAACCTCAAACAAGAAAAAACAACAGCACCAAATAAGATGAGTTGACAGAGCACCACTCTTTATCCTAAAGGGTATCCATCTACCTACAAATTAGGGTGTGGCTCCCAGTGGGGCCATCATCTCTTCTTCCACCCTCACCAGCTCTGCCTGTCATGATCAAGCTCGTCATCATGGTGGCTTCAGCAAACATGTTCTTTGGGGACCTTGGTGATGGCACCATACTCTCCAGCGCTTTGCTCACACTAGCCCCTCCCCTGATTTCTTTCTGAGTCCCGCATGCAGGATGCTGCCGGCTCAGCCAGTGCCTCCCTGGTGAATGGACCCAGGTAATGGCTCCCATGCTGGCTTCCCCTACAGGGGAGAAGTTGCATTTCATATCCTCTATTCCACTTTCCAGGGCCCTGCGAGATCCACTCCCCGCATCCCGTTAGTCTGCCCTCCTTCCATGCCTCGCTTCCACCCCACTTTCTCCTCCTCCTTTTCTCTCTTGCTGCAACCTCTTGGTGGCCTTTGCTGGCAGTGTTCCTCCTCTCACCTCCACTTCACTTGGCCAACACCTACTTAGTCTTCAGACCTTGTCTTAAATGTTGCTTTCTCAGGGTACCTTTCCCTAACCTCCCTAAACTGATTTCTCATGGAACCCTGGAGTTCACCTTCATCGTAGTGGTGATTAAACCATTATTTCTGGCCGGGTGCAGTGGCTCACCCCTGTAATCCCAGCACTTTGGGAGGCCGAGGTGGGTGGATCACGAGGTCAAGAGATCAAGACCATCCTGGCCAACACGGTGAAACCTCACCTCTACTAAAAATACAAAAAATAGCTGGGCATGGTGGCACGTGCCTGTAGTCCCAGCTAGTTGACTACAGAGGTTGCAGTGAGCCGAGATTGCGCCACTGCACTCCAACCTGGCGACAGAGCAAGACTCCGTCTCAAAAAGACAAAATAACTTATTATTTCCTTTGCACCCCTCTCCCGTCCCAGACTCTAAGCTCAGTGAAGACCAGGACCAATGTGCCAGGCTCAGCGCTGAATCATCAGAGCCTAAAGTGTCTGATAAATACTACTTATTCATTCATCCATTCATTTACTCAATCATTCATTCCACAGATAATCCCTGAGTGCTTATTCTGTGCTGGGTACCATGCTAGTTGCTGAGGATACAACAGTGAGCAAAGCCAAGTACCTGCTGTCAGACCAGCCACTCATTCTGTGTGTGTTCAATAAGTGATCAACAGGAAGAGGAATGCCTATTCATTCTCACATACACTTTTAATGATGAGCATTGCCAGCCAATAGACTGGCTGCCTCATGTGGAGGTGAGCTCCCCATCACAGGAAGTATTCAATAAGATCCTGGATAAGAAAGAGCCCATTGTCATGATGCTGCAAGTGGAGGCTCCTGAAGGTCCCTCTTACCTCCACGATTCTCTGGTTCTCTGGAGGATGCCATCGGGTGGCTGCTGTTGTGTGGCTGTCAGAGTCCGGCAGCAGCATGCAAGGTAGACATCTTTGTTTTTTCCTGATGGAAGCCAACTGGCTTCTCTTGAAAACCAGAGCTAAACACTTGCCTTTGATATAAAATAAATTTTCATTTAAAAAATGCCAGGAAATCTATTTTTTTAGCTATATTTTTTTCAAAGAAAAATGATCATTTTGGAAAACACAGAAAGACTGAAAGGAAAATTGGAAGGACTTTAATTCCTCTACTCAAAGGTAATTATTGTAAACATTTAACAATGGCCTTTTTGATGAATATATAAAAATATACATTTTTTTAAAAACAAGATCACATATTCTATCTTGTTCCTTTCATTTAAAAGATTGTGAGTACTTTTTACTTTGCTAAATATCGTTTCAAAATAAGATTTTTACCTCTGTGTGATATTTCCATATATATATGTTATCTATTGGTATGCTCTATCCCCCCAAAAGTTAGCAGCTTAACAATAATCGTGATCTCTCCTGATTTCTGTGGGTCAGGAATTTGAGAGTGGCTTAGTTGGACATGTGTGGTGTGGGGTCTGTGGTTTGGGCTGTAGTCAGATGTTGGCTGGGGCTGCCATCATCTGAAGACTGGATTGGAGCTTTCAAGGTGGTGCCCTCACATGGTTATCAAGTTCGTACTTTTCCACGTGGCCTTTCCACTAGACTGCTTGAGTGTCCTTACAACATGGTGGCTGCCTTCCCCAAGTGAACGGTCTGAGAGAAAGAGGCAGGTGGAGGATATGCCTTTTCTATGACTTGGTCTCAGAAGCCACATGCTGTCACTTGCATGGTATTCTGTTGGTCACATAGGTCAATCTATTGTGTTTTGAGAGCATGTGTACATAAGGTATGAATACAAGGAGGTGAAGTTTATTTGGAGACACCTCAGAGGCTGACTACTGTGTATCCTCTTTCTGCAATAATTGCTTCTTCACCAGTCCCCTCTTGTTGGGTATCTATATTGTTTCCACTGTTTCACTCTCATAGGGCACGTACATTCCCGAAAACCTTAGGTACCTGATGTGGAACAAGTGCCTGATCTACATTTGAATTCACTTAGTCCAACCAGAGTTTCAAAGTTACAACTTAGGAGCAGAGTCATTTTGGGGCCATACCCAAAGCTGCCTCCCATTTGGACCATTCCCTTTAAGCATTTTCACAGACCATCTCCTGAAGGGATGGTCATCGTGGTTCGGTAGGTTAGCAAGGTCTGGCAGGAAACAAAAATCAACTCAGAGACTCTCATGAAGGCCCCACTTATAAAGATCTGAGCAGGGGGCTGGGCATGGTGGCTCATGCCTATAATCCCAGCACTTTGGGAGGTTGAGGCAGGTGGATCACTTGCGGTCAGGAGTTCGAGACCAGCCTGGCTAACATGGAGAAACCCCATCTCTACTAAAAATACAAAAAAAAATTAGCCAGGTGTGGTGGTGTGTACCTGTAATCCCAGCTACTCGGGAGGCCAGGGCAGGAGAATCACTTGAACACAGGAGGTGGAGGTTGCAGTGAGCCGAGATCACACCACTGCATTCCAGTCTGGACAACAGAGCGAGACTCTCAAAAAAAATAGAAAAGAAAGATCTGAGCAGGGACTAGCAAACCAGCAAGATCTGAGGCACCCTGAAACTGGCAACAGAGATGAGCCATTGTCACCCTGAGGCCTGAAGAGCCGGGGTGACAGCTGCCTGAACTGCAGTGGAAGCAGGGGAAATACACCCTTACTCCAATCAACCTCCCCTTCCTGCCTCTCTTCCTTTCTGTCCTCTTGCTGGTTCCTCCTGTTGGCCAAACTGAAACAGAGGTCAGCCAGCTGCCAGCATGGAGCCCGGCTGATGTAGGATGGGAATCAGCCTCAGGGATGGGGGAAGCAGAGTAGAGAAGGGTGGGGAATGGATGGGGCTAGGGGTGGGAAAATGAGGGAATGGGAAAGCCAACACATTCAGTCAATATTCTTGGAACATCATTAAGACACAGAACAGTGTATCGGAACAGAGGTTACTGACTCCTGCCCTATTGTAGATCTGGGGTAATTTTATTATTAATAATAATCTTAACAGCAATATTAGCTATCCTGTGTTAAGTCTTTTCCATGTACAGGGCATTGTATTACATTACAGGGCATTTAACACATACAATTTCTAATCTTTACAGCCAATCTGTTAGGCACATGTTATTATGAGTCTCTTTCAGGCAAGGAAAAATGAGTTTGGAAAGGCTCAGTATCTGCCTGAGGTCACAAAATCTGTAGTAGAGCTAGGATTAAACTCAGGTCTGTTTTACTCTAAACTCCAAGTGCTTCTGTCTAAAAGCAGTCTAGACCAACCTAAGGGGGAGTAGGCGAACCAATGTGGTTTCTGTATGAAGCTTTCAATGCCTTCTTCCACAGTGGAGCAATAATTTTAAAAAGAAGAAGGAAGAGAAGAAAATCTTTAGCATGCCAACTCATCTGAACAACTGCCCAGGAGTCAGAGTATAGTGTGTTTGGCAAATTATGAGTTTTGTGTCAGTGCATACAAAGTAGGCAAGAAGTGAGGAAAAGATCCCTTGAAATAATGGGATGGGGAATGCAGCACTCAGCATGGTGAGCTCACATAATAAAGTCACCTTGGAGAGCTCAGTAAATTATTGTGCAGAGACTGCTGCTGATAGACGAGGCACACTGGCATCCCTCAGTGCCCCTGGTGGCTCTGAAAACAGTGCCCTGGCAGCTCTGGGCACCCAAAGGGCACTCCATCAATTACTTGGTTTTAGAAGAAAATTTCCCCCACAGTGCAGATGGATGGATGAGAGAAGGATTGGCAGAAGTCAGAGAGGGCAGGGGAGAGGGAGAGAGTTGCAACAGAATGACATTACTTTACACTTGGTATTTTGCAATAATGAAAATTACCTACTCTATCTTCAGCACTGGATGTGTAGCAAAAAATTTAGGAACTTCTCTGGTCTATATCCTTTGGATGCTTCCTGAAATGGAAAAGTGGACTTGATGAGATTGTGCTGGGGAGGTCACAGGGTGGAGGATGGGCTGGAGAGTGGCCAAAAGCCCACAGTCTCCAAAGACTTTGGCCCAACTCTTGTGTCAGCCTCTCCTTGAGCTGAAGCTGGAACCTGATGGGTTTGGCGGATTTGTTTGTGTTTTTCTACCAGGTAGAGAATTATCTGTTTATACCTCAGAACTCTGGATGCCATGATTGCAATACCTCATCAACCCTGAGATGCTCAGATGCTTGCCAAGTTAATCTCACTGATTAGAACCTATGTCTATGAGAGGAGTCTCTAGAAGGGTCACCAGAACTCTCTGCTTATTCACTTTGGAGACGCGGGCACAGTGCGAGGGGGAGTGGGACACAGGAGGGAGGAAATGATGGTGGGGGTGGGCAGCCCATGTGTTCACAAAGTCTCCAGGGCACTAAAGAGGTGACCAGGCACCCATCCAAGGCTTTGCTAGCCAATGGACAGTTCCACATAGGCTGGAATTGGAAATGGAATTTGATCTGAGCCTAAAACGTGAGAGGCACAATAGCACTTGGGGTGAACTTTGGCCCAGGATCCTGCACACAGCAGGTGCTTCCTCAGCCAGCATTGCTAAGAACCTTGCCAGTGTGGAGGTGGTTAAGAATGGGGACGTGGGAGCCAGAGGGCCTGGATTTGCATCCTGCCCTCTGTGATCCTGGGCAAGTCACAGATAATAATCACCCTGCTTCATGAGGTTGTTGCAAGTGTTAAATGATTTAATACTTGTGAAGAGCTTAGCACATAGTATTTATTAGTCATTATTATTATGTCTAATTTTTAGCCCCATTTTCAAATAGCCAAGCCAACCTTTGATACCCAGACGTTTTCAAGACCCTCAGTCTGGTGGCCCAATTGCCGATTCATCTCCTGGTCCAAAGCCATCCAGCACATCACCATCAGATTAATTTCTAAATTAACCTAAAACTTTGTGTTCATTGCTTATTTGCATTTAAAAAATTAATACCAGATGTAAGAGACCTGATTTGCAATTTGGCATCAGTTCACATGAAGATGATCTGTGGCTTCTCCCTGAAAAAGTTAATATGAGCCAAGAATGTGACACTCTGGTTTGTTTCTTTGGAAGCTGCTTGGATGCATATAATGTAATTAACAAGTATTGAACACCTACTCTGTTGGAGGTGCCGTGCCGTTCATCACTGCACACCTCAACAGTGTTACCCACCACTGTTTTTCGGAAGAAAAACAGCTTAAATAAAATATTACCTTGGAACCCTCGCCAAAAGGATTGGGGTAGGAGTGGGAGAAGCCCAGACCTCTCTTGCTCAGCCTCTCCTTGACCTGGGGGCCAGTCCTGCTTAGGATTCTCTGGCCTTGACCCCTGGTCACTCCTCCTTTGTGCCTTGAGAAGAACTGACCAGAAGTGACCCACCCAAGGCCATTCTAGAAGGTTCTAAGGAAACAAAACCAGGGCCTATGATTCCCAGCCCAGCACCCTTTTTCCTTTTCTTGCTTTTTATTGCTCTTTGCGCGTAATTGTAAAAATGCCTCCTGCTTTCTACTGCCTCTTGATTTCTCCCCATCTCAGCTCTTGCTAACCCGACCCATTTTCTTTTCTCATGCATGGATGCTGCTCTGAGAAGCTCCCAATCGATGCATTTGGGAAGATCCCCTTGCAGGGTTCTCCAACTGCACCTCATCTAATAGAGTTAACATTTCGTTCTCATTCTTTCCTTGCATGAGCCACAGCCCCTGACTTCTGCATTTCCTGGCTGGGTGACGTTAGACAAGGAAGATACTTTTCCTGAGCAGGGATAATTATACCCACTTAGCAGGCTTGTGAGGCACAAAGGAGGTGGCTTGTGTGACTGTCCCTAATGCAGTCGCCGCTCCATGCCACGTTCCATCCTTCCCACCCACCCCCAGCTCTTAGAGACTCAGGAAAAATGTGAAGATTTTTTAGTGTTGTTTAACAATCATTTACATTTTCAGTGCAATCAAACTTGTAGTTTGATTTAGATGAGAAGAATAACTGCCAAATAAACTAAAAATGGCACGGACAATGATGGTAATTGTCGGCAGCGGGATAATTGATCTAATTACACAAAGGAAAGCAGCTCCCCGATGAGTTGAGCCCGTGGGCTCCTGCAGGCAGCAGCTCAGGCCGTGTCCCAGGTCCTGAGTGGCTGTAAGAAAATCAGAAGTTTCAAGACAAGGTGAGGAGACAGTCACGGGAGCAGCATGTCTTCAGGCGGAAATTGTTCCAATTTCCCCACAAATGATCACTGATGTGTATTTTGCTGGACTGCCTCTGGAGAACAGAGCTCAGATTTGGAATGGTTTAGATGCTATTTTATTGCAGCTGTATTTACTGTTTGCTTTCCCAGCCATGGTGAGGAAAGTGGTACATTCCCAAGGCCCAAGACAGAGGAAGTGATTTACAAACCTAGCCCAGGAAGGGCCACCCTGTTCATCTTGGGGGAAGACCCGAAGCCCCAACAGGGCTCCCGGGTTGAAATGAAGCTGCTAATGGATGAGTCTTGTTGGTTTCGATCCTGACCTCTGTTTGCCTGTGGAAGCTGGCCCAAGGGGCCAGTGGCTTTGCTCAGGACAGTCTCATCCTGGCCAGCGAAGAGGGAGGCTGCCCTGCTTGGCCTCTGCTCCCTACACGCTCCCTACACACTCCCTACGCACATCTTAGTCAAACTGCTTCACCTTGGGCCTAATGACCACTCGTTCCATCTAGGGAGGCAGTGAGCTTTTTTTTTAAATTGTAAAAAACACATAACCTAAAATGTGCCATCGTAACCATTTTTAAGTGTACAGTTCTGTAGAGCTCAGTACCTTCACACTGTTGTGCAACAGCTCGCCAGAGCTGCTTCATCTTGCAACATGGAATCTCTATACCGTTTGAACAATAACTCCCCATTTCTCCTGCCCGCCAGCCTCTCGTAACCACCATTCTACTTTCTGTTTCTATGAGTTTGATGCTTTTAGATACCTCATATAAGTGGATTCATATAGTATCTGTCCTTTTGTGACTGGCTTATTTCCCTTAACCTAATGTCCTCAGGCTCCTCCATGTTGTAACATGGTAGGATTTCCGTCTTTGTAAGGTTGAATGATATTCCACTGGATATATGTACTGCGTTTTCTTTCTCCATTCATCTGTTCATAGACATTTGGCTTTCTTCCACCAGAGTTTACCCTTCTTTAACAAGTACTGAGTACCTACTGCGTGGTAGACAGTACCCCATTATCTTAGTGCTAAAATGTGTACTCATGGAGGGGCAGTATGAGTGAATCCGAGTACCTGAGAGGAAAGAAAACAAACGCCGTCTCCCACTGAGTGAAAACTAAATGTGGACCACCATCATAGCCACCCCATAATACAACAGCCCATGTTTACTGGGCCCTTACCATGTGCCTGACAGTGGTCTGATGTCTGTATTTGTGTCTCCATCTTATGTGATCTCATTCAATCATTAACAACCCTATATGCAGAAACCTTCTCCATCAACTTAACATTATCTCCAGTGAGGAACGGAGGCTCGAGGAGATTAAGTGACCTCCCGAGATCATGTAGCAGGTAGTGGCAGAACCAGGATTCAAACCCTGGCCATCTGGCTCTAGGTTCCTGAACTGCAGATGCAGTAGTTAGACTGAAAAACCTCAAACGGGTGCTGTGCTTCTATTTCACCTGCAGGGGGCCAAGATTCTTTTCCCAGGGTAGTAAAACGTCCCCGACACCACCTCTGCCCCATGGTCTCGAGCAAGCCGTAGATATGTGGTTGGTTTCCCAGTTGCAGAATGTAATGGAACCCTGTATGGGTGTCAGGCTGAAGAGGGTCATCCCACAAGTATTGAGCACCTCCTATGTGCTAGGTGCCGGGGATGCAGAGGTGATCTAGAAGGCAAGGCCCTGCCTTCAGTAAGGGGAGCTTTTTGAATACAGGGCCAGGGAAGTCGGGGGAGGGAGCTCCAAGGCTACCTGCAGTCACTGGAGTCTTGGACAAATAAGCCCTGGTGTTCAGAATCATCCAAGCTGGTCCCAGTACTTGGTAGAACCCAAAAATTTTCCATTGAGTCCTCTTTGGACAGTTGTATAATGGACAGTTGTATAAGAAGGTGTAGGGCTGAGAGCGTGAGAAGCTGCTTGATTGTCTCAACAGGATGATGATGAGATCCACAGAAAGACACCCATGGACACAGTAGGAAGTGACCAAGGACGTGGAAACATGGGGGAGGGCTGTGCAGTGAGGACAGTGCAGTGCACTGCTGGGTGGTCACTCCTGGGGTCCCTGGATTCCCCATGGTGGTAATACACAGCACAGAGTGAGAGTCCAGAGGAGGAGTCCACCTGGCAGGGAAGCTTGCTTTGCCATTCCTATGGGGGGTAATGTCCCCCATGCCACCCCCTGCCCCCAGCCCAGTGCTCCAGAGACTTCGGCCTGTCCACTCACCAGGAGCAAGGAACTGTACCTGCTAACCCCAGCTCATAGCTGAGGCTGGATGCTGCAAGGTCACACGCAGACAGACGCCAACCTCTAGCCTCCCCACAGAAGTGAACTGAGTTAACCATGAGCCCCTCCACCCCTGCTTTCTATTTATTTCCACTGCCAACATCCCCCTAGCTATGAAGTCATCACCAGGCCGCTACCCCCTCCCCCATCTCCAGAACAGGAGTGGTCATAGCATCCTCATTATAATGACTGAATGAAAGAAACTTGAAGCATCTGGTCCTGTGTCTGGCACTTAAGGAACACACATGTAGCTCTCCTTTCTCTCATCCTTTGGCTGTTTGCATGTGTGTCTTGGATCTCTGTCTGTCTGTGTCTCTCTTATCTCTTCATGGAATTCTGGGAAACACTCAGAAAGTGGTGGTTGGTGAGGGCACATTCATGTCCAGTAATAGCTGATGGAAATGGCAGAGGGCTTTGTCAAGTTGACGGGGAAGGTTTCTGCATGCCTTGCTTTTGGTGGAAGGGTGAGCGACTTCGCAGAGCCTAGAGCGGGCTTCCAGCTGCTCAGTACAAATCCCCCTGACCTTCGCGCCGGAGGCGCGGGCAGGTATTTTCCACTTCACAGCATTTCTTTTAATTCTTTCCTGATTGATGCGTGAGATGCCAGTGTGAAGGCAGCTCTGCCCCTCCAGCCTCGGCAGGATAGCTAGGGATGGATTCCACCACTGCTCTCACTCCCCCCAGCATCCCTTTATCCTGGATCCCGGGGTTTCTCAGCAAAGGTTTGAGGAATTTGACTTTCCTTTTGGGAGCAGGAGTCCTGGGGAGGTGGAGAAGGTGGTGGGAAGTAAGGGACAGCCTCCTTGCTTTTCATGGCCAGAGTTCACTAGCAAAAGTGGGGCTGCCTTGCCTCACTCCTTGTTGCTCAGAAAGATATACCAGAGAGTCAGTTTAACAGAGAAACAGTGTTACGAGCAATGGGTAAGAGATGTGGGTAAAGAAGGGAGTGGAAATGTAATCATTTTGAACCTAAGGAACACATTTGAGTTAAAAAGTCCCTGAGTACAAAAGGGGTGCTGTGCTCGTGTATAAACCAGGGTGGGCCCATTCAGGTATAGGTGACAGAGAGTTCTTCTGCCCCGCTCCCTGTATAGTTGCTTATGTAAATTCAGGGTGTTTTTCTCTCTTGTTGCAAGAAGTCAAAGTTGGAGTTACTCTTTTAAGTCAGCAGCTCAAAAATGGCAGAGCTGAAGTCTCTATGATTTTCTTAGTTTTTTCCTCTGGTTCCAAGATAGCTGCTATAGTGCCATCCGTCATGTCTAGATTCCAGGCAGCAGAAAGAAGGAAGGTAAGCAAGACGAAAGGGGTAGTTCCTAGACCTAGAAAGCAAGACTTTCGAACAAACCGTAAAAGATTTCTGATTGCAATTCTTTGCGTAGAACTATGTCAGTTGGCCACTGGTAGGGAGATTTGGAAATTTGGTGTCCACCTCGAATCAAATCAAACAAATGAGTGAGGAACAGAGGGAAGACCAGATGCTGGGTAGGTAATTAGCAACCCTGCTGTAGCACTTCTTTTGGATTAAATCAAAGTCTAGCCGCATATCACCCCTCCACCCACTTTTCCTCTTTTTTTCTCATTCATTTTCTATCTTTTTTCCAAGTGATGCATCAGGCTCCCTACTGCTGAGGTGCGGTGGTCAGCCTGGGATGAGGCCCTGGGTCTGTCTTCACAGACTAAAGATAGTGCCTTGACCTGAGCACAGCACTCAGGCTCCGTCTCAGGTGGCCACAGTAACTTTGCATAGATCCAGTCTTATCATCTCGTGTCATCTCCTATGAAGCCAACTATGGCATGCTGGCAGAGCTCAGCGTGCATGCGGTGACTCTTCGTTGGCCTCTGTGGAATTTGCACCGCAGGACATTCCCAGCCCCAGACTTACTGCGACTGGTCTCACTAACGCACAAGTAGCCCCTGCCGGCTTTGCTCATGGGATGTTGGGATGTTGTCCTCAGCCAGTGAGACACAGATACACACTCACAAACCATCTTCGTGACCACAGTGGGGGGTTGCTGGTTTAAAGCCAGAGACAGTGGAGGAGAAAGGAAGACCAAATCCTTATTTTTTTTGTTGCTGTTTACTGTCTTTCTGTTCAACAAGCTTTCAATGACCCCATCTAGGTGTTAAGGCTACAGAGGTGACAGTCCCAGTTCCCTACCTCTAGTTCATACTTCAGAAGTTTCAATGTTTCTAAGATATGGTGTTCCTTACAAAGGCACAGCATGCTGGGAAAGACCTTCAGGCATCGTCTGATCAAACTTCATCCTTTTTTTTTTTTAAATTGATGAAGAAAGCGTGGCATTGGGAAATTGAGTTGCTTAAGGCCAGAAAACTTGGAAGCAATGGAGCCCAGCCTCAGCTCCGGGCTGTCAGCCCAAGCCCATGCTGCCATCCCAGTTTGTTTTTCCTGTTACCTAACAGTCAAGGGGAATCATATTTCCTGGTTTAGCAAGCATCTTCAATCCACTATTTGCATGTCTTTCTTCTCATCTCTGGGAGCGAAACAAAAAGAGTAAACCTTAAAGGTTTTCACATCCTTCACCCTAAATGACCACTTACGCACATTTTAAGTTATTGTCAGCGATTTGTGTTTTAAAATACAAGCCTTGCTATGTTTAGCTAATTCTCCTGGGTGAGAGACATGATTGATTAGAAACTTTAACAGCCGTTCATGGAGAGAAGTATAAGTCTTTCAGGATCACGCCTCTCACCCAGCCTTTGTTGGGAATGGAGAATTGATCTGGGAGCCACAGCACTTCTTTCTTCCCTGGCAGATGAAAAAAAAAACCCTCGAGATCATTTGCAGGCCAGCCCCGCTCCCATGTTTTTTCTCTGAAGAGCATGGGAGAAATAATGCATGTTCCATTTCACAGCTTGGAAAATCAGCAGTAGTTGTTTCAGATTGCTGGAATTTTGGAAGGATTTTCTCTGTACTTTTCCAAGTGCCCCATGTGTTTGAATACCCAGGTGATGGTGGCGCTGGCTACCTAGACAGCTTCTTCCACCTTCACGCTCTGGACTCCGATGGCTGGACTTGCATTCTTGAGGGTCCCCAGGCTCCAGTGTGGTGTGTCGGGAACATAGGGAGAACCTTGCTCAATAAGCATCTGTGTCTGCCTTGGCTCAAGCTGGAGCAGGGTGTCCAAGGCAGCCTGGACCCGAATAAAGACACGCTTTATTTCCCCTTCAGTTGACGGAGGGGGATTTTGAAGGTAGCAGGGGAAACAGAGTGAGCAGTGTTCAGGGACGCAGCCCACCTTCCTGGGTAGTTTTCCACTGCAACAGACCCGCCGAGGCCAGCCAGCCAAGGATACTCAGAGTTTTACAAGCATGCTGTGTGGACTGGGGCGGGGGCTGGCTTAGAGCCCCCTATGCCGCCCCCAACCTGCAGTGCCTCTTGGTGAGGAGAGGAGGCAGGATGAGCGTCTGCAATCATTGCCATGACAAAGTACCAGAGGCCGAGGGACTTAAATAGCAATTTATTTTCTCACACTTCTGGAGGCTGGGAGTCTAAGATCAAGGTGTGGTCAGGGTTGGTTTCTTCTCAGGCCATGAGAGAAGGGGCTGTCCCAGGCCTGTCTCCTTGGCTGGTAGATGCACCTTCATGTTCACACAGCAGTCTCCTTGTGTCTCTGTGCAAATTTCCCCCTCTTGTCATGATACCAGACACATTAGATTGGGACCCCACCCTAAGGACCTCATTTTCACTTGATCACCTCTGTGCAGACACTATCTCCAAATAAGGGTACTGTCTGAACGACTGGGGGTTAGTACCTCAGCATGTGCATTTTGGAGAGACACAGTTAATTCATGACAGCGTGTACCTTACATTCCATGGTGTTTATCTGGAGAGGGGGAGGTAGCCCTGGGGACCGTAACTCTGGCACTTCCTAGCGCCTTGATGATTGGCTTTTCTCCTACCTTCTGCTTCCATTCTCCTCCTCCCAGACTCTCTCATCCAATAACCCCCGCATCTGTACCCTGTTCGCTCCATAATAATGATAACTACTCCTTAGTAGTTGCTTCTTAGGTGCCAAGCAAAGTGCTAGGCATTTTATTTTTATTAACTCATGTAATCCTCATGATGACCCTTGAAATAGGCTCTATTGCCGTTCTCATTGTATAAACAAGGGAACTGAGGCACAGAGAGATTTAGTAACTTGCCCAAGGGCACGCTGCTAGTAAGTGGTGAAGCTGGGATTTGAACCCAGGCAGTCTGGCTGCAGAGGATACTTTATAAACCACTTCTACTTCACTTAATAGGCGTAATATTCCACTTGAAGCCCTTCACATCTTACCAAGGGCTCCCAAAACGTTCTCTCACTTGATCTCCATCAAAAAAGAGCACCATTGGAGGGGCTCAGAGGAATGGGTTCTAACATGTGATGTGTCTGGATCCGTGCTCAAGAACTGGGATGATGCCATGGATAAGAGCACAGCTCTGTGTTCTGCATCACAGACTCTGCATTGACTAGCTGTGTGACTTTGGGCAAGTGATGTAGCCTCTCTGTGCCTCACTTTCCTCATCTGCAAAGTGGGGTGACAGTCTCTTAGGGTTGTTTAGGGAGGATTCCTTGAGGGGCTGGCACATGATAATTGCTCAAGACATATGATCGTTGGTGATAATATTACTTCTCCGTATCTCTAAGAGCTTCCGGGGATCTCCAAGAGCCATCACTGCCCCGATCCTCCATCCCCACAGTGCAGAGCTGTGCTGCTCAGGGTGGTAGCCCTGAGCTCCAAATGGCTGCTGAGCACTTGAAATGTGGCGAGTGTGAATTGAGACATGCTGTAAGGGTTAAATACATACCATATTTTGAAGAATAAGTACCAAAAAATGTAAATGATCTCATGAATAATTTTTATATTGATTTTATGTTGAAATGAAAATGTTTTAGGTATGTTGGGTTAAATAAAGATATATTATTAACATTAATTATGGCCAGGCACAGTGGTTCATGCCTGTAATTCCAGTGCTTTGGGAGGCCAAGGCAGAAGGATTGCTTGAGGCCAGAAGTTCGAGACCAGCCTGGGCAACATAGTGAGACCCCCCCCCGCCCCCACCATCTCTACAAATAATTTTTAAAAATTAGCTGGGTATGGTGGCGTGCCCCTGTAGTCCTAGCTACTAGGGAGGCTGAGGTGGGAGGATTGCTTGAGCCCAAGAGTTTGAGGTTACAGTGAGCTATGATGGCACTGCCGCACTCCAGCCTGGGCAACAGAGTGAGACCCTGTCTCTAAAAGAAAACGAATTAATTTCATTCTTTTACTTCTTAAAATTGTGGCTATTGGAAAGCTTAAAATTAAATATGTAGCTCACATTATACTTCTATTGGACTGTACTGGGCTAGACTAGAAATGAGACGCTCCAGGGACCACATCTGTTTTGCTTATCGCTGTATCCCAGCACCTAGCCCAGATCCTGGCTTTACAGTAGATGCTCAGAAAATACTTGTTGATGCTGTTTTGATTGTACAGATGCTCTGTTCTTAGCCCCAGAAAGGTCTCCTGGGTACCACGCCAGGACCAGAGGAAAGTCTTTCGTTCCCAAAGCTCAGGGAAAGGGCTACAGGCTGGGTTTTTAGCTCACTGGGTCTCTGCGGCATTGCCATTGCCCACGGGCTTGGCGCAGGTGGGCCCCCAGCTGAATGGCTGGGTTTGATGGCAGAGCCACCGTCTTGCTCTTCAGCCCAAGGGAAAACATGGCTATGGTAGTTTCTTCTATTTTCAGCACATTAGAGAAACCAACTTTGTATGGAGGACATGAAAGCTCATTTCATAGGCCAGAGGAGGCCCGTGAAAGAGAACACTGTGTGCAAACAGCAGGAGAGAAAGACCCGAAGGAAATTTCCATCCCGGCTGAGGTCCTCTCCTGGACTTGGCTGCTCACAGGAGCCTTGTGAAGATAGAAGTGTACTCCTTCTATCCCAGGCCCTTTTTCACACCCCCTTCTTCTCAGAAGAAAATCCGAAACCCAGCTCTTGTAAAGGGGTGCGTATCTGCCATTCCTCTTTGACCTTACATTTATGAAAACTGAGTCTAGCTCCACCTGCAATCTTGATCAATCCCAAGATTTGAGGCCACTGGGTGGAGCAATACAGGGAAGGAGTTATAGTTAAAGGATGCTGGAGTTCAAAGGGGTCTTAGTCTAAACTACTTACATTTGGGGTTTCTGTGGTTCTCATCCTTCTGTGACATCTCTGCTGCTATTGAGGGCTCAGCATGCAAGAGAAATGAGCCTAGATGACCACATCCTCAGCTCGATCCACTCTGTCCACTTCCAGACTGCCATGAGCCTGGGAAGGGTGATGTAGCTGAATCTATGAGAAGAGCGATTCACCTGTGCCCAAATCCTGACATAGCTTCGCCTGAGTTCTGTGTCTCTGAGCAAGTGACAACTTCTCCGAGACTCAGTTTCCTCATCCATAAAAACGGAAGGAGTAGCTCTTGCCTCATTTGTCAGTGGGGTTAAATGAGACAATATGTAAAAAGCAGCAAACAGGCCAGGCACAGTGGCTCACACCTGTAATCCTAGCACTTTGGAAGGGCGAGGCGGGTAGATCGCTGGAGATTACTAGTGTTTCCACCTCCTTAAGCCCAGGAGTTCAAGACCAGCCTGGGCAATATGGTAATACCCCATCTCTACTACTACTACTACTACTAATAATAATAATACAAAAAATTAGCTGGATGTGGTGGTATGCACCTGTAGTCCCAGCAGCTTGGGAGGCCGAGGTGAGAAGATCACTTAGCTTGGGAGGTTGAGGTGGGCTTTGAGTGAGCTATGATGGCGCTGCTGAACTCCAGCCTGGGCAACAGAGTGCAGTGGCACCATCGCTGCACATTTTAAAAAGCAGCAAACAGCGCTTAGCATGTGGTAGACATTTAGGAAGCAAGAGAGCCCCTTCTCTCCTGGGTCCTGAGTGCTAGTTTTTCTGTCTCACTCTCCTCTGCCTCCTGATACACAGCAGTAGTGGTGAAGGTGCTCCTGTCTTTGACCAGGACCCGGGATGCCTGGTTTCCTAGCAGCCACATGATTTTCACCCCAGTTTAACCATACCCAGTGATGGGGTCTCTTCCACAACAAAATTTGGATAAAGTATTCTGGAAGTTGGAGATGACTAGTGTTTCCACCTCCTTGCTTTTCAGAAAACACCTGTTCTTTCTATTTGTGTCAGGATTAGAACATGGAATCTTGGCAAAAAGAAGATGTTACTTTTAATTAAACATCCTGAGCCTCGTTTCTCAGTCTGAGATGAATCAGTGAGCTCCATCTGGGTGGAGGTGAAGGAGAGCAGGAAATCATTTTTAATAGAAATATAAACTCTGATGGCCACAAGATTAAAGTCAAGGATACGTGTTGGTAACAAGGCACCTGGCACATAGTAGGATCTCAGTGTATGTTACTTTCTTATCCTTGATGTCACACCTGAAGCAGGTCAGCAAGCAAAGGAAACGGGCTGGGAGTCCAAGATCTGGGTTTGAGTGTCAGCACGTCCTCTCATTAGCTGTGTGCCCTCAGGAAAACCACTTAACATCTCTGAGCCCCACGTTTCTCATCTTAAAGGCTGGAAATAATTGCAACTTTTACCTACCTCGTGGGGTGGTTGTGAGGCTTGAATCATCAAATGAAAGGGCTTTGTAAATGGCAGAACTCCATAGAATGGTAGTTCCTCCTCCTTATCATTGCGGTTAGTGATAATTGTGTATCTTTTTCATTTGACTTGGGTAAATATTAGCCAATTCCCAGTCATGACTCAAACTAGATATTTTTCAAATGATAACGATTTTTAGGCCATTTCCTAACTCTTGCAATGAAATATGGATCGTGTTTGCTTTCTGGAGTCAGAAATTCAGATTTTTTCCATCCTTTATTCCTTTTTACAACTGATGTGTAATTCCCAGCTCACCAAGGTACCAGATGGGAGATCAGGAGGTCTTTTGAGAAGAAAGAAAAAGCTCATTGAAAACTGCTGATATGGAATGTTTATTTAATTTCAGAGGAGGAGGGTCTGTTTTTGTTTTTTAGGTGTAATACAAGTAGGGTTTATTGCTGTTTGAGCTTTTAATTGATTTACTAATATTTTTTATAGCTTCTTATTTTAATGTTTACAGGTCCCCAGATGCTGAGATTTACTGACCTCCGTGAAGGAATTGATAAATGATTTAGTTGAAATAGCAAAACTGGAGGCATTGTGTGAATTAGAAATTGTGCCACGGAGCCCACTCAGGTGCCACTAATTTATTTAATGTGATTTGGTTTGTACAGCTGTTCCTCACCACAGACAAAGGAAAAACAAACACCAACTGTTCCCCTAGAAAAATGGGGAGTGCCCCGAGGGATTGGGCCAAAGACTAGGGAGCACCCGGGAGGATCCAGCAGGCTGGCCTGTGTTGGGTCAGTGCAACAAGGCTTCCTTCCAGAGGCCTGGGCGAGCCCTGTCTAACCTACTCCATCCTCACCTCCGTGCGACTTCCATCTCGTGACGTTCTACTGAATCTGTGATTTCGCTAAGGTTGATTTCAGTGGGTTTGTTTTGTGAATACTTTTTCTTCTCTGGCATCATCAGAGATTTCTTGCAATTTTTAAACTTTTTTTTGTAGGTATGAGACAAATACTTGTTTAGTATAGAAAGTATAGAAAATAAATGCAAGTCAAATGAATAAGGTAAAAATCACCAGCAAATCCACCACCCAGAGATAATCATTGCTAACAATTTTGATAAATATCTTTCCAGACTTTTTCTCTGATATTCATGTTTGTATTTTTTAAAAAATGAATACTCCTAGCTTATATTGTTTGGTAACCTGTTTTTATTCATGTGTCATTTTTGAGCAGTTTTTCTCCATAACATTCAACTGCTTTGCTTAGACTGGTGTTCAAAGGGGGCTCATACAGACCAACCCTAATTTAAAAAAATCTTACTAGGAATGGTTTGCCCAAGTGCATTGTGCCGTTGTAGAGAGCTGTGCATTTCTGTTTGGGTCGCTTTAATGTCATTTCAAGGGCACTGACATAATAAGAATGCCCTTCCCCCTTTCTTTAGCCCATTTAAGGTACTTTATTAACAAGTTCCCAAGGGTGACTTTGTTATTCTTGTTCCCTTTCTTCCACCCATCCATCTGTTCATCCATCCATCCATCCATCCATGTATGGAGCAATTAGGCTGTGCCAGGCATTGTGTCTGCTGATAAAAACACAGATACATAATTTCAGCAGCCCCTGTCCACTAGGGTACCAGTCTCCATCCAGAACTTCCATCTGCCCTGGACATGAGATAGGGACCTCCATCTTATTTCTTCACTATGGAGTTGATTACTTCCAGCGAGCTATCTAGCAGATAATTCCTCCCTTTACAGTGGAGGCATCTCAAGGGTAGGAACTGTATATCACCTCTCTTCTATAAACCGCGAAATGCTGACTGTGCCTGTAGCCTAATACTCAGGGAGACCACGAGGTGAACTGAATTTTAGAGCTGAGGGTGAAGCGGCGGGAACATTTTTAAAAAGCTGTTTCTCAACACAACTCTTATGTATGTCATCGATCAAAGAAAAATGAGGATGCTAACAAAAATGTTCTTTGATTACTTAAGACTTTATTTTTCTAAGTGTGGTCTTCTTAGGTCTTTGAGAGACAGCAAGGCCTTTTTGTTAAGGTTTAGACACATTTTCTCTTGGTGTGTTCTAGAGAAGCACGGCTTTATGTAAAAATGTAAGATTTATTTTTGCCAGTAAAATATAACACACAGCCCAGCCCAGCAACAGCATACATCCTCACTGGATGCCAGCAACAGTCACTGTGAAATGTTACAAGTGCAAACAGCCCCAGTCCCTCCTCAGACAGAGCATGCTGCCCATGCCGGCAACAGTCACTGTAAAATGTTACAAGTGCAGACAGCCCCAGTCCCCTCCTCGGACAGAGCATGCTGCCCTTTTTCCAGGGAAGTGGGGTTATTTCTTTTTATGGTGCCATTTTGACTTCCTAAGACTACCATAGATTTATAAGGAAATAATTCCTCCAATGGGCCTAAGTGACATCCTAAAGTTTTACACGAGCCGGTTATGAAATTGCAAGAACTGTTTCATGGAAACATTTCCATGTCACCAATGTAGGCCCATTTATTAAATTTATGGAACTTGCTGTATGTGCTTTTTTAAAGATACCAAAATATATTTAATAACCTCAACCCGGAGGCAAACCTCGAGGGTTAATTACAGTAATGAATGTGGCCAACACCCGGGCTATTCAGGAAGAGAGAGTGGCTCTGTGCTCTGCCTGAGTGCCTCACCTTGTGCTAGCAGACTCAGGGGGTAACTCCATAAACTTTCATCATCCAACCTCTTCCCACTTTCACCTCTCTAGGTAATCTGGTCACTCTTGGATGAATAGCAGATGTATGAGAATAACCTTGAGATTTGGGATCGAAAGGCCTGACTCTGAGATCTGATTCTACCCCATTTATTATGTACTGTGTGGCCTTGGTTATGTCACTGTCCTACTCTGGGCTTATTTTTACATCTATAAAAGGCCAGCATACTAATAGCACTCATCTCAGGATTTGAGGGGAAACAGAACTTTGGGAGGAGCAAGGAGCAGCATGGAAGAAAAGAAGAGAGTCTAGTCTTAAAAACGTTTACAAATGTATCATAGTCCAGAAAGTCTTGTTTCAAACTGTGCCATCTGCATGGAGGTAGTTGAATGTAACAGTGACAAGTGCAAATCCTGGGGTCACGCTGCCTAGGTGTGAATCACAGCTGAATCTCTTTTTCCTCATCTGTAAACTTGGGATCATAATGACTACTCACAGGGCGGTTCTGAGTATTAACTTAGTTCATCAACCTAAAGTGCTTTGCACAGCATCGGGTACATCATGTTCAATAAATGTAAGTAGTTGTATTTCTAATTTTTAACTTTTTATGCCTATTGAAAACTTGAACACTCTGCATTTAAATTTGAAACAACATACTTGGAATTTTCTCTGGATGCCAAGCAAATGTCCATGATTTGTGGGGTGGGGGGTGGGGGTCTTTCTTTTTTCTTTCCCTTTCTCTTTCTCTCTCTCTGTCTCTTTTTTTTTTTTTTTTTTTTTTTTTTGAGACGGAATCTTGCTCTGTCACCAGGCTGGACCGCAGTGGCGCGATCTCGGCTCACTGCAACCTCTGCCTTCCAGGTTGAAGTGATTCTCCTGCCTCAGCCTCCCGAGTAGCTGGGATTACAGGTGCCCGTCACCATGCCCAGCTAATGTTTTGTATTTTAATAGAGATGGGGTTTCACCATGTTGGCCAGGATGGTCTTGATCTCCCGACCTCATGATTCGCCCGCCTCGGCCTCCCAAAGTGCTGGGATTACAGGTGTGAGCCACCGCACCCGGCCTCTTTCTCTTTTAATCTTATTTAGACTATCATGTATAGAATTAAGATTGAATACTTTATTTAAATTGCTACTAATTGCAAGTTCTGTTTGGTAGGGGTTTAGAATATGCTTAGCATTTGAAATGATCACGGGTATAGGTTTTCTGTCCCTGAAAAACACCTGAACTGTTTCCCTCAAGCTTTCCAAAACAATTCAACTTTGGATGCAAGCGAGAATGGAGAAATTTAATAAAGATTTTTATTTGTTTTCCAAAATGCAATACAGAAGATTGGGGTTATTGTGAAACGTGGGCAGGCTTTTGTAGTCCCCTTTACCTTGAATTCTGCTTTGCCAAAGCAAGATTTTATTAAGATAGGACTATCCAATTTCCTTCCGTTGTTCTTGGGACTCTGTGTTTTTGCAACTCGTTTGCCTCTGTCTGCGTGTTGAATTCTAGAGGGTGCGATGATGGAAGAATAAAATGGGATGGAATAATACCAGTGTCCTGCTGCATTGGTATTCAAATTCAGTATCCAAGGCTCCACATGCCTGAAATACAGATTTACTCTGAAATACAGTGGATGGCCAACAAATGTTTCCTGATTGAAAAAAGATGGAAGGAAAGGGAAGGGAGAGAAGGAGAAGCTAGGGAAGTCCTGTGTGGAACAGTAGAGCTGGGATCAGGTACCTCATCAGAGAGGCGGGGCAAGGTCTGATAACCCCTTTTTTCACCGTTCTACAGTACCGTGTGCGGTGGGGTCTGGAGTGAGCCAGAACAGATAAGTCGTTGCCCCTTGCCATCCCCCAAAACTATGCCCAGGGTAGCTGGCCAGGACTCTGTCTGCATCACACTCCTGCCAGTGTATGGCATGGGGCCTGGCAAATAGGAGGTACCTTTAAAACGCTTGTTGAGCAGAACATTCCAGTTGACCTGATAGTTCTTCATGAACATAGTCATTCATTTTCATTGACAGAACTTATGTTAAATGATACGAAGTTATTTTGAGAGGTAAGTGACCCTGACCCTGTCCACAAGAATTATTCAGTTCCGTGAATTTGGTCCAGCAGAGTCTGGTTTTTAACAGTCATTTGGCCTGAGCTATTGACTGCAAACTTTTAAGATTCTTCCAGGCCGTCTCATTAGAAGTTGACAGCACTTTGGCACCACGGAGACCTACAGGTGTCCTTATTCCCCCACCACGCTTCTGGTAATGAGAAATGAAAGTCGTCCAGCCTCACTCAGCTCACTGTGTGTTCCAGATTACACACCAAGGTTGTGCAATCTAGCCTTGGTTTTGCTAGATACTGATCCGGCTCCAGATAAATGTCATTGGATGACAACATATATGTTCCTTAAAACTCCAGCTTTTGGAGTTTCATCCCAGTCCTTACCTTGCATCTCAATCAGGGACAGAATTTTGGCCGTCATTTGGGAAGGAGCCAAGTGGACACAGGATGGTTTTAGACGAGTGGTCCTAACTTTTTCATCTGCATTTCCATCCAGTGTTGGAGCTAGGACTTCCGCATGCATCCAGACTCTGCTTTCTGCTCATTTCATGACCTTAGGGGAGCTATGAATTCCTCTGGGCCTCAGTTTCCTCATCGGTAAAGCAAGCAAGTCATGGACCTACCTCAGGCTGGTTGTGAGGATGGAATGAGATGCTGCCTGTCAGCTTCTTAGCACCACCTAAGGTCTCTGGTGATGCTGGTTATTGCAGCTGCACATCCAAAGCACCTGGCGAGCTTTCAAACACCTTAGACACCCAGACCCACGGAATCAGAATCTCTAGGGGTATGCACCCATGAGTTCATGGTTTTTAAAATCCTCAGAGATGATTTGTGTGCCTAGTCAGGATTGAAACCACTAATTCTAAAGGAACTGGATTCATGGGGTTTTGTCTTTAGGAGGGAGTCTAGCCAGTAGAGCCAACCCACAGAAGCTGGAGTAAGAATACTTGGGTTCCAATCCCGGTACCACCCCTGGCTTACCCCCACACCATATACCCTGGCTGTGTGACCTTGAGCTAACGACTTAACTTCCCTGGAAGTCAGTTTACACAATAAGAAAGTGAGGACAGTATTTATGAGCACCCCTCATAGGGTCATATAGGGACTAAATGAGATTATCCATGCCAAGTCTTATATTAAAAAGTGCCTGCCACAAAGGAAGCCCCCAGGAAGCGGTGAGCACATGATACATGTTAACTCACTCTCCAGAACAACCCTGGGTAGTAGATTATGTCATTATCCAGTTTCCGTATGTGGAGCATCTCTGTAACTCCTCTAAGGTCACGGGTGTTAAACCCACTCCCGAGACACCATGACAACACAGAACACACTGCGTTGGGACGTCAGCTGGGTCAGCTGAAGGACTTGTGAGTGCAGCTCCCTGAGCTGCAGCTGACCACACAAGTGGGCAACTGAATACAGTCCCCATAAAGCATGTTTATCTTATCTGGGGCTGGAGATTAGCTGTGTTGTGCAGAAGGGAAGAGGCATTCCAGGTCTTTCCAGCTGTCTTGCCTGTGAACATTTATCGTCCCCTAGTTCCGACGTTTATTATCCCCCCGGGTGGATAGCACTAATTCATACCAGTCTGTCCGATGGCAGCAACCCCCATAGATGTATGGGTCATGGCGGAAGAGGGAGAAACCCCAGACTCTTGCTATTTGGAGGGAATGAGATTCTGATAGTCACAGCCCTCAGCAAACTGTTCTCTTTGGAACCAATACAGTTGTTTTCCTGTAAGAACACAGAGAAGACCCAGGCAACTCTGGGTTCCAGAAATGAAGGCCTCCTTGAGAAGCCACATTAACCCTGACATTTCTTTCTCCCCATTTCTGTGGGCAAGGAACACGGCCCCCAGGCAACTCTGGGTTCCAGAAATGAAGGCCTCCTTGAGAAGCCACATTAGCCCTGACATTTCTTTCTCCCCATTTCTGTGGGCAAGGAACACGGCCCCCAGGCACTGAGGAAGTCCCCACTGCAGCGTGCGTTAGACGTACGCACCCCTCTGCAAGCACAGGCTCGCACAATCGCCCGCTGTGTCTCCTGCCAGCCAGCTGGGTGAATGTTCCCGGGCAGCCAGAGCGTTTTTCCTCCCCTCCTCACACTCCCCTCCCCTTCTCCTGCCCCGCCAGCTCCACGCCCTCCTGAATGTTCCATTCTAAACAGCCACAATCAGGAGCCTGTTCTGCACTGGGAAAAAGAGCAGCATGAAGGCTTTTAAACTTGCTGGGTAATTTAAGGTATTTATCGCTATTTGGAGAGCTTTGCTTGTTTTGAATCCATTCCCCCTGCAGCTCTCAGAAATGGTGCAAATGATTTTTTTTCCCCCTTGAAAAGGGATGCTTCTAGGTCTTTCCACTGTCCCCGAGGCCGGATTCTGAATGCAGGCCTCCAGACCTGGGTGCATTCGCTGAGGTTTTGTTCATTCATAAACGTTAATTGGGCATCTCCCTGCTCCAGGCCTACATTGTGTTTGTAGAGTGCTCCCCCTTTCTGCAGTGGACTGTGTTTCTAACTCATGCGCAGTAAACGAGGTCAGAGAGCCTGGCTTTGGGATCCAGGCTGACCCAAGGTCAAGCTGCGCCCTGCAAATTAGCTGTGTGACCCTGGACACCGTTCTCAGCTTCTCCAGAACACAGTTTTTCATCTGTTAAATGGGTATGATGACAGCTCGTAGCTTACTTGCTTTGGAGGCCAGCCTGCCCGTGTCCAGATCCCAGCTCTGCCACTTCCTCCTCCTGTGAGCCTGGCTTTTCCGTTTTGTCAGTTGATTCACCTTCAGTCAGGAATAATAGCCAATCCCTCAAAAGGTGGCAAGAGAACTGAGTTGATGCATATCAAATACTTGTGCTTAGCACATAGAAATTGCTCAACTCAACAAATGTTAGTTTAGAGGAGGCCCTTAATAAATCTAAGTTCCCTTTTCCCCTCTCGCTTTCCTAAAGCTTCACCTAAGCCAACAGCTGGACAGAGGCGGAAGCTTGCCAAGAGAGTCAGAAGAATCTGGACTCCACACCGCCTGCTGCAGGGCCTGCTGGCCTCACAGGGAGAGGGAGGAAGGGGGGTCCACCCTGGCCAGGTGCACTCTGGTGAGAGCAGCCCACAGAGGCCTTGTGGTCTCCCAACTTCCTCAGTCCTTAGGATGCTAACAGGGCTGTAGCAGAGCGAGTCCTCAAAACCAAGGGGCTTCCCCACCACTCTGAATCCACCAGCAATCTCTGCCTCTGCACGGCACCCAGGGCAGGGTGGTCCTTCCCCGCTTTTCTATTCCAGACCGTCCATGAACTGCCTCCATTTCCTCCACCCACCCCCAACATAGCCTCCTTCATGGAGCATATACACATGTGCAAGTGCATATGTTCAGACCCACACACACACACACTCACACTCATACACACTCACACAAACACATCCATACACACATGCACTCACACTTACACACACACTCCCACACATACACACCCACACATGCACTCACACTCATACACACACTCCCACACAAACACATCCATACACACGCACTCACACTCATGCACACTCTCCCACACATACCCACACACACACAAATATACTCTCACACATACCCCTGCATACACACACATCATACATACACACCACATATACACACACACTCCCACACATACCCCTCACATACACAAACCAATACACACCCACACATACACTCTCACACACACCCCACATAAACACACACCCACACATACATTCTCACACACACTCCCACACATACCCCCCACACCTATACATATACACCAACAGAAACACACACATACATACATGCACATACATGCACACTCACACACACACTCTTTTCCAGCTTTGTGTTTCTGCTTCTGCCTTTTCAGTTTCTTTGATTTCCCACATATGGATTTCCTGCCCTGCCTTCTGAGGGTGTTGGGCAGGTGAGAAGCCCTAAGATCATGTTCAGAGCTGAAAACATAATCACCAGATTGGAATACTGGAGATGAGATGGTAGAGAATGGCTAGTTTTAGCTTTTCTCATTAACACGGGGTGGGAGCAGATGACCTTTTCCTTTTAGCTGACAGCTAGTCTGCTGGCCATGGGCACACCCTCCTCCGCAAAGCCTCTTGTGATCTCCAGTCTGACTGGACACGGCTTCTTGCTGCGCCCGTGATCCTAAGCATGGGGTGTGGGTGGTAGGGAAAAGCCTGGAGCAGGGCTGCTTGGTTGAAATCTTGGCTCTGCAAGTTATTTGGTTTTGCTGTGCCTTCATTTCCCCATTTGCAGAGTGGGGTCAGTATTTGCCCTGATTCTTAGGGTTGTTAAGAATATTCGATGAGGAGAGCCACATCAAGTGCTTGGAATGCCTGTCTACTGATCATTACTGTTACCAGCGCGATCATGGTTTTGATCATGGAAGCTCTTAGCCCACTGCACTGTGATCGGTCTAGGAAGTCCTGTCGCTTCCCCCACAGGTTTCGCAGCAAACGGGCCAGGACAGTTATCTCAGGCAGCCTAGAGAACGCCTACAGTGTGAGCAAAGCCACTGTTTAAAGTGAGGTGATACTTTATTCACCAAAGATTCCTTTACTTACAGAAAGTCCCCCTTGAACTTATGATTTGAATTTTAGACATTTTACCCAATCTCTATCTTTCTCTCTCTTTTTCTCTCTCTCTCTGTCTCTCTCTCCTCCCCGCCCCCAGCCCTCTTCTTGCATAATGTGAGAAGAGGCTTTCAACAGCCAAATGGAAACCCCCTTTGTCACCTTGTAGGCGTGTGGCATTGGGACACTGAAGTTAGCAAATCGGCCAGTGACTCATCAGTTTCCTCTCCATAACTGGGGTGTGGTTGGGGGATGGGGCAAAACTGGCACTTGGCAGGAGGCCTTGGCACAGTTCCCAGGCAGCATTCCTTCTGACCCGTCAGTGACCATGTCCTACCCATTAAGGAATATTGTAATGATCAGCCCTGGAGGAAGGAGCATTAAGATTTCTGCTCTGACTTCAGATGTTTTGATACAATTTGGGTAGCTCGAGTTCTCCATCCCTGACAATGAAAATGCCCAGGAATGTCAGGGAAGCGCGTTTTCTGGAAACCTACCTCCCTGAGACCTGTCTGGCCTGCACAGGGGGGTGGACCGTGTGGGAGAGAGGGGATTGTCCCTCTCTCCCCAAGGTCAGCTCTGGCTTGCGGAGTAATGGCTCGTGTGAGTGATGTGTGTGCAGGACTCCATTAGGGGCCCGGCTGTCCAGCTGTCTTGTGGCAAGTGTCTTTGCAGAGAGGGGCGAAAGGAGCAGATAGCTCCAGAAATGGAGAATAAAGAGACCATTGCTTTCTGCTTTCTGGCAAATTCTGCCAAAATACTGCAGAGAATGAAAAACTTTGAAGGAAAACCCCTTTATCAGCTATCCCATGCCTTGTGGCCATTGATTCCACGAGCAGGTGTTTCTGAGAGCTGGAAGCTGGCCTGGCCCTGGCCTCTTTCAGGAATAGAACATGTGAGGATGGTTGGCTTCACCACCTCCAAAGGGACCTCGGGAGGAGTAACCTCCCAATGGGGCAAGATTACTCACCATGACGGGCAGCTCAGTGCATGGCAACAAGCGTATGCTCTGCTGGGCAGCCTTCTTGGCTGGAAAACTGGCTCGTGATTCTGACTGTGACTCTCCCTCCTACACTTTCCAAGCCAAGAGCCTCCCCCAGATTTCACATGCCTCCCGCATGGCACCTCTGTTCTCCTGCTGCCACCACTCAGACACCCAGGCGTGAGGATTACTCTGAAACCCTGATGCTTGGCCATACCTGCCCCACCATTTCTGAGGCTGCCATAATGAATCACCACAGACCAGGTGGCTTAAAACAACAGAAATGTATTCTTTCCCAGTTCTGGAGGCCAGAAGTCCAAAATCAAGGTGTCAGCAAAGCTGTACTCCCTCTGGAGACTCTAAGGGAAGATTTATTATTTGCCTCTCCCAGTTGCCAAACTCCTTGGCTTGGGGCCCCATCTCTCTGCTCCATGTACACGTTGCTGCCCCCTCTTCTGTCTTCTTTTTTGTCTCTTATAAAGACACGTCATTAATATTTAGGGCCTACCCACACACTCCAGGATAATCTCAAGATCCTTAGCTTAATCACATCTGCAAAGACCGTTTATCCAGAGAAGGTCACATTCCCAGATTCTGGGAATTTGGATGTGGACCTATCTTTTGGGGAGGTACCATTCAGCCTACTGTACCTGTTAATGGAATGGTTTGTTACATGGATTAACACTGACTTGAGGCTTTCTAGGGTGAGCCTAGAGCATTTTCTCAAAAATACACATGTGGTGACACCTATTTTTAGCTATTTGACTTGGACAAGTAACTTACCCTCTTTGGGCCTCAGTTTCTTCACCTGTAAAATGGGAATGATAATAGTACCTACCCATAGGTTTGTTATGAGCATTAAATGAGTTCATGTAAGTACAGTGCTTCGAGTGCTATCTGGCAATTAGCAAAGCACTCCATAAATATCAACCATTCTTATGGTGATTATCATCATGGCATCATAATCATCATTGGAAGCTACCCCAGGCAATGAGACTGTCCTAGACAACTCATTTAACATGTAGCACAGCACATTCACAAACCGTTTGTTTCGACTTTTCGACCTACTTAAAATCACTTGGAATTTGTTGCCGTGTGACCTTGGGCAAGTTCCTTAACCTCTCTGAGTCTGGCAGAACATTCCCTGGAAGGGCTGCTGAAAGATTAAATGTGGTCAGCCTCGTGACACATGTTCTGCATCAATCCACGTTGGCTGAGCAGTGAGAAGGCAGCATGTTACAGTCTTGCCTCTCCACAGACGTTGGTGGCATCTTTCTTCCCTGCCCGTGTCTTTATGGCTGCTCGGTTTTCCTCTGCTGTCAGCTCTCCCGGCCTCTGTTGAATGGCCTGCACTTAGTTTTAGTCGATTTCCTCCCCTGAGTCTGATTTCTCTGCAGTTTCCAGCACAGATAAGGCTGTACATTTCAGACTGCGGTCCCAGAGCAGGATTTTTTTGCTGGCTTCTTTGGGGAGGATGTTTGTTAATACAGAATCAAACCTTAGCTGTTCTGCTAGTAAAAGATTTCCAGGTAGATTCTAACTTTGTGTGTTTAAAACTCTTAGCTGTTCATTAAAATGCTGCCTTGTTTCTCTCAGTGGTCTGTCAGAGTGATCCGAACCAGATCACTAATTCTACGACAACCAGTGTTTCTATAATGATAACCACCCTGCCATAGCACTTACTCTGTGCCAGGCATTGTTGTAAGGACTTTATACTTAATCCTTGCATCCTAACGAGGAAGGTGCTGTTACAATCCACATTTTAGAGATGAACAAACAAACAAGGCCCAAGAAACAAAAAGTGTTCAGTAACTTCTTGTCCAGTATCACCCAGTTTATAAGTGGTGAAGCTGGGATTCAAACCCAGGCCCTCTTGAGTCCAGCAGCTCTGCTCTGAGCCACCACCCAGGACTGTCCCTCATTAAATGCCTGAATAATTTCGAAGAGTCAGAGTTCCATAAATGTTTATAGAATTAATTGAATATTGAATGGCTTTTCCTGTTAACGGAGGAATCTCAGTCAGTCTTTGCTAACGGATTAGACTTTTTTTTTTCAGCCCCTGCCTTGAGACAAGTGTAGATTTTTCTCTCACTGGTTTTGCAGTTCTATATCTAGGATATAATGCCCTTGTCTTCTTGCCTGTGTATGGTATAAAAAGGATGGTCTTTCAAACCCAGATACTGTGTAACCTGGGCAAGTCACGTAACCTCTCTGAGCCTCACTTTTCAGGGGTTAATAACATTTAACGCATTAAATGTGCTAATGTATGTAAAGTGTCGGGCATAATAACAGGTCCTGATACATAGTGACTTGAAAAATAAAATACAAAATACTTTGCATTTTTCCGAAGAAAGGTACTGCGTAACTCTTAAGGTATATTTTTACTATATTTACCTTGCTGTGGTCAGTCTAGTATAGGTGTCTCTGTTATATTAATGTTTTAGTGGTGATCACTCTAAGCAGTTACATATATTAAAATATTCTGGCCAAATGAAAAGTTTATAAAGAAATGCTTTTAAAATTGAACCAGAAGTAGATGACGATAGTCGTCATTATTTTAAAAAGAGAGGTTTACCGTTGAAATAGATCTCATTAAGGACCTATAATTGACAGAAATTACTTCAGCTTCTGTTATGCTCACGTCTTGATGGCAGCATCGAATACACTCATGTGCCCTCTCTACAAGTAAGAATGGTATGGAATTGCTTCAACCGTAGATTTGCCTTTTTCCCCCTGGGTGATACAGACTCATAACTTTCCAATATTCATTTTTCTTATTTTCTCTTAGCTATGTAATGTGAGTAGGGTGTATTACTATCTCCTGTTCACAGGATCCAATTAACTGAGGCCATAAGAAATAAATGAATGAATGAATGAACCGAACTAACAACCGCTGTTATGAGCCGAGTGCTTACTCAGTGCCAAGTGCTTTGTTTGGACTTTATTCAATCCAGGGGTTGAAGAACCACTCACTCTGGAGTCAGATTCCTGGTCCTAAACCACGTACTTAAGCAAATTACTTCCCTGTGCCTCAGTTTCCTCTCCTGTGGAATGGGATTAATAACATTGCCATTCTTACAGGGTTGTTTTGAGGCTTAGATGATACATACATGCAAAAAGTCCACAGCATGCTGTCAGGCTGTAAGCACTCAGTTCCATTAATTGCTGTTGATTCCTTCAAGGACTCTGACAGAGGTACACCCCTGTTTTGTGGATGAGGAATTTGTGCTCGGAGAAGGTGGGGGCTTACTCAGGGTCACGTGTGCTGTGGTCAGGAGGTGTAGGCTAAAATCCAGGTCTGACTCCAGAGCCAAGGTTCACAAGCTACATCCCCGCATGCCTCGACTGGTCAACTCCTATAATTCTGTCTGCATAGGAAAGACCTGTTCAATGATCATCTTTTTATATTGTTTTGATTTTTGAGTCATGTATCTCATTTGAGCAAGAGATCAGCCTGCAGTTAGGGCACCGTATTGGTTTCCAATTGCTGCTGTAACAAAATGCTACAAAGTAGAGGCTGAAACAATATAAATGTGTTATTTTACTGTTCTGGAGGTCAGGAGTCTGAAATGGGTCTCCTGGGGCAAGAATCAAGGTGTCCGCAGAAATGAGTTCCTTCCAGAGGTTCCAGTGGAGAATCTGTCCCTTGCCTTTTTTAGCTATTAGATGCCTTCTGAATTTTTTGGCTCATGGCCGCATCTCCTCAACTCTGCTTCCATTGTCACATCTTTTCTGACTCCGAGTCACTGCCTCCTTTTCTTTTGAGACAGAGTCTCGCTCTGTCACCAGGCTGGAGTGCAGTGGCGCAATCTCGGCTCACTGCAACCTCCGCCTCCCGGGTTCAAGGGATTATTCTGCCCCAGCCTCCCAAGTAGCCGGGACTGCAGACATGTGCCACCACGCCTGGCTAATTTTTGTATTTTTAGTAGAGATGGGGTTTCCCCATGTTGGCCAGGATGGTCTCGATCTCCTGACCTTGTGATCGGCCTCCCAAAGTGTTGGGATTACAGGCATGAGCCACTGCACCCGGCCTCCCTGCCTCCTTTCCTAAGGAAGCTGCAGCTCACTTGGGAAATCCAGGATAACCTTCCCACCTCAAGACCCTTCACTCTACCGCAGCTGCAAATTCTCCTTTTGCCATGGAAGGTCACATTCACAGGTTCCAGGGATTAGGATGCGGCCTTTTGGGCGTGTCATTCTGCCTAGCACAGATGGCCATTCTCATCGTGCCAGGGTGCTGGCACATTCTTGTTTCTATAGGGGCTGTGTGGTGTGGGCCCCATCCCAGCCCCTGCCCTTACTAGCCTGTGAGCCTAGGCTAAGCAGACATTTCATTTCTTCGCCCTTCTCCAACCTTCTCCCGACCCTGCCCCATTTCCTCCTTTCCTCATCTGAAGAATAGAGTTTTCAGTACCAGTTTTGCGTGACTGTTGAGAGCACAAAATGAAGTAATGTGTGGAAAGTGCCTGGTCCTAATTGGCTCTCAAAAATGGGAGCCATTATTCTCGCAATGATTACTTTTCAATTATTTTTAATGTTCCTGTAATAACAAACAGAGCCCAGTGTCTTGGCCTGGTCAGAGGGAACAAAAGTCTTAGCATGCAGGTCGAGGGGTCCCCATGGCCTCCAAAAAGCAGAAAAACAACAAAACCTGGTTCTAACTAGCTAGAACTGGACTCAGTTAGGAACAAAAGGGTTATTCAGCTGACCAGAGGATGGGCGAGGAACAGAAGGGGAAGGTGAGTGGAGATTAGCTTGTCAAACAGTATTTTCTTGTGAATGCTGCAGATCAAGGCAGTCTTTTGTGACAGCATTTATATTAAAAGAGGCCCAAGATATTTATAGCCCCTATTGGAGCCTAGAGCCTAAATAGCAACTCTGTTTGATCAGCCTTTCACAGGTCATGTGATGTTTCTCCTTCAGGGTGTCCATTTGAAAGTGGGAGAAACCACTAGGAATTTGGGGGGAATAGAGCAGAGAGAGAGAGGTAGGGAAATTTGGTCCATTTGCAGATTCACGGAAGTTCAAATGTGGCGCATAGCTGCGCACAGCTTCCCCTCCTCCTTGGGTACCATGTTGCCAAGACGGGCGGTTAGAGATTCAATGGCAGAGGGCTAGATGATTCTGTTTCCAAGGGGCCCTGCTTGCCTTCCAGCCCCACCTCATATCACCCTGTCCCTCAGTTGCTGTTCCAGCCTCTTGGCCCACATTCCTCAAACATGTCAAACAGGTTCCACCAAAGGACTTGCATATTTGCTGTTCCCACTCCTGGAACATACTTCCCTGAGATCTTTCTGTGGTTGGTGCCTTCTCATCAAGTCTCAGATGAAATATCACCTCCTTTGAGAGGCCTTCTCCAACCTTCCAGGCACTGCTTCTTGCATTGCCTTGTTTTATTGTCTTCATAGCACTTGTCACCATCAGAAGTGATCTTGCTCATTAATTTGTCTGGTGTCTCTCTCATCACCTCTAGAATTTAACCTTACATTTAACTTTTATTGCTGGATATCTCTATTGGCCTATCTTAGGGCCCAATGGAGAAAGAAAAATGTTCTAATAACATATTGTAAAGGTTTGCCTAGAAAGGTATATCCTTCCCCAACATTTCCATTCACTGAAAGAAAACACCTTATTTGTCTGGTGTCTCTCTCACCACCTCTGGAATGGAACTTCTAGGGGAACAGGGACATTGGCTCTTATTGACTGCCATAACCCCAGAGTGAGACATTGCCTAACAAATGAAGGGCATTTATGAAAATACTTGCTAACATGCTGCGCTTATTATGGGCCACATCCTGTTCTAAATGTTTTGCATGATTTAATTCATTTAGTCTTCTCAACTAATCCATTTTACAGATGAGGAAATGGAGGCATAGTTTAATAAATGAAAAACATCAAATGAATTAGACTATTCAGGTATACTGGAGGTATTACTGAATTGATTCAGCAATTGTATCAGTTATCCGTTGCTACAGTAATTCTGCATAACAAAACACCCTATTTCTTCATGCTTGTTAAGGCTGCCAAGGAATGAAAGGACAAGGTTTTTATTTTTCTTCACGGTGGGGGAGATAAAAACCACATTTTATATTTTCAGAGAGTGACAATGAGCATTAATTGAGCATCTACTGTGCGTCAGGCTCTCGGTTACGTTTGGAATTAAATACTCAAAACAGTCCTCAGGAGTGTGGCATTGACCCCATTTCATTCAGTTTGTGAAACAGACTGAGAGGTAAAGTCACGTACTCTAGCTCACACAGTCTTAGGGTTATTTTAATTTCTCCCGCTCTAGCTCACACAGTCTCGCCGCTATTTTTATCTCTCCTGAGATTCTCCAGACAAAACCAGCTCGTAAGAGGGCACCCATGATGTCGTTGGTACTCAGTAGACATTAGCTGAATGAAGGAGGAGGAAAGGCCACCAACCGACCTGTGAGGGTGGATGTTCCTATCTTCGTAGTACTCAGATGAGGAAACTGGAATTTAGAGAGATTCAGTCCAAGGTCACCTGGCTAGTAAATGATCAAGTCAAGATTCCAACCCAGAAAGTTCCATTTCCAGAAGCCAGTGCTATCTGAGGGAAGTAGAATTTAGCAGTGAGGACTTCAGGACCCCAAATGCCTTCTCCACAGTTTACAGCCCCCACCGGCCAGGAGAGAGGCGAAGGGAGACCGAGGGCATATACGTTTGTCTGTAAACCCGTTGGGAGGGTACCCACCGAGGCCTGGAACCAATTCAGGCCCCGGAGCCTCCGCGTCCTGCTCCATATCCCCCTGAGCCGCAGTCTCCCTTGAGCAGAACTCTGGAGTCAGATCTTCTTCTTTGACCTCCGCCCCGTGTGTGGTTTGAGAAGGAAGAGTTGGGAATGGAGAGAGCCCTCATGCGAAGTCATTTGCTGATGAGACCCCAGCAGCTGGTGAGGGGGGCCAGGCCTGTGTGGATTTTGAGTGGGATTTGTGGCCTGAACATACTGGGGCCGCCGAGCCCCAGCTGCAGGGACAGCCAGCACTATCACCTGCCCTGCAGAGAGCAGGCATCTTTCTTTCCCTTTTGGAAACTGCCATGTGTAATTCATGGTAGAGCACAGAGAAAGACGCAATGGAGCCCCGCCCCATGGAAAATCCTAATTAGCTCCCCACAGGGCTGCCAGAATCATGGCAGGCTCCTCACAGCATCTCTGACTCTTGTCAAAGGGTGGCGGCCCTGACTGTCCAGAGGAAGAGGCCTCCCCACAACAAAACCCCTCTGGTTTGTTTTTGTTGTTGGTTTGTTTTTTTACTGCCCCAGGAATCAGGGTTATCTGCTGGACCACCTTATAATTTGCAAAGCCCCACCAACTGGTCTGCTTTCTTTAGAGTGACTTGAACCTCTGAGCATTCATCGACTCACCAAGCATCAACTGGACTCCTGCTGTGTGCAGGGGTTTTGGGCTAGGCCCCAGGGATACAGCAGTGCATAAGGCTGTGTAATCCTTGTTCTCAAGGGGCATACTTTCTGGTTGAGAGGACGCAGGTGATAGCAAATAGATATATAAGAAGATACAAGGTAGTAATAGCATGAGTGAGCCAGTGGGTGTTGCTCTTAAGCCACGCTCTTGCCTCTCAACACTGGAGTGACATGCAAATGCCATGGGGACATCTCAGGGACATACTGAGGCAGAGAGAAGAGCAAGTGCAAGGGCACCACAGCAGATGCAAGCCTGGTGGCTGGAAGAAGCAAACACAAAGGCTGTGCAAGGAAACCCTGATGAATGTGGGGATGGGGACGGACATGTGGCCAGGCAGGCACACAGGGGCCAATCTGCGGGGCCTGGTCAGACCACAGAAGTAAGGATGTTCTGCTAGGAAGCACCATTGCTTTTGCCTACTGGGCAGAAGTGCAGAAGTGTGGAGCCTCCCACTGGTGTCCTGTCATTCGAGGGTTTATTTCTGCTTATTGGGTCAGTGATTCAGCTCCTGCACCTGCTCCATGTGGGAAGGAAATGCTGTGCACTCAGTAAAGTCAGTTCCTCTCAATCCCTCCTCCTCTGGTATGTGCCCACCCAAACCACGTTTGAAATCATCAGGTCACCCTGACTTTTAACTTATACCACACTCCCCCGGGTTCTCACGTGCAAGCAAAGCTTGACTAGCTGGGCCCACATCTTTGAGTGCCCCGCCCCCCTGTTCCTGCTGTGAGTGAAGGGTTCAGGTGAAGAAGGCATAGATGTTAGGGGCAGACAGATCTTAGGTTTGAATCTCAGTCTTGCCACTTAATGGCTGTGTGGTCTTGGACAAGTCTCTTAAAGTCTCTGGACCTCAATAACACTGGGGATAATAATATCTACTTCAAAGGGTTGTTGTGAGGATGAATTGAGATAATAAATGAAGACATCTAGTGCAAGGCAAGTGCTTGATCAGTTTAAAGGTTCTCTCTTCTTGCAGTCTCTTACCAGCCTGTTGTGGAGTACCTGGAAGGAAAGGTACAACACTTCTCTAGTAACACATCACTGGGTGGCAGTGAGTACAGCTGGGCTGTCTAATGACTTTGTAATGAGTAACTTCATGCATTACCATCTAAATGATAGGATACATAGAAATAGATCATCAATAAAAAGGAATGCAGTACTGATACATGCTACATGGATGAACCTCAAAAACATTATGCTAAGTGAAAGAAATTACTCACAAAAGACCGCATATGATATGATTCTATTAATGTGAAAGTTCCAGAATGGATAAATCTATAGAGACAGAAACTAGATTAGTGGTTGCATAGGGCTTAGAAAGGGCATAGACAGAATCTTTTGGGGGTGATAAATATATTCTAAAATTAGGTTACAGCGATGATTGCACAACTCTGTAAATACATGAAAAACCACTAAATCGTGCATTTTAAATGGATGAATTTTATGGTACATAAATTATATCTCAAGCTGCTTTTTAAAAAAGAGATATAGTTTCATTACTTTCAGAAATAATACAAAGTTTAAAATGACATGCTAAGCCTGGGCAACATGGCAAAACCCCTTCTCTACAGAAAAAAATAAAATTAGCCAGGTGTGGTAGCATGCACCCGTAGTCCCAGTTGCTACTTGGGAGACAATTGAAGTCTGTTTTTCAGTCTGATAGGTCTAGAAACACTCATATACCTCTTTTTTCTTTTTGTCTGTTTTGCTTTTTTTTTTTTTTTTTTTTTTTGAGATGGAGTCTCGCTCTGTCGCCCAGGCTGGAGTGCAGTGGTGCGATCTCGGCTCCCTGCGAGCTCTGCCTCCCAGGTTCACGCCATTCTCCTGCCTCAGCCTCCCGAGTAGATGGGACTACAGGCACCCGCCACCACACCCGGCTAATTTTTTTTTGTATCTTTAGTAGAGACGGGGTTTCACCGTTTTAGCCAAGATGGTCTCGATCTCCTGACCTCGTGTTCCACCTGCCTCGGCCTCCCAAAGTGCTGGGATTACAGGCGTGAGCCACCGCGCCTGGCCTGTTTTGGTTTTTTAAAAAAGACACTGGCATAATATTTTGACAAATGCCGAAATAATATAATGTGGGATTGGGCTCTACTGGAAGTATATATGTTGTACAGCACTGGGAACAGCAAATTCCATCAGGGAGGGACAAAGTGAGGGAACAAGAGTATCAGGAAAGTTTTCTAAAGGAGGTTGCATCTGAGCATGCCGTTGAGGAATAAAAGTGTTCATCTGTCTGGCCAACCGCCACAAACTGAGTAGAGGCAGCAGCACACAAAAGAAAAGATCAGTAATATTCTATAAGCTTTGACCTGCCTGAAGAAACAGCAGCAGCATTTGTTATGGTTGTATTTTAGTTGTGTCCTTGGTGACAAGCAAACCCTCCCTGGCCATCGGACACAAGTGGATCATTGATATCAGTTGACTCCTGGTTACCCCAGTTTTGGTAACACCTGTAATGTCTTGGCCTGGATCTTGGTAGTGAAAGATTTCATCTCTCTGGTGTTTATGGTCTTGTTTTTCACCAAACTGACATTGGGAGAATCTGAGACAGACTAGAGATAGCAATGGTATCCTCCATATGGCATTAGGATTTCACCTGTATGATGTGTTTCTCCTGTGAAGCCACCTCATTGGGAAATAAATTCTGCCCCATGGCAACCGATGTTCAATCCCAGTGACAGCAGCATAGCCCGGCAGAAAGCACTGAGAATCAGGTTCCAGATTTCAACACTGCTCCTGGCCTTAATGAGCCAGCTACCGTAACCGTAGCCACCGATCACCAAGTACCAACCCTGTGTCCAGCCCCACCTGACTCTCTGTCCTTCTTCTCCAGACTTGTCTAATAGGGGTAAACTGTACTTATCTTCACGGGAGTGTTATGCATTCAAAGACAAAAGTGAAGCCACTTTAAAAGATGTACAAACCTCAAAAGGGAAACTAACCTTTGCAGGAAGGAAGAAAGTGTTGAAATGGCAAAAGGGGGCGGGGTCTTGAGCAGGAGGTGGAATGGAGTATGATTGGGCAGGGGGAGAATGTCACCAATGAGCAGGGTTTGACACTTTCAGGCCCAGTATCCACCTGCTCAGTGCGAGACAACCCAGCAGTCAGACAAAACTAAGGCAGAGGCTTCAGCAAAGCTGGACACATGCTAGCTCCCCACCCCAAAACAGAGAGAGAGGGAAAGAGAAATCATTTATATTTATAAAAATCATCAATGTAGTCATCATAGGACCAGTAAGAAATGAGGCCGGGCTTATACTTACTTTATGGTTTCACCTTATTTTCACTTCGAATCACATTTTGGAGGTGGCCCTATGGTTTTGTTAGGGTTTCAGACCTCTAAAGGTCTAAATCCAGCTGTGGCTACACTGAACAATTTTCCTGTAGTGGTTGGGAGCAACTTTGTGGGGTTGAAATATGGTATTCAGAAATATGGATAGATTTTCCCAGGAAATAGTAAGATATGAGATTCCCCTTTCAGCCACCCCAGAACTGATCACTCTCATGGGGCAGATCTTTGATTTGCCGACACCAGATTACCCACCTGCAAAGGAAAATTTTTAAAAATCATGCTTTGAACATTTTTCTTTGACATTTGAATTGTATCAATTGTTACATCCCTTGGGCGCATTGCCGGGCAGTGAGTAGATGCCAAGAACATCTACCAGGATGAATGAAGGAATCTGTCGGTGAATAAATGAATGTGGGAGTGAATGCATGCATTCACATCTATGGGAAAATTCACTATGATTAGATTCACCTCTGAACTCAGTTCCATCATGCTAGCATCTGTTAGCCAAGTAACCTAAGCTAGAGAGGCCTGGAGTCCTACCAATTCAGTGGATTAGAAGGGCAGAGAGGTGAAAGAATGTTCCCTTAATGCTTAGCACTTGACTGTAAGTGCACACTGCTGGCAGAATAGTCAGCAGTGGAAATGAGGGAGGAGCGAGGAGATGCGGCAGAACTAGCAGCGGGGCAGAGCTCCAGATCCCCAAGATGGTGGCATTATTTATGAGAAAGGACTCCTCTTGCAAAACTGTGCGTAGACGCATGGGTGTGGCTCTTCCCCCAAAGGACTGGCTTTCCTTTCCTTCCTTCTTGAAGGATTACAGAATAAATAGGAATTGGTACAAAATGTGGATGGATGGATGGATGGATGGATGGATGGATGGATGGATGGATGGATAGATGGGTGAGTGAGTGGATGGATAGATGGACAGATAGGTGGATGGATGAGAGGACATCTACACAGGGTGGTGAAAAGAGCATTGGCCTTGAATGGCAGAGCTACTCAGCTTCTTTGAGCCCAACTCTATCATCTGTAAAAAGGGGATGGTACACCCTGCCCCTCCATGGCTCCAAAGGCTATTAGAAAGCTCAAACTGAAAGCCAAGACACCTTTGTTTTGTTTGATATGGTTTGGTTTGGTTTGGTTTGGTTTTGTTAGAGACGGAGTCTCACTCTGTTACCCAGGCTGGAGTGCAGTAGCGCGATCTCAGCTGACTGCAACCTCTGCCTCCCAGGTTCAAGTGATTCTCCTGCCTCAGCTTCACAAGTAGCTGGGATTACAGGCATGCACTACCATGCCTGGCTAATTTTTTGTATTTTTAGTAGAGACAGGGTTTCACCATGTTGACCAGTCTAGTCTCGAACTCCTGACCTCAAGTGGTCTGCCCGCCTCGGCCTCCCAAAGTGCTGGGATTACAGGCATGAGCCACCACCACACCCAGCCCCAAAACACCTTTGTTCAGTCAAGGTGCTCTGCAGCTATAAGGAATTATTTTCTATGCAACCTCTTCCCTCCAAAGACTGCCTCTAATCCCCCATGCTGCAAATATATTATGATTAAAGTGCAAGAGTAAGTCAAAATCTTAGTAAACTCTATGATCACTTTGGCATTCCTCCAACAAACTCTGCATGGATTTTGTTCCTCCTCTCAGCTCCCAAGCAATTTTTCTTACATTGGAGGTTGCCAAGATTTTATGGCTATTTGGTTATCTTATCCATCCAGATGGTTAGCATTAATTTATGCTGAAGTAAATCTGCAAAACCTCATCTGTCTCATTGCTCCAGAAGCATTAGGTGTAAGGCCTAAAAAAATCTTAATATATAGCCTCCTGAGAGGGCTGAGGTGCGATGTTACTGCATGCTTTTTATTCAATTTGGCTTGAAATTCTGCTCTTCTATCCCTTGATATTTATATATAAGCAAATTAGGTTGTTTGGTATAAGAAACCTAAACTTATTTTATGACTTTTAATGCAGATGCTCATCTCAAGTTACACAGGTGCTTTTTATTGAGAAAAGTTATACCATGATTTATACCAATGATAAATTTTGAACACCTTTTCTCCATTTTTGAATATTCATCATTAAGACATAATGTATGGGTTGGCGACCAGGGATTCAAATACTCATTAAATGTGTGACCTCAGGCAAGTCTCTCAGCCTAGTTGAGCTCCATTTCCATCACCTAGATGAACACTTGCCTGTAGGACTACTGTGAGGATTATATGTTTAATGTATGTGGGGTGCTTGGCACATAATAGCACTTAATAAATGCTATTAGGGACTATTCTTGTTATGGTTGAGCCGGTGAAGAATTTTGTGTGAGAGATTGTGTCTGGACTTTCATTTGGAGCAAGTTAGGTCAAAATAACAGCTCCTGGCACTGCTGGTGCTGAACATGTGTTCTCTGCCTATTCCCTTGCTGAGACATGAATTATTAATATTTTATGCCATTTATTCCTGTGCTATTTGGGGACTTCTCTGGCAGACTCTGGTGTTTTCTGATGGTTCCAGAAATTCGTGCAAAACATTTCTATAGGCTGGGCACAGTGGCTTACACCAATAATCACAACACTTTAGGAGTTCAAAGTGGGAGGACCACTTGAGGCCAGGAGTTTGAGACCAGCCTAGGCAGCCTTAGTGAGACCCTCATCTCTACGAAAACATTTTTAAAAAATTAGCTGGGCATGGTGGTGCATACCCGTAGTCCTAGCTACTCAGAAGCCTGAGGCAGGAGAATCGCTGGAGCCCGAGTTTGGAGGCTATAGTGAACTATGGTCCCACCACTGCACTTCAACGTGATCACAAAGGGAGAACTCACCTCTTAAAAAAAAAAAAAAAAAGACAACATAGTGATTCATAGGGTTGACCTGACTTTTCCTAGGAGTCTAATGGACAGCTGCTTAGCCGCTGATCCAGCGCTTGGCTGACTGATTCCAGGTGCCAGAATGTGGGACAGCTGTGCTCTGAGAGAGAGTCCTCTGCTCACTCAGGTGCAGAAGACAGTAAAGACTAGAAAGTTGGTTGATGATTGCTGGAATAAAGGATGAGAAACTTGAATCTGGTACTAGGCCCACACAAATTCAGTTACTATGTGTCACTTCCTGTTGGCTATTTATTTAAAATTGTAGGACTTCTGGACAAGATTTGCAACTGTGGCTGCTACTGTATCAAAAGTTACAAAGTAACTGCTAAGTAGAGCCTTTAGTTTGTTGTTGTTCTGGTTTATTTTATTTATTTGTTTTGTTTGTTTGGTTGGAGACGGAGTTTCATTCTTGTTGCCCAGGCTGGAGTGCAGTGGCGCGATCTCAGCTCACCGTAACCTCCGCCTCCCAGGCTCAAGCAATTCTCCTGCCTCAGCCTCCCAAGTAGCTGGGACTACAGGCACCCGCCACCACGCCTGGCTAATTTTTTTGTATTTAGCAGAAGCAGGGTTTCACCACGTTGGTCAGGCTGGTCTCAAACTCCTGACCTCAGGTGATCCACCCACCTCAGCCTCCCAAAGTGCTGGGATTACAGGTGTGAGCCACCACACCTGGCCATTCTTGTTTCTTTTTGTTTTGTTTTAAAATTGTATATTTTGGATCAGTTTGCATCTCTCTCTCTCTACAGGGATTGGTTTGAGCATTGTGCAGGTCCCAACTGCCAAGGCTCATGGTCCTTCTGTATAGATGCCACAAACCTACAGTTAACACAGCAACCTTTCTGGCCTTGCCAAGTGCTAAGAGTGGTTGCAATAGGGCCTAGGATTCAGAAGTTGCACTGGGCAGTCAGCAGGGCCCATGCCCCTCACCAGCTCTTCTGGAACTATTTTGTTTTTTTAGCATCCAAGTGCTTTACACCTTGTTCTCATTTGGGTGGTCAAGCCAAGGGTTGTTGACTGAATTCGTAAAAGCACCTTACACATCAGAGGCACTAAGTAAATGTGTATAAATCCTGGACAATACAGCAATAGTGATGGTTAATAACAATGGTTCTCATTTATTGAGCACTTACTATGTACCACACACCATGTGAAGCGCTTTACCTGAGTTATCTCATCTCACCGTCCAACCACTGCATTAAGTAGATGCTGCAGTAGCCCTTATTTTACAGATGAAGAAAGAGGCCAAAGAGCTTAAGAATTTGCCCATAGTCATAGCTGGGAAGCCAGAGGCAAGGATTTGATTCCAGGGTAGTCTTTAGACAAAGACCTGGGCAGTGAGGAGGTACTTCCCAAAGACCTGGGCAGTGAGGAGGTTCTGGGAAGTGAGGAGGTACTACGAGTTGAAATGAGAAGATAGATGTCAAGGCCAGTTTAGCTCAAGATTCTTTTTTAAAGAAATGGCCTTTCCTGCCTAGAATGATCCTGTTTCAAACAGCGGCCCCCGCCCCCCCCAAAATTTTTTTTTCCCTTTGCAGCTTTGGATTTTAGTAACACCAACAATATTTCCTGGAGAAATACTCCAGATGCAGTTTTCTGGTACAAGGGAAGCTGTTTTCATACCGTACCAGCATTTCACAGTTTAATGCCGTTGGGTGAGGGTGGCGGTTGTTATTCTGTGTTTCCTGCTCTCAGCCAGTGTGTGGTTCACACTTGAATTTGGCAACAGTGTGGTTGTGTTTTCTGTGCATCACTTCCCTGCATGGCATCAGATGGGCCTTCTGATTCTTAGAAAACGCAAAGATGTGGTCATTTGTGTGGCTGGAAATTGGCATCCCTGTGTGCGCGTTAAGAACGCCAGGCTGTTGCAGCAGAGGAAAACAATAGGGACCATTTTAAAATGAGATACAAGTGTTCAGGTGACTGTTGCTGTGGGATTTTAACTCTGGATGAATAGCTTGCTGTTAGGGTGGGTACTGACAGATTCCTGGAGCTCTTGTTCTGATCCTTGATCACAAATGCTTTCCGTCTAGATTGACAAGTTGAACCTTCACAGCAACCCTGTCTGGTGGGCGCCACTCCACCCATTTTATAGATGGGAAGACCGAGGCAAGGAGAAGTAACTCACCACTAGTCCCTGAGCCAGTAGGTGGTAAAATGAGATGTGGCCCCAGATAGCAAGGCTCAAGAGCCCCTGAGCCTACTGAACTATAGGGCTAGATTGACGTATTGGGAAGTCTTCTGAATAAATTGCTTCTTCCTCTCACTTGTTTTGCTAGAAACATAAATTAATGTTAAAACATCAACCTGAAACGTGTATTTAAAAACCTGTAAGATATTCTCAAGATAATCTTCAGAAATATGTGAAAAATAAAATGTTAAGGATCCTTAAGGATGTTCACACAGGTATTATTTCTAATAACAAAAAATTGGAACTAGACAGTAACCAAAATAGGGGTGTGGTTAAGTATATTCTGTCACAGCCATATAAGGAAAATGTATAGAGCCCTTAAGATGATGTTGTAGCATAAAGTTTATGGACATGGGAAGATGTCAGTTACAAGCCATTGCTACTGGGCATGGTGATGAGCCTGCAGGCCCAGCTCCTCAGGAGGTTGAGGCAGGAGGATGGCTTGAGCCCAGGAGTTCGAGACCAGCCTGGGCAAGAAGGGGCAAGAAGGAGCAAGAGGAGGAGGTGAAGGAGACAAGCTATTGTTAAATAAAAATAGTAGACTTTTTAATATAAGTATTATATGATACAATTCTTTCTATATACACACATTCGTGAAAGAACATTTCTAGGACAAATGTCAAAATATTAACAGTATTTCCTTTAGGTGTTATGGTCTATTGTGATGTTCTTCATTCTTTTGTGACTTTCTCATTTTCCTTCCAAGCTGCCTGCAATGAGTAAGGATTAGGAAAAGAAATTTTTAAGACCAAAATAAACCTTGGCCTCAGCCAGAATCCCTTCCTACCCAACCTGAAACCTCAGGGCCATAAATCGCCTGCTGCCTCCTCAGGTGGACATGCTTGCTTCCAATCGAAATACAGTGGAAGCTTTTTCCATGGCCAAGGATAGGCCCAATGGCTGTTCTATCCCATAGCAGGCAGACGCCTGAGACCCTCGTTTGTGTGTTATGCTCTGTTGAAGATGGGGCAGAACATACTTCCCAGCAGCTGTGAGGCTGAGACGAGGTGAGCAAGTCCTTTTGAATTCTCTTTCATGCATTCATTCAGCAACCTTGTATCATGCACTTACTATAATTACGTGATTAATCATTGCAACTACATTTATGTGATTCTTCTCCTTGCCAGGCACTGTGGTAGATGCTGCCTTATACCAGTGCCCAAGGCGGCTAGCATACCTGCCTGAAGTTAGAGACGGGGTTGGGGAGACAGCTGTCCTTTAACAATGGAGAGATTTGGACTGTCCTGGGAGAGACAGAGCCCTATGAAGACCATCATGGGAACATAGAGCCTAACACAGGCACTGTCTGCTTAACTAGACAGACAAGCCCAGTTCCCTCTCTCCTTCCCCCTCCCAATACTGTCCCCAGCTCTGCCCCTGGATGCTCTTCCCCATTCCCCTCTGCTGTGGTCTCTCCCCCGTCTCTTCCCTTTCCTCTTTCACAAAATGTCTGTGCATTTTTTTTTTACTTAAAACCACTACGCAAAAATCATAATTTAAGTCAAAACTGGGTCGATTCAACCCAGAGGGGATTTTGCATGACATTCTCAAGAATATTTTCAATTTGTCTAATATCAATTGTCTCCCCATTCAGGTGGGCTCACACTCTTGTGACGAAGGTGAAGATTTAAAAATAATTTATTCCCATGTAGCCACAGGAAATCAATTGAGCAGAGAAAGGATTGAGCAGAGCAAGCGAGATTTAGTTTTCATTAAAATAACACAGTACCTATAAATAAGGTGAGAATCCAGTTAATAGCTTTCTATTAAAGTGGAGTTGACGGAAAGAATTGCATTGGAAGGATTTTGTTTTGGGACTCCGTGAGGATTTAAACATTCCCTTCCTGTCTCTGGGTCTCTGTGCATTCTGAAGTTTGAATCATTTCATTTGTATTTCTCTTTTCAATTTGCTAAAAACTATTCTTAAAGTTGCATCCATTTGTCGCTTCTTGTTGGGTAGGAATAAAAGTCGATTTCTGATCCCCTCTTATATGAAAAATGGATGCATTAGGTCCAACATCTGAGGTCTTCCTCTGGCCAGTCATAAAACAATGACAAACAGGCTGCTTGAAAAGAGATACGAGACTGGGCGCGTTGGCTCATGCCTGTAATCCCAGCACTTTGGGAGGCCGAGGAGGGTGGATCACTTGAGCCCAAGAGTTCTAGACCGGCCTGGGCAACATGGTGAAACCCCATCTCTACATAAATAAATACAAAAATTAGCTGGGCATGGGGGCATACGCCTGTGGTCCCAGCTACTGGGAAGGCTGAGGTGGGAGGATCATCCAAGCTGGGAGGTTGAGGATGCAGTGAGCCAGGATTGCACCACTGCACTCCAGCCTGGGCAACAGAGTGAGACCCTGTCTCCAAAAATAAAAATAAAATAAAAGAGATATGAGCAAGAGAATAAAAACAGAGTGATCGGGGAATGTCAGACCAAAACAGGATTTTCACAAGTGCAGCTTACTCACTGTAGTTACTGCATATCAGAATCATCTTTGGCCAGCATCAAAGACTGGTCTTTTCTTGCCTGAAAGAATCCATTATTGGCTATGTTGAAAAAATTAGGTCATGTATAGACTCTTACCATCTTCTTTCCTCCCAACTCTCACCAGGTCTGGGGTCAAAGATGTGGGTTCTAGCCGCAGTCCTGTCCTCGAAGAACAGATGGCCTTAGACAGGTCTCCAGGTCCTCAGTTTCTCTACTAAGAAAATGTGCCAGTGCCCAATAAGGCACGGGAAGGGTTGGTTGGTTCAGCCCGTTCTGAACTGCCTTTCAGCTCTGGATGGGCTGTGAGGATGTGATGTTCTGTGTCCTGTTGTCTTTCACCAGGGAAGGGTGCCTAGAGAGGGCGTCAGGTGGGTGCTAAAGTGAGAGTTAGACTTCCAGTTCATCCACTGTTAGATGAGCACAAGCCAGCATTCCCCAAAGCATGCTACCCACACCAACCATTTTTCTCTTAATGGTGATGTGTCTATTTTAAAGAATACTGGGGGCGGGGGGGAAACCAGGCACATTAGAGGCACAATTTTTTTTTTTTTTTTTGAGATGGAGTCTCACTCTGTCGCTAGGCTGGAGTGCAGTGGTGTGATCTCGGCTCACTGCAACCTCCAACTCCCTGGTTCAAGCGATTCTCCTGCCTCAGCCTCCCAAGTAGCTGGGATTACAGGCATGCGCCACAGTGCCCAGCTAATTTTTTTTTATTCTTCATACAGTTGGGGTTTCACCATGTTGGCCAGGATGGTCTCGATCATCTGACCTCATGATCCGCCCGCCTCAGCCTCCTAAAGTGCTGGGATTATGGGCGTGAGCCACCGCCCCCAGCCTAGAGGCACAATTTAACACAGGTATTGTCACCTAAGGGCAGGACAAGGGACACCAGGCTTTGGCAACCAGCCTCATGCAGACCAGACGAATTCCGAGTGTGTGGCTTGGTACTTGGATGTGTGACAATGTGGTGAGTGACTGCTGTTTAGGAAGTCACTGCCTCAGGAAACCCTTTCTCTGCTAAGCTGCAGATTCTCTGCAGAGCAGTGCCACACTACAGACCAGACCTCAGCGTGTCTCCTTGTTTTGACTTTATCATCACTTTTAAATACATACAATTGAGAGCAAGATGATGAAGTCATTCAAGGATTGCATTTCTTCCTGAGTGGAGGACCTGGTTCTAGGCACAGCAACTTCCCCCAAAGCAGCTCCTGTTCACCGTCTCTGCAGTTTCACCCACAGAGCGAACCTCGGTCCGCAGTCCTCAGAGCGTGCAGCCCACGAGCACAGCTGCTCCGACGCATGCAGTGCTCCCTGGCCAGCTCATCCTCACTCTGAAGTCGGGCATTGTCCATCCAGACAATGTGTTTGACTGCCTACCACCTTCAAGACATTGCATTAGGAACCAGGGATTTGGCGTGACCGGCAAAAATAGCTAACACTTTCATAGCATTTGCAATTTGCCGAGTGATGTTTTCAGTGTTTTGCATATATTAACCCACTGAAGCCTTACAAACCTCTGAGGGAAACTGTTGTTATTTTACAGAGGAGAGAATTGAGACACAGAGGTTAAATAACTTACTGTATTAGCCTGCTCTGACAGGCATAATGAAACATCACAGACTGGGTGACTTAAACCAGGGGTCCCTAATGCCCCTGGCCACAGACCCGTACCAGTCCCTGGCCTTTTAGGAACCAGGCCCCACAGCAAGAGGTGAGTGGCAGGCGAGCAAGCATTACTGCCTGAGCTCCACCTCCTGTCATATCAGTGGCCTCATAAGATTCTCACAGGAGCACAAACCCTATTGTGAATTGCATATGCAAGGATCTAGGTTGCATGCTCCTTATGAGAATCTAATGCCTGATGATCTGAGGTGGAACAGTTTCATCCTGAAACCATCCAACCCCGCCCCTCCCACCCCCATCCATTAAAAAAAAAAAACAAAAAAAAAACTGTCTTCCATGAAACCAGTCCCTGGTACCAGAAAGGCTGGGACTGCTGACTTAAACCACAGAAATTTATTGTCTTACTGTCCTGGAGGCTGGAAGTCCAAGATCAAGGTGGCTGCAGGTTGGTTTCTCCTGAGGCTTCTCTCCTTGGCTTGCAGATGACTGTCTTGCTGCATCCTCACTTGGTTTTTCCTCCATACACACACATATCTTATGTCTCAATTTCCTCTTCTTATAAGGACATCAATCAGATTGGATCAGGCCCCGCCCCCCAAAGAACTCATTGTATCTTAATTACCTCTTTCCAAATCTTATCTCCAAGTACAGTTACATTCTGAAGTGCTGGGGGCTAAGACTTCAACATATAAATTTGAAGGGGTCACAGATCAGCGCAACACGCCCAGTGTGACACCACTGAAAAATGGAGGGCTGAGATTGGAACCCAGAGGCCATGCTCTTAAGCTACTATGCCATACCTAGGGTAGCAGTACTATATAATTTATCCTCCAAATTGGGACACTTTGAGAGGGAAGGATCGTCATTAATATTTGTGCTGGGTCAACAGGCATAAGATGAGGCTGTCTCAGGCACACCAGGATGTGTGGTCACTTAAATTACACAACTTCTTAACTCTGACAGAATGGTGCCTGCCCTTGTGGAGTCTACAGTCCACTGGATGGGAGACAAGAAAGTGGCAATGCTAATGCAGCATGCCAAGTGTCAGGACATGGGGGTTTTAAGGGACCATGAGAAGTTGGGAGCACAGAGAAGGGCCCCTGATTTGGTCTCTGGGGGTCAGGGAGGGCTTCCTGGAGGAGGCGACAACTAAGATGAGATTGATGGATAAGTAGGAGTTAGCCAAAGTGAAGTACATAGTGGTGAGAGCTGAGATGGAATGGATACCAAGGCCTCAATCTAGAGATTAGGCCTCTGGGCTCGGGCACACCCCTACTCTCTGGGACCGCTTATATAAAATGAGATACAGTTTACATCAAGGATCTGTCACTTTTTCTTAAAAAGTCAGATAGTAAATATTTTAGATTCTGTGGGCCAAGAGGCAATATCAAGGATATTACATAGGAACTTGTATAGTTACTTAAAACAAAACCATGTAAAAATATGAAAATTATTCTTAGCTCCAGGACCATATTAAAACAGGCAGCTAACTGGATTTGGCCCGCACATTTATCTCAAAGTTTGTGGTCTTACCCAGCTTTATGGCATATCTATTCATCAGAAAGCTTTGCCAGGTATTGTATAGACCATGGGGCAGGGGGTAGCTTGTATCATGGACGTACCTACATTAAAAGCCCCCAAGAGCCAGCAAAAACCCATATTCAAACCTACCTCCACTCTCCAGCCGCAGTCCAGCCCCAGCCAAGCCACTTAACCTCTCTGAATCTGTTTCCTGATCCTGTGGAATGTGGGTAATAGCACTGCTTCTCAGGGCTGCTGTTAGCTGCCTTCTCATTCCTCTTACTCAGCATTCATCAAACACTTATCCTGCACTGGGCGCTGCACCAGGCCCCGGAGTTCAAAGGTGGCCAAGATGCCACTTTTGAAAAAAATGTTTTTTGAATGTGTTTTTTGGTTTTGTTTTGTTTTTGTGGTCATTTTCTTAAAAAACCTGGGTGTGGTCAAGAGCACAGCCCCCTGTTTTGACGCTGCATTAGTGGAGGGAATGAGTTTAACGAAGCGGGTGACTTCACCTGGGTCACCTGCCAGGATTCTATCTGGGGTCACAGTTACTTCAATAAAGTGAAGCAGGAACGAGGCAGAGGGGACATGGGCCTTTGTGAGAATGAACGATGGAAACTCTTTGAACTCCTGGGATAGAAAGGCCAAGCTGTCACTAGAGCTGTTCGTGATGGGAGAGTGATTAAAGCTCGTTGGAGTTTCCTGCCTTCTTCTGGCATCAGAACTTTATGCCTGCTCTGTGTTCGGAACCAGTGCAGCTCCGAGTCCTGAGCTTTGACGTGGGAATCAGATTTCCCTGGGCCTGAGTCAGATTCTGGGCCCCACAGAAGTCAGTGGCTCCCATTTGGCTGAGGGGGTTCCCACCGGACCCTTTGCTGGGTAGAAAACACAGCAGCCAAGAAAGATCTGTTGGTCCTTGAGTCAGCTGTTGAGAAATGGAGCCACAGGGGATGCTGGGGGGTTCTCCGAAGCTTGACACCCTGCCTTCAGATCCTGGCATCATCATTTGGCAGGAACACGTGTGGCCTTTCACAAGCAACAGGATTTCTTTGAGCCTCAGCTGTCCCATCTGTAAGATGGACATGGTGTTGCCTTCCCAACTGGCTTGCCCTGAGACTAAATTTGGAAATTGCCAACATTCCTCGAATGCTCCTTATGTGCCAGCTATTGTGGGGAGGGCCTCAGCTCAGCCCCCTCCAAGGCCTGATAGTTTGAAGGCACTGAGGTAGAGGTTTTGTGTCTGTTCCTAGAATTAGGCAGTTTGGTTCCAGAATCAACATCCTTAACCATTAGATGACACTGTCTGTGAAGAGAAAGAAAACTCATGAAAACACAATTCACAACACAATGAGTGTGTGTGTGTGTGTGTGTGTGTGTGTATGTGTCCTTGTGGTTTGCTTATTGAACAAGCATTTCCTGAGCACCTACTTTGTGCAAAGCCATGGAAACATAAAGATGACTAAGGCACAGTTCCCAGCTGCAAGCGGGGAGCTTCCAGACATTTCTATCTTACCTCAGAGCTAGTGATAAGAATAGGTTCCCTCACTCTCACTTCCACCCAGCATGTGCCTTAGCTTACAATTGATAGATTTTTTTAATTCTGTGACCACAGAGCTCTTTGCCAGAAATGGGGGCGGGGGAAATCCATTACCCAGAAGCGGCCCCAGCTCCCCCTTCACAGCCCTCCTTTCTTGTGGGTAGCTGGCATTGCCACGTACAGAGTAACTTGGACGTGACGCTTCACCGTGAAGTCACACTCCTGGCCTGCTGGGAACAGTGGGGCAGCCCTGGAGGAGCCAACCCGATGAATAACGTTATTGGAGGTGTCCATATAAAGAGGACCTTGTGTAAATAAATGATGTGACCCTCCCACCCCCACTTTGGCAGGGCTGCGGAGCTGAGAAAGGGAAGCACAGGAAATGTGTTTATTTTGCCTTTGCTGAGCAGTCGTTCTGAGGGTACACAATGCAACATTAAACCCCAGGGGAGCCTCCTAGGTATGTTAACTCGCCATCTGCATGCTCCCTTTGCTGTGCAAAGAGCACAGAAATGGTTTCCAAGCCTTCTGTTTGGCTCCCACCCACCCTACCTTTTTTCTTTTTTCCTTTTGTCTACTTGGGAAATTTTTGAAGATAAAGTGCAGCAGATGATATAATAAACACTTTTTACTCACCATCCTGAATTCACAAATGTAACATTGTGGCATATTTGCTTCAGATCTTTTATAGATCTGCCTATATAATAGAAATAAACCATCAGGGTCAGGCACGGTGGCTCACGCCTGTAATCGCAGCACTTTGGGAGGCTGAGGCGGGCGGATTACTTGAGGTCAGGAATTCAAGACCAGCCTGGCCAACATGGTGAAACCCCGACTCTGCTAAAAATACAAAAAAAAAAAAAAAAAAAAAAAAACATAGCTGGGCGTGGTGGTGCACACCTGTACACCTGTACTCCCAGCTACATGGGAGGCTGAGGCAGGAGAATTGCTTGAACCGGGAAGGCAGAGGTTGAAGTGAGCCGAGATCACGGTACTGCACTCCAGCCTGAGCAACAGAGTGAGACTCGGTCTCAAAAAAAGAATAAAATAAAATAAACAAACCATCACCAAGGTAGAAATCTCTTTTGAATCTCCTCTTCTCCCCTTCATCCCTGCCTCTCAACCTCTTATGAATTTACAATATAAATTCCAGTGTTTGTTTTATACTGTGACTCCTATATCTGGACCCAGATACAATATGCAACACAGGTTTATGTTTTCATAATTTATGTAGGTGCTATCATACTGAATATATTACTCTTCAATTTGCCTGTTCTGTACAACTATGTGTTTTGATGTCCAGCCCTGTGGATCCCTCAGTCTGTTCCAATTACTGTATCATGTTCCATCATATGATTATATTGCATTCTATTTATGTATCTACCTATAGGTAGACAGATAAATTGCTTCCATTTTTTTATCATTATGAATAACATTGATCAAAGCATCCTGGTGCATGTCTGCCTTCAGATGCACAAGTATAAGTGTGTCCCTATAGTGTGTGTCTCAGGACACCCGCCAGCAGTGGATGGGGACCCCGATTTCCCTGGGTCCTCCTCACTGCTTCGTGTTGACATATTGTGATAGTTAATTTTTTGTGACAATGTGACTGGATTAAGGGATGCCCAGATAACTGGTAAAACATTATTTCTGGGTGTGTCTGTGAGGGTGTTTCTGGAAGAGATTAGTCTTTGAATCAGTAGACTGAGTAAAGAAGAGCTTCCTCTCCAGTGTGGCCGGGCATCCTTCCAATCACTTGAGGCCTTGGATCAAACAAAAAGGTGGAGGAAGGGCCAATTCTCTCTTTTCTTGAGCTGGGACGTCGGAGCTCCTGGTTCTCCGGCCCTCGTATCCAGACTGAATCTCACCACCAGCTTTCCTGGTTCTCCAGCTTGCCAATGACATATCATGGGACTTCACAGCCTCCATAATCACACGAGTCAATTTCCATAATAAACCTCCTCTTATATATGTCTTATATATCCTACTGATTCTGTTCCTCTGGAGCACCCTAACACACAGATGTTTTGTATTTCTTCCCAACTAAGTGGCCTCTCCATTGAAAAAAATAAGAAAATTTAAAACAAGGAGCTTGCTCAGAAGTGGCATGACCTGCCCATGAAAAGGAATGCTTTGTAAATCCCAGAGTTCAACATCATCTTTCCTCAGGGCTCCTGGAGATTCTGGACTCAGGAGCACTTTTCTTTTCTTTTCCTGGGACCATGCACAGTGGCATGGCATGTCAGCCTTTGCCAAGTAAAGGGCGACTTCCTATGGCATTTTTGACCAAGTCTTGACTTTCTTACCTGGGTCATTTAAGAATATTTGGGCCTCTTCTCCCATCTGCTGTCAGCACCTGGTCCAAGCCTCATTACTCATCTCTTGCCTGGATGGGTGCCCTGTGTCCTTACTGGTCTCCTGGCGTCAATGTCCCCTAGTTGAATGCATCAGCATGTTTATTTCATGCAGTCACATATCAAGCCATTTATTCATCCATCATTGACTGGAGCCCTGTTCAGTGCACCCCTGTAACTGTTGCTATGGCCTCTCATTACCTGCAGAACCCAACCCAAATGCCTTAGCCTGGCCATCAAGGCATTTCATCATCCCAACCTCAACCCATTTCTCCAGCATCATCTCCATCTTCTCCACCTCCTCACCCACATGACTCCAAGCACTTGATGACAATGTTCTTGCTCCCTCTGCCAATGTTCCCTGTCTCTACTTGTGAAACACTTTCCTGTCACCTAGAAGTCACTTGGTAAGCTCAGTTCTTACCCAGGGAGCTTTCCTCGGGCTCCAGTGCAGGACTATCTTTTTCCTTGTCTGCTTCCGTAGAGTTATCTACCTATCATCACCTGTCTCTTCAGCTACAGTGCGCGCTCTGTAATTCCAAAGTTCTCACCCATCTCTGTAGTCTCAGGGCTAAGGGCTGTGTCTGGTATACAGAAGGCATTCAATTAAAGCATATTGGTGAATGTCTCCTGACCTTCCTTCCTGCACTTACCAGCTCGGCATAGGCAGTGCTACCACTCAACTGTCTGTTATCTGTTAGAAAGTTTTTCTGCTGAGCAAATTACTGGAGACATGATTGAAGGTTTGTTTAATCTTGAGAAGATAAATTAGTATTTCAAGAGTTTAACATAGCATGTGCAAATGAATATTCTTTATTATTAATCAGGAAGTCTTATCTGTTTACTAAAGCAAGCACTGTTTACTTGGAAACTCTTTTGAATTTACTCTTTATACTTAAAAGTAATTCAATTGAATGTGATTGAATATTGTCTTTAATTCTGACGTAGCTAGTTAAAAACCAAGCTTTTCCTAATCAATATGAATTAGGGAAGACTCTTCACTGGCTATCTGGCCAGTCTCTAAGAAGGCACAATAAATGACTCGGCTGCATTTTCTCAGCTCACTGCTTCCAAAATGACTAGTTGCATTAGAATCCCCTGGAATGCTGGTTAAAATACAAAATCTCAGGCCTCACCCTAGATCTAATGAATCAAATCTTTGGGTGGGGCCTGGAAAGCTGTATTTTTGTAGATGTTCCCCACATGATTCTAACATATACTGAGATTGAGAACTGTACATACAGATCTGTGCTTTCCAGTATGGTAGCTCACGTGTGGTGACTGAGCTCTAGAAATTTTGCCAGCCTGAATTGAGATGTGCCATAAGTATAAAATACAGATTTCAAAGAGTACAAAGAAAGTAAAATATCTCTTTCATTAATATTTGTTAAATATTAATTACATGTTAAAATGATATTTTGGATATATTGAGTGAAATAAATGATTAGAATTTATTCCACCTGCCTCTTTTTGCTTTCGAAGGTGGCTGCTAGAACATTTTAGATTGTAAGTGTGGCCTGCATGATATCTCCCTCTATGGGACAGCACTGGTCTCAATTGTAGGGTCACTGAGGACATGGTGCTTCCCTCCTGGTGGCTTTCGGATAGTTGGTGTTCATTGAATGTCTTTTGAGTGGACAAATGAGTGAATGAGGTTGACGCATAACACGTGGTTTCCACTTACCTACTATGGGACCTAGACAGGCTGTTTCACTTCTCTTATATCTGTAATATAAGCAGAGTAACTGGAGCCCTTTTGTTCACCTGCAGTTGGATCTCAGTGATTTGGGGAAGGATCTTGGGCCTCCACTTGCAGTGACTATAGTCACTATAGCTTCATCAGCAGGGGCGGGAAATGATGCTGCCTCCAGCTTGAGAGTGATGAGGCCAGCACCTCCTGGGAGCCCTCGATAATTTTATCTTCTTTTGCAATCCTTCCCCAAATCTCTTGGTTCCACTCAAAACTAGGAACAGTCCTGCCCACTGTGGCAAGCTGTGGTGCCCATCTCTCTTACAGCTGTCCCCACAGGACTACTATAATTATTCACTTTTATCCCATTGCCTGTAATGCATGACTCAACTCTAGAAATACCAGATTAAACATTTTCTTTTACATTTAAAACACTGGCTGTATTCAAATACTACCCATCTGGTTTTTTTTAAATCAGATTAGAAGTAAATGTCTTATTCTTCCAACTAAATTCCAGTACTACAAGGATAGCAAAACAATGAAACAGTAATACACTGGGGGTGTCGGGAATGCAGCAATAAACATTTATTAAAAATACTGATAGAATAAAATTTTTAAACTACCAAAAATAAAAAAGAAAATCATATGAACCCATTCTGAAATCCCCAAAGTCCTGGAATACAGAAGTGCCTGCCTCCTTCATTATTCCACAGGAGTCACTGTAGGCTTAAATGGCTCTGAAAATTACATATTTACTATGGTGGTCAAAAGAGCAGTCTTCAAAATCCAATCATCTAGGCTCATATCCCATCCCTACATCTTACTAGTTATGTGACTTTGGACAAATGAACTGAGCACCTCAGTTTCCTCATCTGTAAAATGGGGATAATACTAGTAATTAGCTCCTGTGTAAGATGGGAGGGTTATAGGTGACTAATGTATGTAAAGCAATTAGCGTGGTACCTGGCACCTGGTAATACATTCATATTGCTATTGATTGCTGTTTCAAAAACTTTTTCTTTTTGGCACCTACTCTATGCCAGGTATTATTGGATATCACCCAGTATCCCAGAGAAGGGAAGCTTTTTGGGAGAATGGCATAATGAAAGGATTAAGATGTAAACCGACATAGATTCAAAAAAGGAAAAGTTGGGCTGGGCGCGGTGGCTCACCCCTATAATCCCAGCACTTTGGGAGGCTGACGCAGGTGGATCACGAGGTCAGGAGATCAAGATCATCCTGACCAACATAGTGAAACCCTGTCTCTACTAAAATACAAAAATTAGCCAGGCATGGTGGTGCACACCTGTAGTCCCAGCTACTTGGGAGGCTGAGGTAGGGGAATTGCTTGAACCCCATAGGAGCTGGACAGGCAAAATATAGCAACAACAATAATAACACCAGATGCCTGCCATAGTCCAGTCCCATGACACACACAGTCTCATCTCCTCTTTATAACCCCTCCATCTGACACAGATGAGGCTCAGAGGGGTTGAGTAACCGGGCCAAAGTTAACTAACCTGCTGCTAAGTGGCCAAACTGAATCCAAACCCATGTCTTTCTGCCCAGAATGTGTCCCCTCTTTCTACTGACTCAGTTCTCTCCATTAAAGAGATGGGATCAATCCCTTTGATGTATCTGAAAATCTGTTTCATAATAAGACATCTCTTATACTCAATGTTATTGGGGACAGGCAAAAATAAATCATTGAGGTTGAAATGAGAAGGTCCCTGCTTTCTGTGAGCCCCAGACTGACCATAGGTGCATGAAGTGAACCCGGCGGGCACACTGCGTGGGGTGGGCTAATAACCTCCAGTACGAGAGGCCCAGATCTGAGAAGATGGGGCGGGCTGCCTGGGAGTACAGAGCTCCCTGTCACTGCAGGAGTCAAGCAGAGGCTAAAGACACAGTTGTTCAGGAATGTTCGGCATTGAGCAGACTAGCAGGATCCCTCCAGGTGAGACTTTAGGATGCTCTATGACATTTTCAAAGACCATTGGAGAAAAAGTATCTCTACCCCGGGTAACTCATAGTGTTTAATTCACCCTGCCATCTTACCAAGCCATGGGAAGTAGGGGGAAGCCTGGACTTGGGCTGCCCCAGGCCGGTCTGTGTGTTCAATTCAGGTGGGACTGAGCAGGGAAGGTGCAGCCTGATATGCACTTGGGTGCTGGACATGGCAGGGGGCACAGTGACTCTGGCTGTGTTCCCCTCCTGCCAGTATTGGGCTCCCAATATTGCTTCAAGTGGAGTTCACCTTGGTTTGGGGTCAGGGAGGGACTGAGAGGCATTCATTTCTGGCAGGCAGCCAGGCTGGCCTCACAGGTTCATGTGAGCTGCACCAAGCACTGCCAAGATCACCTTGGGTTCTAGAAGCCCATCTTTTATTCATTCGAGAAGCAGGCCGAGAGACTCTGCTCTATGACATTTTCAAAGACTGTTGGAGAAAATGTCTCTACCCCAGGTAACTCATGATAGTGTTTAATTCACCCTACCATCTTACCAAATCCTCCATTGCCCATTTCAAAGAAATCCCTATACCAGCACATGCTGGGTGCTTGATAAATAATAATAATAATAGCTAACAATTACTGAGTACTACTGCATGCCAGACACTTCTAAGTCATGCTCTGTGCTATTTCATTCACTTCTCTCAACAATTCTGTGAGACTGCACAGCAGCTCTAATTTGTAGATATGGAAACTGAGGCATAGGGAGGTTAAATCATTTGCACAAGGTTCACAGCAAGCAAGTCTGGGAACCTGGGTGGTCCTGAACCCATTCTGTGATGTCAACTGATGGGACATGGGAGGACTGCACCCAGCTGATTCCTCACGGTGGTCCTGAACCCATTCTGTGATGTTGACTGATGGGACATGGGAGGACTGCACCCAGCTGATTCCTCACAGTCCCTCAGGAAGCTGCAGGGAGAGGAGAGACAGCCCTTTGTCCCAGTGGTTGAGCGACTCCCCCGCACTGGGGCAAATCATCTCTCCCTCCCCATTCTCTCAGCTCCTTCCCAGATTCCACCCTGCCCCCAGCAGTCTCTTCAAGCACGTTGTGAACATTAAGTTATCCCCTGCTATTCATCTGAGCTGATGTTGGCTCAGACAGTACCAATTCGACGTTTCTCCAAGGGCGGACAGCGGGTCGGCGAGAGTCGATAATGGGTTCCAGCAGATTGGACGCCGTTCAGATCTAACTCGAGCCTGGCGCCCTTTGCAGACTTGGAGTCCAAGTCCTCCTCATGCCTTAGCAGCAAGTTCCAAAGCAGCCTGGAGGGGACGGCAGGCGTGTGGTCACCACTGACCTCCTGGCCCCACAGCCCCACACCCACACTCTCTAGGACTAATCACACGCAATGCTGGCTTCTCGCATTCCCCAGTGACTTTCCCTGTCATCTTGCCTGCTGCGTGCCTGCTGGCTCATGGGAACTCACCGGGGCGGAGACTTTGTCTGCTTCCTGCTGCATCCCCTGCACCTAGCACAGTGCCTGGGCCATAGTGGGTGCACCCTAGAGTATGTGCTAGGTGAATGCATTCATAATTCCTGTTCTTAGCATGAGGCAGCTGACACCTCGGGCCTCTCGGACCCCAGACTTGTTCCCGCAGCTGCCTCCTGGCCATCTTTATTTGGCGTTGCAAATTTGACAGGTCTGAAACAGCTCAGATATCCCACCTCAACAAATGCAACCTGGTCTTTTCAGGGTAAAATCCTCAGAGGCCTCTGTGACATCCTCCTTTTCCATGCCACACGTTTAGCCCACGCAGGTCCTCTCAGCTCTACTTTCAAAGGAGATCAATAATTCAACCACTTCCCCCCACCCCGGCTGCCGTCTTTCTTCTCCAGTCTCACCTGGATGAACCCATCCTCCACCTCCTCTCCCACCTGAGAACATTCTACTGCCGCAGCCAGAGCTGGTCTACAGCGTAAGTCGGATCATGTTCCTCCCACACTCACACCTCCAAGGGCTCCCAGCTCAGAGTGAAAGCTCAGAGCCTCCTTGTGGCCTGTGAGGCCTGGCACTGCCCACTCCATTCCAGGCTCACTGTGTGGTTCCTCGCATGTACCAGGCACATGCTAAGCACACACCAGGCACATGCCTTTGCCTTGCTGTCAACGCTGCCTGTAACACCCTTCCTCCAGGTTTCCCCATTAGTTCCCTCACTTCCTTCAGGCCTCTGCTCAAAAAATCACTTATCATCGACGCCTGGTTTTGAGGATGGATGAGTTTGCATGTGAGGGGCATTTAGAACAGTGCCTAGTTCAATAGCTGGTAGTTACGACCGGGTTCTTGTAACGGCTCCTTAGGGCCTGGTTCGTAGCTGATTCTCCTTTTGTTGAATGGGATATGTGTCCAGGGCCTGGTCCAATGCCTGGCACCAAGTGGGAAGTCAAACGTTCGTCGAACGGAAGGTGTAGAGACGAGCCTGGGAAGCAATGCACACACTGCTTAGTTCAGGCCATGGGAACTGGACAGTGTGAGAGAAAGGTGACAGCCCGTCACTTCGATATATTCTGGAAGCAAACTCCTTCCACCCCTACCTCCCCCCACTGTCTGTGTCACTTCCCTGGGGCCTAACCCTTGCCTTCTGGCTCCGTGCTCAGGGAGACCCAGGAAGGCCAGGGCTGTGGTCTCCTGGAAGGAACTGGGCTCCAGACCTGGCTTAATTGGGGCGGGGGAGGCTGCAGGTGAGGGAGGAAGGGGAAGCTGCGGGAGCCGGGCAGCAGCCCCTGCAGAGGTGAGACCTTGTGTTGGGCTCTCCCCGCCTCACCTGTGTTGCTCAGGTTCTGCCCAGGCATTCTGGGAACTGCTGCTGGTTAGAGGAGGGGGTGGGACCCAGCTGCCTTGACCGTCACTGCTTGTGGCCTTTCTCTGCCTCTCAGCTGGAGGCTTTAGCCAGAAGAGTCTGAGAATGAAGGCCATGGCCCAAGTCTTTTGTTCTCTTTCCAGGGCATAAAAACCTTGTCAATCTGCTGTTTAGAGTAGTTCAAAAAATACAAACAGCTGTTGTCCCTAACCAAAATCATGCTGCTGATAGCCCCAGAACCCTGGCCTTTGGAGGCCTCAGAACCCCGGCCTTTGGAGGGCTCAGATGCCTGGCTCATTTGTTCTTGGTGGCTTGGCCCCGAGGTATGGAGGAAAGCGGAAGGTTGTTGTCACATCCCGCATCATCCGGCCACCTTGGCCCCTCAGTACTCCTCCTGGGGCACTGAGAGGAGCGCACCCAGCTTCAATCTCAGGGGACTTGACAAAGGGTATTTAGTGGCATAGGTTTCTACCTGTTTATGTTCCGTATGCCTTAGTGTGTTGAGAAACAAAAAGCATGGACATTTTTTATGAATAATATTATAATATGAAACTCTCCTTCCCCTCAGAGAGGATGGGCCAGCTGTTTGGCAGAGAAGCCTCTCTGCTGATTAATAACAGCACCTTCACACTTTCTTTAGGCAAAATGTGGAGAAGTGCTTGCTGCCTACGGAGCCTGCTTTTGGGAAGATCTTGGTGTGGGTCACCTGGTGTATACAGTGTTACTGTTTGCTAAGTGGAAGCGTCATGGCCTGGAGGGTTTGGAGCCAGGGAGACCCAGGCTTCGGCTCCAAATTCATCGCTGATTCCCTGTGTTGCCTTCACCTCTCAGAGCCTCCGTTTTATTATCTCTAGAATGGGAATGATAGTAACCACTTTGCAGGGTTTCTATGAGGACCAGGGGTCGCAGGTATGTAAAGGGCTCAGCACATCCCAGGCGCCTGGTAAATGGGAGCTGTTATTCATTGACCTGGGCAACAGCTATTTTTTGGAGCACCAACTGTGCCTTAGATGGGAAATAAAATAAAAATCTCTGCCCTTGTGGTGCTCACACTCTAGATGGGGAGCCGGGTAATAAACAGATAAGCAAGCGAAATATTAATATATAGCAAGTCCGGAAGGTAAGGGCTGCAGGTTAAATAACGTGGGCAGGGCCAGGCGCGGTGGCTCACACCTGTGATCCCAATATCTTAGGAGGCCAAGGCAGGAGGATTGTTTGGGGCCAGGAGTTTGAGAACAGCCTGGCCAACATGGCGAAACTCCTTCTCTACAAAAAATACAAAAATTAGCCGGTCATAGTGGTATGCGCTTGTAATCCCAGCTACTCAGGAGGCTGAGGCAGAGAATTGCCTGAGCCTGGGAGGCAGAGGTTGCAGTGAGCCAAGATCGCACCACTGCCTGGGAGACAGAGCGATACTCTGTCTCAAAAAATAAAAAAAAAAAGAAATTTAAAATTAGGCATGGTGGAACATGCATGTAGTCCCAGCTACTGGGGAGGCTGAGGCAGGAGGATTGCTTGAGTGCAGAAGTTTGAGGTTGCAGTGAGCTGTGATTGCACCACTGCACTCCAGCTGGGGAGACAGAATGAGGCCCTATCTCAAAAACAGATAGATATTGGTGGGTACAGTGGCTCACGCCTGTAATCCCAGCACTTTGGGAGGCCGAGGCGGGCAGATCACCTGAGGTCAGGAGCTCGAGACCAGCCTGGCCAACATGGTGAAACCCTGTCTCTATTAAAAATACAAAAATTAGCCAGGTGTGGTAGCGCATGCCTGTAATCCCAGCTACTCGGGAGGCTGAGGTAGGAGGATTACTTGAACCTGGGAGGCGGAGGTTGCAGTGAGCCGAGATTGCACCACTGCACTCCAGCCTGGGCAACAGAATGAGACTGTCTCAAAAAAACAAACAAACAAAAACAGATAGGTAGATAGGTAGGTACACAGGTGGGTGGGTGGGTGGGTGAGTGGATGGAGAGGGAGAGAGAGAGAGAGAGAGAGATGATATATAGAGTGGTCAGCGAAGGCTCACTGAGTAGATGGCATTTGAGAAGCGACCCCCTGGCAGTGAGGGAGATGACCCTACCTACACCAGGAGACATTCACTTTCTATCCCTGGAGAGGCAGCCCCCAGCCTTGAATGACTTTGGGGGCAAGGTCTCTTTTCACTGTTTTTGTCTCATTGGAAGTGGGCTTTCTGACACGAGGCTCTCAACACCACCTGCCTGGCCTCTCCCCTTCATTCCTGAGCCTTATTGATCAACCAAATTGCCCTCCACAAACTCAGCTATCTTCTGTCAGACTAATGTTATATTTTAATGTCCCAGGGGGAAAAAATGAGTCTATGCCACTGTAGAGCTGCCACATTTTAATATGGAGAACTTGGGGCAAAATGTAGCTGAAAGGGGAGAGGAGAGAAGGGGTCGGGAGGAGGATGGGATCACAGCGAGGCTCTGAATTGAGGTCCATTTCCACCCTTTGGCGGCATAGACTGGAAAGAAAATACGGGACAGTCGTCCTCCCACCTCCTGCCAAGGCCACCTCCTTCTCATCATCCGAGTCTCAGTGCAACTGTCACCTCCTCAGAGAAGTCCTCCCAGACCAGCCCACTGCAGCACCTTCCCAGACCCTGCTACCACCTGAAATGATGGAAGTGTTTTAGGTTGGTGGTTCATTTTCTCCGTTAGAATGAAAGTGCCAAGAAGGCAGGAAACTTGTTTTCCAAGAATCTAGAAAAGTAGTTGGCACAAAGTAACTGCTCAGTGCTCATTTGCTAAATGGGTGGGTGAAACCCCTTCCTACAGAGTCGGGGCAGGGGTCCCCCAGCCAGCGTTTTTCAAAGTGTAGTTCATGTCCCACGAATGGGCTGTGATATCACTTTAGTGACTCATAGTTACTGGCATTTAAAAAGTGAAATAGAAAAAATAAAAAATAGCGCACACTACACATGGTAAGGATAACTGTTGTTTTAAGAAATATATATGGAATGATATACTTTATTTCTCATGTAGTAGTCAAAAAATTTGAAACTCAGCAGTGAATGCTAAGTTTTCTCAGCCTAGATGACTTCAAAAGGAACATTCTTCCCCTGGAGACTGTAAACCTAGTCGCATAAAGTTTACATTCTGGGGCCCCAAAGCAGAACCTGAAGAAAAGATTCCTTTGTTTTCTATTAGCTGAAAAAAATGAATAACTTTCCACTGTAGGGGACCCAGTCTCCTAAATCTCCACTGACATACATGGGATCATTTACACACTCACATACAAATGCACACACACACAGATACATGTATCATATATACCCACTGACAACGAGGACACATAGACACATACATACATGCAGGCAGATACATCCATACATTCAAACACACACAGGTGCAAGCACACAGCAGTGCACTCACAGATGTGTGCATATACAAACACACATGTGCACATAGACACATGCAGGCATGCACACAGATACAAACACATACAGACTCATGCTCACAAGCATGCATGTGCATACAGACACAGTTTTATTCAACACATGCACATACACACAACACACATGTCCATACACAATCATCCTTATTCTGTTCCATGCACTGACACCTTCTCCTCCCCGGGGAGATTGTCGGGCCATGTTCAGATGTGCACCCTGGCAAGGGAGAGTGTGGAACACAGCCTCTCTACTAACCAAAGTCAGTGGGGTGTTAGGGGTGGGTGCATCCACAGGCTTTGCAGTTAGGCCAACTTGGGTTCAAATCTCCACAGAGTGACTGAGTGACCTTGGTCAGGTTACTTTATTTCACAGAGCCTGATTCGTCACCTGAGAAATGGGGCTGATGACAGTCATGCCTCCTTCCCGGGGGCGGCTGTGGGGATGAGCTGGGAGCAGGGTTGTCAAAGGCGCCAGCTTTCCCTGCAGGTGTGTGGGACCCACTTGTGCCCCTGCCCAGCTGTACGGCATTGGACCAGCTCCCTGGGCCCAGATACCTCTTTTGTAAAGTGAGGATCTCCTATCTCTGGCAGGATCCTGGTGAGGAGGAAACAAGGCTCTGTATGAGGAGTGACAGCTCCGAGGCTGGCCAAGCTTGCAAGGTGCTCAGGGTGTCCCTACTCCGTCCTCCAAGGCTTCATCTTCCTCCAGGTGCCCCCTCCTAGCCAGCCCACCCCATGCCGTCCTCACCATCTCTGGGGTCACACGGAAGCCAGGCTGGGCTCCCCTCTGACAGGGACGCTCTCTAGAAAACCACAGTCTGGGCCATGTAGAGACATCCCCTTGAAATGCCATCTGTGACTTCTCAGATGGGTCTACTCTCGCTCCATCTTCCCCCATCTCCAGAAGGCTCCAGCACGATGACCCTGTATTACCTGCGATGCGGCAGGGGCCCCTCGGGTGCCCCAGTGAGCATCGGTTGAAAAGTGTGTCATTTTCACCTTAGTAGCTTCATAGAATGTGGCCTTACGGAGAGGAGATGACAAAGCTGTGAATGTAGGGAAAGAGAAAGGTCATGGGGCAAGGAATGGGGATCAGCCATCCTGGGCCCAAGGACAGAGCATGTTCACATAGGGCACCCGGGATGAGGAGGAGCAAAGCACCAAGACCCGGTTTCGGCTTTACATTTGCCTTCAGAGCAAGACAAAGCAGCAGATGTCAATGACAAAGAAACTGCAAAACAAAGAAATGCTTAAAACTTGACCAGAAAGCAACAGAGTTAGCCTGCCATCTGATGCTGCCTCCTGGCCCTCCTGTGGGGACCTACGAGCCCCCTGCACCCACAGCCTCGCCCCCACACCCAGGGTTCGCTCCAGGGCCTTCTCTCTCTCCTCAGCTTCCTCCTGTCATCAGGTAGCAAGTACATGAGGCTCTGATAGGAGCCAGGCATGTGGCAGGTGGCTTTGGGGACAGGAAAGCCAAAAGGCAGACGTGGCCCTCACAGGCTGTCGTCCGGTAGAGGGACAGGCACTGTCCTCATAGTGATGCCCACCATTGCAAAGCATGCTGGAGATTTCTCTGCCAGCTCTGGGTGGGGCCGGGGAGCTGGAGTGAGCTTGTGCAAATGAAAGAGTTGACTGGGAACATCTTATTTAATCCTTACCACCTTCCTTTGAGGCAGGTGCTACTGTGACCTGCCGAGAACCCAAGACTAGGAAGCTGCAGAGTTCAGCCAGCCCATGCGGTTCTTTCATTAAGAAGCCCGTCGCAGGGCACCCTGCGGTCCATTTCTATGAAATGTCCAGAATAGGCAAATCCGTGGAGACAGAGAGCAGGTCAATGGTTGCTTAGGGGTAGGGGGATGGGGACAGAGGGTAACAGCGAAAGTGGGTGGTGGGTACAAGGTTTCTTTTTGAAATAACAAAAACTGAAAACCATTGAATAATGTACTCTAAATGGGTGAAATGTATGGTATGTGACTCATATCTCAGTAAAGCTGTTATTCAAAACTTTCAGCTGGGCATGGTGGCTCATGCTTATAATCCCAGCATTTTGGGACACCGAGGTGGGAGGATCACTTCAGTCCAGGAGTTTGAGACCAGCCTGGGGAACACAGCCAGCAAGACCCCATCTACACAGAAATTCAAAAAATCTGCCAGGCCTGGTGGCATGTGACTGTAGTCCCAGCTACTTGGGAGGCTGAGTGAGAGAATCTCTTGAGCCCAGGAGGTTAAGTCTGCAGAGAGCCATGATTGCGCCACTGCACTCCAGCCTGGTCCACAAAGCAAGACCCTGTCTCAAACAAAAAAAGAAGTTTTTTCATGTGAAGCCAAGCCCTTGATTCCTCTGTCAGCTGGCCTGTGGCTGCAGCGAGGAGGGAGGGAGAAAGGGAAAAGATGCACAAAAATTCTTGCACCGCTGGCGTGGTCTTCAGTTGGTGCTGGCTGTCTCCAGACTGGGCAGACATTCCCAGCAGGCTCTTTTCTTCGGTGGCACTTCCGTGGGCTCTCTGGGGAATCAGTTTCCTTAATAAGGCTTCATTCCCGCTTGCGGTTCCCAACTCATTCCTCAGCTCCTCTAGGACTGGAAATCCATCCTATACCCTTCCAGGGGACCCCTCCTCCTGGACAGGCCCAAGCATGACCCCTCCCTGGAGCAAGGCCCCCTCTGGTCCACAAGAAGCTACATTCATCTTCTTCCTGGAAGGTCTGGGAGGGCCAGCTGCACTCCAGCTTTTCCTTTGATGTTAGTTAGCAGTAAGTCACAGGTTTGAGCCCCCAGACGATGAGTAAACGTGGCCCCTCAAACTGTAAGGGCACATATATTAGGCTCTTCAGTGATTTAACCTCCCCTCTTCTATTTAACACATGGGAGGACATCTCCCAGGCTTCTCCCATAGGTATATGGGCAGGTGTGACTTCCAGCTCTGAAGCATCTCTCCAGCAAACTTCTCTACAGCTTCTTTCCCCATCTCCTAAAATCCAACCCTTTTGTGCTCCATGTGGGCAAAGTTGAGTGGGACTGTGGTTACAAGTTGAGAGTAGTTCACCAGCTATTAGCCTCTATCGTAGAGTCTGCTTTTAGTCCAGGACCTCTTTTGGATCGAGCATCTAGTATATTTTGATGTTTTAGCAAAACTTCCATTTTAACATCCTGTTGCAATTATCAAATATTTGCGTGGGGGGTGTATATTCTTTCTTCTTCCCTAGAGCAACTGTGTTGTGTCATACTCAGTAAAACTGTATTCATGCCAAGATGGGCTTGTACACAGAGCACATTTCCTGAGATGCCCTGTGGATGCTTTTTTAAATGTCCCTTTTAAAACAGTGCCTGAAGTTCGCAGATGGATTTAATTTTTTTCACTGGTTTATAGATGCACTTCCTTTCATAGGCAGTCCCTGGCACTTTCTTGCCCTAACTCTTGCATAGGTTATATATCCAAATAAAAAATGCTTCTTACAAAAAGAAAGAAAAGAAAGCTGACGTTTCAGCGTCACATGGAGATGGTAGGAAATAGAATTAGAAATGATCCCTCCTTCCCTTATACTGTGAATAAACAGCCAGGCTCATTTTTTTTTTAAAGTCCTTAATGGCGATTTCCCAATTAATCTTGGGAACGACCCAAGGACAATGTCAGCCAATTTATAATTGAATCCAAAGTGGGGGATGGCAGGAGTGGGAAGTGAGAGGTTTATTCTCTTCTCAGCCATGTGCACTGACATTTTTTTAAGCCTACAAGGGTGAATTTAAAAGGGCCTGAGAGGGTGAAGTAGAGGTGACAGCCAGATTCTTTAAAGACAAGTGATGCTTTAAAAATTAAAAAAAAATAAAAAATAAAAAACTTTGGAAGGAAATAGCTAAACAGGACTTAGATGAGTCTTACATCTCTGGGTTCCAGGTCCACCTGGGGCTCAGGATTTTACAAACTTGCACTGTCTCATTCCAACAAGGAGAAATAGGAGGCCACTGAGGCAGAAGAAGCTTCCGGGAGGCTTCAGACTAGTCCAGCTGGTGCTGCCTCTGACCACAGTTTAGCTTTATGGGAGGGACGGGACAGGCAGCACCTGATGTTGGAAGGAGAGGAGTGTTCTGGGGGAAAAGCTGAGTCTCACTGGGAATGTGTTGATTGGGTAAGAACACGTTAAGGTTGGGCTGGGGCAGGTCAGGAATGAGTGGTTAGGATGGAAAAGTCAAGCTGGGAGCTCACACTTATCAAGTGTTCACCATGCAGAAGGCGCGGGGTGAGCATTTGACACCAACTGTACCATTTGGTTTCTGTGAGGTGGGTACTGTTACTCCTATTCCCATTTGACACCTGAGGAAACTGAGGCCCACATAAACACAACATCTTGTCCAGGTGCACAGCCAACTGAGGGGTGAAACTCAAGTTTGGAGTGTGCCTTCAGCATCTCACCTTGACTCCTCATCTTCTGTAATGAGGTAACAGACAAAGGGAACAGATAGTCCATTTTGATCTCGTATTTACTGTGTGCCAGTATAAAGCGCCTCACAGCAGCCGCCCCTTCTTGTACAACCACTTCTTTACACGTGAGGACATTAGGACCCAGAAAGGTGAAGGAACACACAGCTAGAAGATGGTGGAGCCAAGGTCAAAATCCAGGTCTGTCTGTTTCCAAAGGCCAGGCAGCCATTTTCTCCCAGCCCCTGAACTCCATTCGGAGTTGCCTGGAAAGCATTTGGTGTGAAGGAGCTGGCCACGTCTACACTAATCAGCTGTTAACCCTCAGAACTACCAGCCGAGAGAAATCCTGGTCGGCCAGAGCCTCAGTCCCTGAACAGTCCCCCTGACATTGCATGGAAATTCCTAAAACCAACGTCATCATTCTTGAAACCTCCCTCTACAACACCATAAATGCCCTTTTCTCCTGGGCTGAATGAATGGAGACCGTTTCTCCCAATTTATGGGGTGATGCCAGTTTGGCTGGGTAGTTCTCATAGGCCCTGACCCTGGCAACTTAAAGTCTTCCGTTATTTGGCTGGGGACAGGGGGATTGTTATTTTAGGAGACAATCTTCTATTGTTCTGTGCAAGCAAACCCCATCCCCCTTCCCACCTTCCCCTCCAGGACCCCCGAGATAAATAAGAAAATGCACTCATTAAACAAGTCCAACCCCTAATTCATGCGGCTTGCAGTAAGGACATAGGGAAAATGGTTAGCACACAGCAGCGTGTTCTTAAGGATCTGCTGGCAGCTACAGAAGACAAATAATGAATGCCTTGTAACCCAGCCTGGCCACACCATTCCAGGAGCTCAGCCTTATCAAACACAGGCCAGGTTGTAGATATTTCCACCCCGGGCCCTCCTCCGAATCCAATAGGTATTCAAGGATGTGGCTGGACTGCATTTATTCTGCTTGGGGATTTGACATGACATGACTGTCTCCCACTCTTTAGCCAAAGTGAGACAGTGGATTGTAGGTGTATTTGTGAGATGGAGCCCTCCAGGATAGAAATCAGCCAAGCTAAGCCAGTGTCCTGGGAATGGGACTATTTGCCTGCCTTGCCTACTCTGAGCACCATCAATGTACCTGCAAAATCCAGGTGGGAACCAGGGTGTGTATAGCCAAATGTAAAGAAATTTTTCAAAACGGCTCTGTATGAAGATAAAAGATCTGAACAGCTTACTCTGCGTGAGTTTCGAATGGCAGCTAAAGGGTAGGTAACAGGAGCCGATACCTGGCTCTGCACCTCCTCCCAAAGGAGTCCTGCTGGTGAAGGATGCCGTGCTGGGCCACTCTTCTGTTTGCCGACTTGGCTGACTCCTGAGGCCAGGTCCACACCGGGCTATGTGTTTCCTGATTTGAGGCCATTTATCCTCATTACCCCATGATGCTGCAGTTCAGGCTCTCTCATTGCAGCCAGGGCTTCCTAACCGGTTTTCTCCCCAGGCCAGCTCCTATGGATGAGCAGAGGCTGCCTGAAGAGTTGGAGCAGCAGGCGAGGCTAGGGTGTAGAGAGATACGTTCGTTGCATTTTTGCCAACCCACCCATAGCTGCCCCTTTATTTTCATTCTGGCAGTGGGTTCTCCTTGGGTTCTCCAACCTGGAAGCAGCTTGAGCAGCCTCCCTGCCACCTGTCATGTGCTCTAAAGATGCCTCCTGGGTAGTAAGGCTACCCCCTGCCTCCCACCTAAGCATAGCTCAGAGCATTGCAATGTGACCATTACATGTCCAGTATGGTGGGTTGTACAAGCACATGGATGTTTATATATGTATCTCAAAGGTCAGAGCATGTGAAGAAGGCGCACTGGGAGAGTCCCACTAAGGGGAGCCCCATCCCTGTAAACAAACTTGTTCAAGTCCCTATCACTGAGGCCCCCTCCCTTTGGCTGGGGAGTGCTTCCTGCTTCCTCTCCCACAAATGCCAAAGGATGCAGCAGATTGAGGCACTGGGGAGAAAGTGCCCAGCCTGGGAGATTGTGAAGTGGAGTGCAAAGCCTTACCTGCTAGTAGAGGACCATGGGACCTTGGTCAGTTTCACTGTCTGCAAACTGAGCTTGTTTTTCCCACCATAGTGGTGATCTGTCAGGGCTGGGGCAAAGGTCAGAAGCCTGATGGATGGGAAAGGGCTTTAAAATATAAAATTGCCTGATAAATGTGAGGAATTTGGGTTTGCTTTTGTGGAGGTGGTGATGATGATGATGATGATGATGATGGTGACGGTGATGATGACAAGGACAATAATGAGCTCAGCCAGACACAGCGGCTGCTTGACGTTCACCCTGGCACCACATGGGAGGCCTTTCTTCACAGTGAGCTTCGTGGTGATGAGCACAGCACAGCCCAGCGTAGTGTAGGATTTATTTTAGGTGCAGCGTGGGGTAGAGATAAAAAGACTACCTGGGTTCCAAATCTGGGTCCACCACCCAGCTCTGTGACTTTGGGCTGGTCACTCATACTTTTTGTGCCTCAGTTTCCTCATCTGTAAAATGAGAATGATAACAGTATCCTAGAGTACTCAGTTTCAAAGACCATGGGCTAGAACTCAAGACCTAATGTTCCGATCCAGACCCGAAGCAAGCTGGGGTAGCTGACCTCGAGGCAGAGCTGTGGGAAGAGCCCACTCGTGACCTGGATGCGAACCCTTGACTTGCCAGAAGTCCATGGGCAAGTTCTGGCTCCTGTGCCAGCCTTAGTTTCCACATCTATAAAATAAAGACAGGCCGGGCATGGTGGCTCACGCCTGTAATCCCAGCACTTTGGGAGGCCAAGGCAGGCGGATCACTTGAGGTCAGGAGTTCGAGACCAGCCTGGCCAACATGGTGTAACCCCATCTCTACTAAAAATACAAAAAAGAAAAAAATTAGCTGGATGTGGTGGTCGGCGCCTGTAATCCCAGCTACTTGGGAGGCCGAGGCAGGAGAATCGCTTGAGCCCAGAAGGTGGAGGCTGCAGTGAGCCGAGATCATGCCACGGCACTCCAGCCTGGGTGACAGAGTGAGACTCTGTCTCAAAAACACAATAAAAAATAAAAATGAAGACAGTAACGGTTACTTCTCTCAGAGCCACTGGAAGGGATTAAATAAGACCCTGCATGACATAATCATGTGATTATTAAGTGCCGGCTGCCAAGCTAAACACTTTATATTGTCTCAATCCTCCCAGCGATACGGAGGTACTATTATAAGTCCTCACTTTATAGATGTGCAAGTTTGGACATCCAGAGGAGCATGTTGTAGGTCACCCAGCTAGAGAGGTACAGGTAGAGGAAATGGACCCAGGCCAGGGTTTGCCTGGCTGCCAAAGGATGCTGCTGCCCTAACTCCCAGGAGGGCCCCCACATGCACCAGCCCCTCCCGGCTTAGGCTCCTGTGACTCCCCTCCCCCTGACAGGAAGCCTTGCCACCTTGCTGTCCCCACCCCTGGGGGATATCGCTCAGGGATGAAAGGGTTCTGGGGCTGCAGGCTGTTGTTGGAATAAATGAGCTCGTGTGTGTCGCGCCTTTCTCTCGTTGAGAGAGCATCACCCTGTGCATTCTCGATGAGCTAACCTGACCTATAGCAGTATTAGATCCGCGTTTAATGGACAGCCGTGTGCTGCAGAGAATGAACAGTCAGTAAAGGCCTGTTGACTGTCAGCAGGCTCGGCTTGGCTCAGCTCCAGCCCAGGCCTGGGGTCTGTGCCAAGCCCAGAGAAAGGTATAGCTCAAGCCCCTAGCTTGGGTGGATCTGGTGGTGCTGTGTCTGCACACGGGGTGCCAAGGGCTCTGTCATATTTAGCCCTTTGAATATCAGCCCCAGAGCCAATGTCGCAGACATCTGCTTTAAATGGGGACTCCCTTCCTTTAGGGTAGAGAGAAACCTTAGAGGCCAGAGTCACACCGTCCTTCTTCTCTGGGATGGCCCCCATCCCTTGTCATTTCAGATGCAGCATAGTATAGTGATGGAAGCACTGCCTGGGTTCCAAATCTGAGTCTACCCCCACCCAGCTGTGTGACCATGAGCACCTCATGCAAACACTCTATGCCTCAGTTTCCTCATCTGTGAAATGGGGATGATAATGTTCCTTTCCTCATGAGTATTGTGAGAAGTAAACGAATTAATATATGGCACATTGCCATGCACGTAGTAAGTACAGAAGAGTGTTTCTATGATCGTCTCGCATCCATACCTGTCGTAAATTAGTGTCCACTTTTGGCTGTGAGTGCCATGAGGGCAGGGGATGGCCTGTCTTCTTCATTGCTGTGTCCCAAGGAAAGTTCTCAGGAAATATTTGCTGAATACATGAAGGATGCATGAGCAAACACATACGTGATCGCTCCCAACGTGCCTGGGGGAGGCAGGGGCAGGGTCTGTGAATGCTGCTCATCCACGGAGGGCTTCACAGGCCCAGAATTTACCTTAGATTCGAAGACGAAGGAATCATCTGGTACTATCTTAGTTTCCTATTGCTGCTGTAACAAATTACTGCAAACTTAATGGTTTCAAACAATACACATTTATATCTTATGGTTCTGGGGCTCAGAAATCTGATGTGGATCTCACTGGCTAAAATCAAATCAAGGGGATTATTGCTTCGGGGGCCACCTTCATTCCTTGGCTCATGACATGCTTCCATCCTCAGAGCCGGCAATGGCCAGTCAAGTCCTTCTTGCATCTTATCACTGAATCCCCTGCCTCCCTCTTCCACGTTTAAGGGACCCTTGTGATTACAGATTACACAGGACCCACCCACATAATCCAGGCTAATCTTTTTATTTTGTGGTCAGATGATTAGTAGCCTTAATTCCATCTGCTACCTTGATTCCCCCTTGCCATGTAACATAACGTATTCACAGCTTCTGCAGGTTAGGATGTGGACATCTTGGATGCAGGAAGAGCGGGAGGTTATTCTTCCAACCACAGGGATTTTCAGTTAGTCAGGAAGATGGGAAAGTGAATGAAGGAATTCTCCATTTAGCTGCCCCAAAACCATTTTGAGAGGGAAAGGACTTAGACCAGCGCTTCCTTCAGTAGGTCTTCATGGTATCTCTTTCTGAATTGCATGGCTCCAGGCTTCAGGGATTTTTTTAGTCATTTTCCGGGGATGGTCATAAGTGCCAGCAAGACAAGCCTCAATAAAGGCCAATAGGCTGGGCGCTGTGGCTCACACCTGTAATCCCAGCACTTTGGGAGGCCGAGGCAGGGGGATCATGAGGTCAGGAGTTCGAGACCAGCCTAGCAAATATAGTGAAACCCCGTCTTTACTAAAAATACAAAAATTAGATGGTGTGGTGGTAGGCGCCTGTAGTCCCAGCTACTCTCGAGTCTGAGGCAGGAGAATCACTTGAACTTGGGAGGCGGAGGTTGCAGTGAGCCGATATCACGCCACTGCACTCCAGCCTGGGTGACAGAGTGAGACTCTGCCTCAAAACAAACAACAACAACAACAGCAACAAATTCGCTGGGCAAGGTGGTGGGCGCCTGTAATCCCAGCTACTTGGGAGGCTGAGGCAGGAGAATCGCTTGAACCCAGGAGGCATAGGTTGCAGTGAGCCAAGATTGTGCCACTGCACTCCAGCCTGGGCGACAGAGCAAGACTCTGTCTCAAAATAAATTAATTAATTAAATTAATAAATAAAAGTAAAAGACAATAGGGCAGTAGCCCAGATGCAGAATCAGGACTTGTTCATGGAGCCCCTCCCACGTGCCAGCGTTGGTTGCATTCAGCAGCGGCCCCACTCCTGGGCCCATCTTTATTGAGCACTTACTATGCGAAAGGTACTTTGCCAAGCATGAGATGCCCATTCCCTCACTAAATTCTCATGACAGTCCCTTGAAGTAGTTTCAGTTGTCAGCCCCATTTGACAGATGAGACAGCTGTGGTACAGAGGGGTTTTGTGACTTGCCTGAAGCCACACAGTCTGTCAGTGGCAGAAGTGGGATTTGAACCCAGGGAGTTGGACTCCAGAATCTTCTCTCTTTCCTGGCTTGACCTCCTACTTCTCTACCATTCACGCACATTGTTCCATTGCAGCTGCACAACCACCAGGTGAGGACGGAATTTCGTTTGAATCCCTACTGCTTAGATACGGAGACTGAGGCTGACAAGGATTGTGTGGCCAGCCCAGTGTCACTCAGCTGTTCAGTGAGCTGCCTGGGCTCTTTCTCCACATCACACTGCCTTCCGTGTGTTACTAATGAAGAATGAATTTCTAGAAAATGAATATTTTCAAAACACTCCCTGCCACCTGCAGTCCCTTTGAGGAGTGGCGATTGTTTGTAGTTCCCCAGGCCCCCCATAGAGGTAAGCAATCACTCCTACTTTAGAACTGAAATTGGGGGCGTCTCCTCCCTGCCACCCAGGACTGTCATTTAGCCAGCCAGCCTGAAGACTGCAGCAAGCAGGCAGATGCAATGCTTGCGAGAGTAAACTTGGCCAGTCTCCCAGGAACTCCTTAATGAAAAATTTCATTCCGGTGGACGAGAGTGGAGTCGACACAGTCCTCATTACTGCCCAGGTCTAAATTAAACAAGACAAGGGAGGTTCTTGAGGAGCAAGGCAGAAGTTACTGAAGGCTTGAACAGTAAATTGCAGGAAAGGAGCTTCTGTCGGGGAAGGTTCTCCGACTTTCCAGGGTGCATGGAACCCCAATGCATTTCTCCTTTGGAGGATCAACGGCCACTTAGGTTGAGGGTACAGAATGGGGCACAGTAAACCCAGCCTCCTCATCCTTCCCTCTCTTGCTGGGTGAGGGCTGGGCTGCAGGCGCGGCCCCCAGGACTCTGCCTTGGTGGCTATGGTTCCAGAATGGTGACGCCCGGAAGCAGACACTCCGCAACGTACTGTCTTCTAGGCTGACAGCTCTTGCCTCCCCAGCTTGAATACATGCTCAGTGGGCCAGGGTTGAGTTCTGGAGTCCCCATGTCCCTTTGTAGTGACACCAGCATCTCTTTCTAGATAAGGGGCTTGCATAAAGAAATGCCATGTTGGCTTACAAGTAGGAAATCATGTTCTTTCCCATCAATTGGATTTCTAGGTGACCACCTGAGATCCGAAGTTCTGGAAGTCAACACACCATCCACCCACGCTCCCCTTGCCCACTTCACTCTGTCTCTCTCGTGCACAGGTGCACGCACACAGGGCTCAGGCTGCAGTCCGACAGAAACATAGGCTTCCTGCCATTAATTGGAGGGCCCTGACTGCAGACACAGCATAACTATCTATTCATAGTCTTTTTTTAATTCTAAGAAATGCTGCTCTAGCTATTACCTACTTCAGGGCAAATGACTGGCTGGCGTTATCAGCATTTTTCAAGTTATAAACACCCCCTCTTAGCTGGGACCCCTCTTTATTTTCAGTGTTCTTCAGAATGAGGAGTTGGGGCATGGCCAGCCGGCCCTGGCTGTGGCATGGAGGATGGACTGGCCCTGGGCACTCAGGGAGGGGTGGCGGGGGCTGCACCCCATGGCCAGGGGACAGTTACAGGCACCACTGTCCCCAGATGCCCCAGGGAACACTGTGTCCCAGCTGCTTCTACGTAACAATCCAGGCCATGGCTTTCCTTGTCTTGCACCCATTTCCTGGAGGAAAAGCGGGAATGGTTTAGGAATGGGTCCCTGCTCCGTGGCTCCTGAGAAGAATTCCCTCTCTCCAGACTAACGCTGGTGTCCAGGCACTTTTCCGCCTTTAGATCCAAAGCTATGGAGGGGCTTGTAAACATGTTGCTTTTTGTAAATTGAATAAGTGGACTTGTCTAGTTTCGTAAACATTGCTGGCGGCATCCGGAGCCCCAAGAAGCACGCTTCCTCCTGAAACACTGCCCTGCAGGCAGGACAGCTCCCCGACTCTGGCATCAGCTGCCATGTCTTGAGAGTCTACTGTGTGCCAAGCATTTTACCTGCAGAGTCTAATTTTATCCTCAATCTTATGCAGTGGGTACCAGGATTTTCCCTTTTTACAGATGAAGAAACTGGAATTGAGGAAGGCCGAGTTGCTCCCCACAGCCTCACGATCGTGAGAGGCAGGGCTGGGACTCATGGCGTCCAAGGCGTTTGGTGCTGTGTCTCTCCCTGAGGGCTGCGTGCAGCCTCCCCTTCCAGACCCCGCACGGTATTTCCTCATCCAGGAAGACAGGACCTAGGGCTGGACGGCAGCTACACTCATGTCATGCGCTGGGAGGGTCTCCCGGGGTCTCCCCAGGACCACGGCCACCTACCACCCCTGTCCCCTGAAGATAAATGATCGCAGCTGCAAATTTCAAACAGTGTGACGTGCTGCGGTCGGCAGCCAAGACAAAAAACCCACAGACGTTTGGCCTTTGAGGCAGAGGAACACCACGAGCTTTCTGTTGCTTTTCTTTTGATCTGCTGTTTGATTTTAAAAAGGGGAAAAAAAAAATGGAGAGGATCAGTGAGTAGAAATCTAATTTGAAAAAAAAACAAAACAAGTTCACAAAAACAGGAAATGTCGTCTACCGTGGACCAGTCGCTGCTGCTTTGGGACTTTTAAAATGACAGCACGTCTTATAGACGCCGTTCACCTCTCCTAGTGAGCCTGGAATTCTGGGGCTCAGAGGAGCAAGGTTGAGAGGTCGTGGATGTAGGAAGGGCGGAGAAACCATCTCATGTGCCCCGCAGCGTTTGCTCCAGGGCCGGGGCTGGTCCTCGGCTAAGCTGGCTTCCTTGGTTTTTCTAAAGGAAGACTCATGACTTCCCTGAGAAATGTTTGCTTACAAAAGACTGAAACCCACCCTGTGGTGCTGAAACCAAGGGGAATTTAATGCAAGAGCAAACCCTAAAGCCAGAAGCTGGGTTTGGGCCTGGCCCCATCCCCATCCCCATCTCATCAGGCATCACAGATTTAAGGAGTAGGGCTGTGGGTCCCTGGTGCTCTCTGAGCCCTTAAGTCTCTGGTGGGGCTTATCTCTGTGTCTCTCTTTCTCTCCCACACAGATACAGACACACACAGCCACACACACACCAGAGCTACCTCAGAATGGTGCCTTCAGCATAGAGCCTTTAATCCCACATGGGTCCAGGGCCCCACTGGCTCACTGTCTCTGACCGTCTGTGCCACCTTTATGGGAAAGAGAGTCAGATCGGTTCATGTATCTCTGTGCCTCAGCTTCCTCTTCTGCAAAATAGGAATGCTAATGGTATTTCTATCCCGGAATGTCTGTGAAGGTGCCATGGGTTAGACAGTGTGCTCAACTCATTCAAACTCAGGCAAGTGTACCCCTGCGCCTGATAGAGAATGAGTGCTCAAAATGGGGTGTGACTACTGTCCTTCCTATTGTACAGCGTCCCTGGTATAAGGAGTTACGTGAACAAACGTTTTCAGAGCCACCTCAAAGAGAACACAACCAGCATAGAAAAAAAAATAGATCGTTTCACTGAAAGAACCACTATAAATACTCCATGATAAGTCAGATTTCTGGAAGATATTGTATAATTTTCAAAGCACTGCCACATACATGGCTCAGGCGATTCCCCCAATATTCTGAGATATTACTGAGACTAATAAACAAGGAAATAAGAAGTTAAGGTATTGCCTGAGGTTGCACTGTCTGCAAGTGATGGAGTTTAAACTCAGATCCACGTCCCACCTCTAAATTCTCTGTGGGTTTGTTGTTGTTTGCCTGTTTGGTTTTGGGGGGTTTTTTTGAGACAGGGTCTTGCTCTGTCACCCAAGCTGGCGTGCAGTGATGCAGTCATAGCTCACTGCAGCCTGGACCTCCCAGGCTCAAACCATCCGCTCCCCTCAGTCCCTGGAGTAGCTGGGACTACTGGCGCATACTACCACACTCAGCTAAGTGTGTGTGTGTGTGTGTGTGTGTGTGTGTGTGTATGAGATTTTACCATTGTTGCCTGGGCTGGTCTTGAATTCCTGGGCTAAGCCATCTGCCCGCCTTAGCCTCCCAAAGTGCTGGAATTACAGATGCGAGCCACTGTGCCTGGCCAATTTGGTGTGTTTTTAACTTCATCAGAGGTAAAAGTTTTCATAATCCATCATATTTCTCTTTATACCTTGGCTACTGGGAAGCACAAACTAAGTGTGATGCCCAAACTCAGCACTGCCCTAACCGTGGTTTTTAGTATATTTTGTATATTGACTGAACTGCAGTACTTAGATGAGGTAGATTGGTTTTCTGAAACACAGTGTAAGTGCCTCTGTAAAGTGGATGAATTGTGCCTTTGCAGACGTTCAAAAATGGTGAGGATGAGTTTTATTTCTAACACGTCATCGTTTCTGCTTGTGGAAGAGGACGGGCTATGGTGGACGTAGCCTGGCACCTGTTCCTTCCTGTGATCTGGTTCTCTCTTCCAGCCTTGCTGTCTGGAGTCGTTGCTGGAAAGAGTGTCCAAAGAAAACAAGGCCCCATCCCCCTGCAGGTCATCTTTCTGTTTCCTGCTGATACCTGGGGGGAGGTGAGGGGAGACTTTCTCAAAGGCCCTGGCAGTGAAACATCATCAAAGTGAGCCAAGACCTTTGTGAGGCTGAGATGGGGATCACACCTTTCCAGAACGCTCATAAGTGTCACTTCCTAAGGATTTCAAACCTGCACAGACAAACCCACGTGTCCTACGGGAAGGCTGCTCTGTGTCTAGGGGAAGGCTAATGACTTTCTTGGCCTTTGTCCCTCAGTTCTCAGGGGGGTGGTGCTGGCGTGCCCTGTCAGACCCACTTACCCCAGACAGGAGCCTGACATGCCTGGCTGAGTCCTGCCTCAGGACTGAGGCCCTGTGGCTCAGTTTTTTGATCTGTGGTGTGAGCGTAGTATCACCTCCCCTGGGAGTCATGATAGCAGTCAGCAGTATTAACAACAATGACAACAACGGCAGCTGGGCCCCTCAAGGACTGTATTTAATACTCACGATATCCCTAATACAGCTGTGAGCCCTTTGTTTTAACTCATTCCTGTCTTAAAATCGCTGATGAGAAAACAGAGAGGCTGCCGACTTGCCCGGGATCACACAGCAAGTACACACACAACATAGTCAGGACAGCCTGGCGGGCGGGGTGGGCGTCTGGGGGGCCGTGGGTCTGCCCCAGGCCTCTGCCTGCACCACCCCTAACCCTGAAGGCTTGTTCAATCTGTGGCCTGCAGTGAAGTGAGAATTTGCGCTCCCCTTTCCCGACACTCACTCCGATAAATCACTCCCTGTTTTAGTTTTATTGTTAGAGCGAGAATGAAACCTCCATGGAGTGCCCCATATATCTGCCTCTGGCTTCTTTATAGGGTCTTTGGCATAGAGAGACATGCCCCTGGGAGGTGGTAAGAGTTGGGTTAGCCAAGAGGTGGTGCCCAAATTAGACTCTGGGGTGAGGGGCTGCCTTGCTCACCCTGGCCAGGTACCCCTAATTACTGTGACCCTAAGTGGCCCTCCCTGGAAAGGGGCTCTGTCGTATCACTTTAGTGCCCAGAAGACCGAGCGATTGGACTGGGTGTTTTCTGACCTCTTCTCAGAGAAAAACAGTTCCTATATAAAACGAATTCTGTTCAGTGTTTAGAAAGGAATGAAATTTTGACACAAGCTATGTGGATGAGCCTTGAGGGTTCATACTGGGGAAGTAGGAGAAAGACATTTCACAGACATGGTGGTAAGTGTATATGTATATAATTGAACATATAAGGCATTACAGGCAATTATGTAAATTTGAGTTGAAGGAGAGCTATTAGAGGTTTATAGGGAGAGTGTGATATGATCTGACATTTTAAAATAATCACTTTAGCTGCTCTGTTGAAAATAGATTATAGGGAAAAGAGCAGTAGTGTGGTGAATAGTTAAAGGGCTACTGAAGTAGTCCTAAACAGAGAAAATAGTGGCCTTCAAGTGGTGAGAAGGGCATTATGTTAACTGAAAGAAGCCAGACACAGAAGGACAAATACTTTACCATGTATCTGACGGCACCCGGAGTAGTCAGGATGCCTCAGGAGGATGGCTACCAGGGGCTTGGGGGAGGGGAATGGGGAGTTCATGTTTGATGGGTACAGAGAATCCATAGGGAAAATGAAAAGGTTCTGGAGATCGGGGGTTGGTGATGGTTGCACAGCCATGGCAATGTGCTGAATGCCACTGAACTGGAAGGAGAAGATGGTACATTTTGTGTTGTGTATATTTCACCACCATTTTTTTTTAAAGGGGAGACTTCTGGGTGGTTTTCTGCCCATGTCGCTACCTAGGGAGCTCTTGCCATGTGGAAGCATTTGTTCACACAGGGTTAGGAGCAGCAGCCAGGGTCCCGGGAGGCAAAGAAACTTGTCCTCAGGCCTCCCCTCTGCACCTCTGAGGCTCACCGTGGGCTTTCTGGGCCGCTCCTTGCCCAGAACAGTTGCTGGAGGACTCCCTTAGTCTTTCCCTCCACCGGTGGAGCTGCCGCAGTTGCCTTACAGAGCATTTGAGATCGGCTGTGGTCAAATAATACACACGTTAGAGTAAGATGGACTGTTAAATACAAGAACACCCAGTTAATATTGAATTTCAGATAGACAATGAATAATTTTATAGTATATGTATATCCCATGTGATATAGGGACATACTCATACTAAAATGATCTGCAACTCCCATTTAACTAGTGTTCTGTATTTTCTTTGCTAAATCTGACAAGCCTGTGTGAGAGGCAACCCAGGAGTGGAATTCTCCCCAGTGTGTCTTGGTGCTTTAGGGCTGGAAGTGGGTGGTAGAGTGTCAGCCTTGCGAGCCCCAGTTCTGGTATGGACTCTTCTAAGCCCAGCGCCCCCATTTTGTAGCCACTTATCTTTGAGCACGTTCCCAGCTTTCTGACTCTCAATTTCCTTATCTGCACATGTGGATAATAATGGTTCCCTCCTCATGCAATGGCAGAGGATGAAATGACAGTAGCTGTGCTGTCGTTAGCATAGCAAGCGTTGTGTTCGTGTCAACACTTCAGGTTGTTTCTGTTTCTTTGCCTTCCTTTATGAATTAAAGATGACCATTTTCTAGATGAGCCTGAGGCCGTGGTGCCGAAACAAGAAAACAGCAGTGAAGACCTGGTTCTTCAGCCCAGCCTGGTCGTATGGGTTCATGACCTCGAGTGAGTCAGTTCACCTCTCTGGGTCTCAGTTTTCCCAGCTCTAAATTCAATTACACAGTTCTCAGGTTCCTTTCAAATTCAAAAGTGTACATGATACCTCAATAAAGCTGTTAATTTTTTTTTTTTTTTTTAATTCTGAGCCTGCCTCCCCTGTGTCTCCTCCCCGCCGTGGTTGTTTTCTCACCTAATACTTGCAATCGTGGGAAGTGGGTGTCACTTCTCCACTTAAATAAGTCTCAGGACTCAGAAAAGTTCTAAGCCCCTAACTCAGGGGCACATAGGTCTTGTGTGCTGGAGCCTAGCTTTCAACCCTGGACTTCCTATAGGCCAATTCTTATCACCCTTTACACACCAGGGATTGGTTTTCTTGGAGAGTGGGCAGTGGGTCTCACAGCCCCAGGTCAACCCACACAGGACGGATGGTCCGTGGGCAGGTTCATCACTCACCAGACTCAAGCAGGACAAGGTAGGGCAGTCACCATGGCTCCCAAGGGCCAGTAGGAGCAGTGTATGGATGATCTTTTCAGCTGCTTTGCCTCTGCCATCTTGATTAATCAAGATGTGGCCAGACCACACGGAGCTCTTCAGTCTTGACATCATCAATCCCTTTGTGTCCATCTCTTGAGCCAATGAAGCAGGATTGGCAAGAACAAGGCCTATGGTGAATAGGCCTGAGCCAAGCCTCTGTTGACAGAGGTCAGAGAAGACAACAGAGAGATAGCAGAAAGAAATATTGCATATTTCATAAGGAGTTCTAAGTGTCTCATCTAGAATCCTTAGTGAAATATGTAATCAGAGACTCTTTAATTCTTTGCTTTAGGCCTAGCTTCAAAGTTCAATGGTAATTTTTGTCCTTTTCATTTTCTGACAGACCTTGTCAAAATTGGGTGGTCTTGTAGGCCAGTGAAGTCCATATTTGTACATCCCCTGGTGCAGAGTCCACGCTTGAAGCAGACACTGGATCTGCCGTTGAGCATATTCAAAGAGAAAAACAAAGCAGCTGAATTAAAATGAAAAACTAAGGGGCTTGTAATTAAAAGGCTGTGGTGTAAACCAGAGGCCTGGAATTGGTACCTGGTACCGCAAACTAAAAATAGACTCTTTCCACAGAACAAGCAGGGAAATCCCAGTGATCATGGACCACTGGGAGGTGGACAGAGGAGGCAACATGCATCTTCCTCCCCTCCTCTCCCCCAAGACAGAGAAGCTCAACAACCCTGCTTCAGGATGGGGTTTTCTGGAAAGGGCCAGGCTGGTCTATAGGTGTAATGGGCTGGGAAAGGGTGTGCCAGGATTTGAGCGGCATCAAAACCTGCTGTAGGGCTGAGACATTAGAGTGTAATTCCTCAAAAATATCCCCGACATACACATTTTAACTGGGCTTAGATGTGGTTGTATATGTGATTAGATTACACTGCCTAAGGAACCCATAGCAAGATCTGATATATCTGAACAATCTCATCTATCTTACAGAATTCAGGGCCCTGAAAGGTAGGATGTAGGGCAGATAAATATTGGTGGATAGAGTAAGGAGGCTATTAGGGACATGCCTGGGACTGGTCACTATCATGACAAAGGATGATTATGCCCACCTGGCATTTTTGTCTGGTCCACCAAGCTGCCTTAGTTCACCAGTGTAATTGTGGATAAGTGGGTCTCTAGGGATCCAAAAGGAAACAGACATTTATTTGGCCATCCACCCCCACCCCAAATGATGGTGCACTCATGGCAATGGCAAATTACATTATTAGAACCTTCTAGAAGGGAATGGTTCTAATAATGTAATTTGCCAATTCCTGGAAGTCCCTAAGGTCTTGATTGGTTAAATTTTGTGTTGCACCCCTCAGGGGCCTACATTCAAGATCCTTCAGGGCCAAACCTTGCTCCCAGCTCATCCTATTCAGCCCTTGGAGGAGCAATAAATGTGTTAATCTAGCCAAGAATATACAGCAAGGCCAGGGAAGTTGGCCATCTGCTCAGGTGCTGAAGTTACACCAATGCAAACAGAAATTTACTCCTCAAATCCCAGCACAGACTGTGGCTATGGGGCCAGCAGGAAGGCTGATGGGAGTGGGCAGGCCCCAGGTAGCAGGGGTCTGGGGAGGCACATTCACCACACCTTGGAGCAGTGTTTTGGGTATTGGTAGAGTGGAGATGATAAGACTGGACCAACCAGTCCACCACCCAGCACATGGTAGGTGTTCCTACATGTTTACTGAATGAATGAGTTAATCAACTGATTTTATAATCGAGTATAGACAGCAGTCTACACTCAGAGCCCAAGTAGAAAATGCTTCATTCTCCAATCCCTTTCAGTCATTCAACAGGTGTTTATTAAGGCAGTGTTCTAGGTGCTGGAGACACAGCCATGAAAATGGCAAACGAGCTCCTTGAGCATAGGAAGCTTATGGACTAGTGGGAGGATAAGGAGACGGTTAGAGAACTGAGAACAGGGACCCTAAGCTACTCAGGAAAGTCCCTCCAAGGAAATGATATCTTAGCCAAGCCTGGCAAGCAAGTTAAAAATCAGGCAGGCACAGGGGAGAGAGACGTGGATCCAGGCGTGGATCCAGGCACAGCTGTGCCTTCCGGCATGTCTGGGGATAAAATCCAGTGTTGAAAGAGTTGATGCCCTCTGGACATAGCATGATGTTAAAAACAATGTCAGCAATAATAGTAATAATAATAATAGCTGCAATTTCTCATTCTCTACATCAGGAGAGTCTTCACTTCTTTCCCTTTCATGGGCTGCGGCTTTAATTGGGTAAGTGGTTCCTTTAGAAACAATTAGGGATTGTAATCAGTCGCCATTCAGAAGTCTTCAGCAGGAACTGATTGGCAGGTCTCTTCCGGCTTGACCTTAAAACTTCCCCATAGCTGTGACTAATGTAAAGCAAAGCCCGGAGGAGCATGATGGATTTCAGAAGAAAGGAAACAGAAATTTGGATGCGCCCACAGTCTGTGCACACACTTAGCACCCAGCATTTTGTGTTCTATGGAGAAACATCTGAAATGATCAGACCATCTTCAACTCCAAACTCTTCCTTAAAAAAAAACAAAAACTGAGTTGTTCTCTTTAAAAAGCAAGGGGTTGGAGGAGGAATTTCAGACAGGAGCCACCCATCTGTCTGAGGTTAGGATGAATTTCAGAGTTCCCAACTGTGTTTTACAGGTGCCCTGTGGAAGGTGCCAGCTCCTGTACTTCATTGGCCATGATGTGCTCTTGTCCCACTGGTTTGACTCAAGAAAACACTGGGGACCCTTGAAGTCCTGAACTGAGGGCCTTGATCCTCCTGAAGTCCCAACCCTACCCGGGAAGGCTTGCTCCCACCCTACCCTGCTGGGCCTCTGCCCTCCTGGGTCCCACCAGCTCTTAGACTCCTTGGAGGGCAGAGGGGAGAGGATAAAAAGAAGCCACTGAGAAAGGCAGACATGAGTGTGGAGATGGACAGAAAGGGGAAGCTCCAAGGTAGATGGCCAGTATCTTTCTTCCAGAATCAAGAGCCAGTTAGAGCAATGTCGTGCTGGTTAATTGTCAGATGGAAAAATGTGACTTACAAAACAGTATAATACCAATTAAAACATACCCCAAAAAGCTGGGAAAACATCAAAACAGGGATAATAATTACCTCTGGTTAATGGGAATTTAGGGGAATTTTATTTTCGTGTTATTGTTTTCCTCTAATTATTACCATTAGTTTCTGCAGTTGTTTTAAGGATAACAGCAAGCAGGAAACAAAAGAGACAGAAAAAACACAGAGGCCAAGATGAGCTGACAGAAGCAGACACATGGCCAGAATGACCAACAGACTAGGGGAGACTGACCTCCTGCCCCACATACTCTGTCCCCTTGAGCAAGCCTCTCTGTGACCTACAGCTTCCTCCCCTGTGAAATCGTGCTTCCTGTCCTGACCATCTTATCAGTTGTCCTGATGCTCAAGTGAGAAGACAGGGGACTTGGCAAATTGTGTAGAGGATGATTGTGAGCCAGTCATTAAGTACTGAGGATTCAAGCAGTGTTTCTCTGCAGACAGTTCACCCAAATGATTTGTGAAGAATGCAGATTCCTGTGCCCAGATTGGGTTTCTGGGAGCAGGGCCCAGGAATCTGCATTTTAACAAGCCCCTGCCCTCTGACTTTGAGATCCAGGCATTTCAGACAGACAGTATCAGGGCAGGAACATGGAAGGATGGCTGTCATAGGTGCCATGAGTGACAGAAGCAGCGTAAGGTCTAGCGTATTGTCTTCTCGCAACTTGAACCTTGCTGGAGAAGTGAGAAGTGGGTGTGCAGAATCGTACGGTGTGCAGACGGTGGCCTGGTGAAGTGCCGTGTACCTAGGAGTTGAGGGGGAGCTCGATGGCGCTGGGGCAGAGGTCTGCGGAGAGTAGGTTGGGTTTAGAAAAATGAAGAGGAGGAGCAGCACAGGCCATCTGGATGGGGGAGCCCCTGGTGAGCAAGGTCCACCAGGTGGGAGGGCAAGGCCTCCTCCTCTGGCCGTGCGTGTCTGGCTGCTGGTTGGTGTCGGGGTGGTTTTGCACTTTCTGTTTCCTGATCTCACCTGTCCCAGGACTTGGGGCTCTAAGTAGCATTACACTGGCTGGGCAGGTAGTCACCCTCATCCTCTGACCTGTCAGACTGGCTGGTGTCAGCTGACAGCGGAGCTACACTGAAAACAGAGACAGTACTGGGGCCTCCGTCTAGGGCCTTGTACTCACTGGTTTGCTTCCAGTCGACTCTGAAAGCTCCCTGCTGCTTCCTCCACCATTCCTTCACTCGTTCTGGAGGAACTACCCGACCTGGGTTGGCATCCTGCCTCTGCCACTCATTTACTGTGTGACCTGAGAGCAGTTAATTAACCTCTCTGTTCACACGGCCTCTTGTATGACATGGGAGAAGAGTGACTCTTGCCACAGAGGGTTGTCATAAGGATTGTCCCTGAGATAATCCACACAAAACCTTTGATGCAGGGCCTGACATTTAGCAAGGGCACAATAAATGTTAGCCACTGATACAGGTGTTCACCTGGCAACTGTTTACTGAACTCCTGCCATGCTAGGTGTGAGGGAGGGGCTAGAGGCACCAAGAGCTCATGATGGGCCCGGATGGGTATGAAATAGCCTCCTGTGACACAGTATGATGAAATGGTGTGTCTCGGATGCAGGTGGCACAAAGTGTGGCGTGGCTGGCCCAGCGACGGGCCCAGAGGAGGAGACACTTGGTTGGATCTTGAAAGGACAGAATGGGAAGGCGAGAGGACATTCCAGGTGGAGGGAATGGCATATGAAAAGTCCCAGTCCAGGATATAACATCCTCACTCCTTTATCCTCTGCTTTGGGAAGAAATGGGGAGAGGAGTGGCTTCTGCTCGTCCACACTGTTCATCTCTAGGAGTGGCCAGGTTGAATCCAAGGCCAACTTGGAGTGGACGGAAGGTGCAGCAGTTTCCCAGAAGGGCTCTACAAGGCTCCTGGGTTGCAGCTGCCAGAAAAGTCTGTTCCCCACAGCTCCCTGGTCCCAGCTGTGAGGTAGTTAACTGCAGCTGCCTCAATGTCAAAGCCAGGGAGAGGATGCCCATCTTACCTTCTGCCCTGGACTGCTGCAGCTGTCCTGCATCCTGAACATTTGCTGTCCGTGCTCCACTTACGAGCTGTCTTCCTCAGGCCAGTCCTGGCTGCCAGCTCCATTTCATCTTGTTTATCTGTGTGCCTTGACATTGGCTGTCTCCTGCATCCTTCCAAGCCAGAGAACCCAAATTGACCAGAACCCTCATCGGAGGGCTAACTTACTGTACACGACATGGCTTAGAGGCATGGAGGGTGAATGTATCTATCACCCAGACACGGCTGCCCCCGCCCTGGAAAACAAGGGCAGCCCGAACAGGGACACTCCCACCAGCAAACTAAACAGGCAGTTCAATCCGTAAGCAAACCAAAGCCGAAAGAAGTACACCAAAGAGATGTCATCCTCCTCCAGCCTGTGCAGCGAGGTGGCTGTCTATGCTGCTGAGACCTAAGAGAGTAAGTCCTGCTTGGGCTGGAAGTATGAAAACAGACCTGAAAGGCTTCTCCCGGTTTTATTTTGGGGGGATCAGAAGGAGAAGAGGGGAGAACCTGGTATCCCTGTTCTGAAAATGGGCTCGAGGGCTGTGGCTCTAAGGCCACATTTTGTAATAGGAGAGTAAGCAAACTGGGTGTAAACCCCCGCACCCCTGAGACTCGGGACCACGGACTCAGCCTCTGCGGGCCTCAGCGTTTCCATCTGTAAATTGGAGCTGAGCATGTCCACCTCTCAGGGTTGAAAGGATTCGGGGTATAATGTGTCCAGTTTCCAGCACCAAGTAAAGGTTTCCTATTTTTAGTTCCCTTCCTTCCCTGGCATAATGTCCATCCGTGTCATGATTCCAAAATGTAGTTTTGCACCAACGCAACTGCGGCCTCCTTCAAGGTGCATTTGTTTACTAAATACTGTTTAATCCCCAACGTACTGGGCATTGGGAATAGAGCTGTGAATGAGACAGATGAGCCTGCCCCAGGGGCTGGCAGCCCAGCAGATTGGCCTTTGGTGGCATTTTGGGGGAATCAGCAGTGATGGCAGAAAGTCCACCCCAACATCCTCCCCTCTGTCCTAGGGCAGGAGAAACTGCAACCAGCTCCACAGCTATGCTCGGTCCCTCCAGGGAAGAGGATTGCGCTGCTGGTGGTCAGTTTTATTTGGGTACACCTCAGCATCAGTGGCTCAGAAGCAGGAGGTGGCAGGTTATGGCCATGCCCTGTGGTGGCTGGGCCCCCTGGGGTTCGTGAGCTTTGCTGGCATGGACCTGGCTGTGCCAGGAGCCTGTCCTTCTGTTCGCCTATGTGCCATAAGCCAGACCCCAGCAAGGCTTCTCCCAAAGACGTGGGTGCCTCAGAAAGATGAAAGCAGTGATCCCTATTTCCCTAAGGGCCTCCCCAGCCTTTGACAGGGTCCTGGCAGAAAAGCTAGACTCAGTGGCTGGTTTTCGTAAGTTTTGACCCCAGGGACATTTATAGATGGCCTGAAAACTAAATCAATGGATTTTACTTACTTTTTAAAAATTCACCTTTCATCACATTAGAAATAGACCTTCTTGCCCTATCTCTGAGTCTCCTCACGTCTCTTCTCCCTTCCCCAACCCACCCTCTAAGGGTCTAAGGGTGAAGTAACAGGCGGGAGTGCCTGTCATGCACAGCACTAGGTAATAAAACACCTTTTGGGGCTTAGCCACCAAATGTCCCTCCTGTCCAAGTGTCCATATCCAAACCTGAGCTCAGTCAGGTATCCGATTGGTGTTGCTGTCACCGGGGCATTTGCCACACCCAGGTGCTCACATCATCTATTGATACCCCCAGTCTCCAGATTCTTTTTGGCATCCTCCTCCCCAGCTTCCTAATCACTGATGAGACCAGATGGCAAAACAAATGGGGACTGATTTTGC